>NC_000014.9:58399591-58702622 GCF_000001405.40 Homo sapiens | reverse complement strand
AAATGTTGTGAGCTAGACCAGGATAAGCAATGGCACTGAAATTACTTCCTAACATTTGACAATAGCATGTGTGATTGGAGAACTGGCATCAGTGCAGCTCTCTCCCTATTCAGAGGCAGAGAATGAACATAAACAGAAAAATATTGGTTAGATAACTAAAAATAATAGAATCTTGGAATAAAATATCCAGTTGTCAGTAGGATATATTTACACCCATAAGTGAATTTCTTCAAGGTTGCTTGCTCTTCCAAGATTAGATTGCAGCTATGCCAAAGTCTCATTTTTCATGGCGCGCTCCCATCCCCCTGCCACCAGCAAAGGAAATTAAAGGTCAAATGGCTTTTTCAGAAAACAATTTATCTCCTGTTTCTGGGCTGTTCACTAAATAAGAATTTATTGAATGTTACATATGGACCTAACATAACCAATGTTAGGTACCTGTGGTAGTTTGTCTCCAAAGATATCCCTCCAATCATGCTTCCTGGCACTTACACCCCTATGTAAATCTGGGCTCCTCTCCTCTTTAATCTGGGCTCTCACTTTTGAGACCCTGAGACTTCCTTCTAACTAATAGAATGTGGCTGACATGATGCTGCATGATTTCTAAGACTAGGTCATAAGAAGCATACAGCTTCCACCGTGCTTTCTTTGGAGTCCTTGCTTTGAGAAAAGCCAGCCACCAAGTAAGTTCAAATATCCTGAGACTGTATGCTGTGAAGAAGCCCCAGGCAGCCATACAAAGAGAACATGTGAGAGAGAAAGAGAGATCCAGACAGCCTTGAGCTGTGCCAGCTATCTTACATGAGGACTCAGACATGTGAGACCAGAAGTCCTCTTGGATATCCAGCACAGTCAAGCCTTCAGATGACTCTAGTCTCTCCCACCATGTGACTACAACTCCATGAGAAACCTCAAGAACAGCCCAGCTAACACAGAAAAAAAACATGAGAGATAAGAATAAGTTGTTGTAAATCTCTAAGTTTGGGGATGGTACTTAGAGATTTACAGCAACAACTTATTATTAATAGATAATCAAGTCAGCTCCAAATAATTATTTTGTTTTTATTGAAAAACAAAGGCCTTGCCCTTGGAAAACTTAGATTATAGCCAAGGCAGCAACATACCCGCAGAAAGCAACATAAATACTCCACAATATAACTTATCCACAAATACAACAACAATATTTTTCAACTAAGGAACTGCTTTAGGAGGCTTGCAACTGAGTTTGTAAAGGGAGAAAGTGGCACCAGCCTTGCCAAGGAAAGTAGCCAAACCAATCCTGGCAATCGGTGATGGAACAGCTGTCACATGTACAAAAAGAGTCAAGACGGAGCCTAGAAACATTGATAAAATGTAGAGCAGAAAAGTGAGCAGAGAAAAATGGCAAAGGACATTCTAAAAAATATTCAAATGCTCACATTAAAATATAAGCATTTTATTTGTATAAGTACAACTTAAAGCAAGAAACCATTTTTCAATTATCAGAGTGGCAAAGATCTTTTTAAAATGATAATACTCAGGCTTGTAGGTTTTGGTGTAACCCATGTGCCCTTCTGGCAGGAGTGTACTGTAAATGAGTCCAATCTTTTTGCAGGGCAATAGGTAGGCATCAGAGCCTTTAAAATTATCAAATCTTTAACCTGCTATTGGAGTTTTAGAAATTTAACCAGAGGAACAATCAGCTTTTTTTTTTAATGTTGGTTTTGTTTTTTTCTTTTTTTGTTTTGTTTAGAATTTTAATAGACTGAAGGTTAACTCTGTGACAGTATAATTACAGGTCATATTCAAAGTATTTCACAACTGATATGACATAAACACCAACCAATTTATAATTATAACCAACACACCAATCGGTCAGAATGGATATACCAACCAATCAAAACCAATAGACCAACCAATCATAACAGATGTACCAATCAATTAGCCTGAAGGTGTACATAACCCTACAGATAGCCACCACATTGCTGGATATCAGCCAAGAATCCCTCCACGTAACTGAAAATCATGTAACTGTTAAAAATCATTTTTTAGGCCGGGGACAGTGGCTCAAGCCTGTAATCCCAACACTTTGGGAGGCTGAGATGGGAGGACTGCTTGAGTCCAGGAGTTCAAGACCAGCCTGAGCAACAAAGTGAAACCCTGTCTCTACAAAGAAAATCAAAAAAATTAGCCAGGCACGGTGGCACATGACTGTAGTTTCAGCTACTTGGGAGGCTGAAGTGGGAAGATCACTTGAGCCTAGGAGGTTGAGGCTGCAGTGAGCCATGCATGATAAACATGTATTATTTTCATAAGCTATCAGGAAAAAGACACATTATATAAAAGGAGAAAATAAAAGTAATCAGAGAGCTTTGGTTGGTTAAAGTGTATAAAGTTTGAGTTGGACTGATTAGCAGAAATGAAGGCAAGTTCTATTTGAGGATAAAGTATAAGAAACAACAGGAGTTTGGGGATGAGGCTGGACAAAGCATAAAAAGGAGGAATTCTAAGTGATTGAGCAAGAAAACCATGAGAAAAAACAGTGTTGGATGAAGACAATTCTAACTGCTAGGAAGGAGTCTAGGGGAGAAAAGAAAGAAAGAGACAATAGCCAAGAGGGCTTCTACAATATTCCCTTTCATCCAATCAGAATCTTGACTTTAGCAAAAATACTTCTGCTCTTGCAGTGCATCCAGAGTAATTCAACATCTGTTTCATCAACAACTGATATTTGATATCTTCTCCCAGTAAACTCTTTGCAGAAAGAGGACAACAGGAAGGAAGCAGCACAGGAATACTTGTTCGCTGACACCAAAAAAGCAAAGTCAGAATTTTTACTTACCCCAGGGCAAAAGAGTTTTGAGTCAGACAAGCTTTGGGTCAGACCTTTAAAGGCATTCACCCTCTCTTTTAGCTTTTTATTTTGAAATAACTTTAAACATACTGAAAAATTGCAAGAAAAATAGAAAAAACAGCACCCATATACCCTTTACCCACATTCACCTATTATTAACAGTTCACTTGTTTGCTATCATTTGTTGCCTTTCTCTCTCTGATAAACATCACATATATATAATTTTTGAATCACTTAAGAGTAAGTGGTGTACATTATGTGTATTTTCTAAAATTAGGGTGTTCTTCTGTATAACCACGCTGCAGTTGTCAGCTTCAGCAATTTTAACATTGATGCAATAATTTAATCTAATCTATTGTCCATATTCCAATTGGTTGCTTGACCTAATAATGTCTTTTTTCTCCCACACAACAGGATCCAGCCTAGGATTAAGTATTGCCTTTAGTTGTCATGCCTCTTTAATCTTCTATAGCTCATAACATTTACTCATGCACACACAAAAGCATCCCTTTTAATTCAGACATCAGTTTTATTTGAATTACACACTTTCCAAATTAACGTTGCAAGGAATCCCTGTCAATCCACTGCTCCTAGATTTGTCCTCAATGGCACTCATTCTTCCTGATCCCTCCTTACACTGGAACTCCAGGTAGCACAAAGTCTGTTTGGGTGGTAGGTATAGTTATGCCCTCCCAAAGCATTTTTTTTTCTCCTTACCCTTGAAAAGATCTACAACTGCAAATTTTGCGCCAAGTAAATGTGAACTGGCACTATTTATTTAAAAGATTATAGCCTTCAATACATGGCTGGAGAATGCCACACAGACTCTTGTGTAGTGGCCAACTAACAAATCACTCCATTGCCCTAAAATATTTTCTCAATCGCCTCCTCCACCTGTCTCCCTCTGAAGTACCACGAGCTTTTGGCCAACGGAGAGAGCTCATTCCTCTTCGATCACTCTGATAAATGTAGAGCGGAGATGGCTGTGGTTGAAAGGTACAACCTAAACAAAGGCTCCAGATGAGAACTTTGGTGACTATAGTTTATATCTGAGCCTAGTAGACAGTTACTAATCTGTATAAATGCTGTAGTCAAGCCATATGGGTGAGAGAAACGACTACTAAATGGAAATCACCGACACACTGGCGTACTGAAAAACTACACTTCTCCCGATGTCATGGTTTATTTGCATGCAATCCCAGCTAAATCAATATCACCATCTTAATCAAGAGGGAATTACAGGCTGTGGCAGAGAGGTATCATTGTAAATAATTACATCAGAGCCATTTTCAGACACAGTGCACGCTGAGTTGAAATGTTTAAACAGATATGAGAAGAAGGAAAAAAAAAAACCTCAGAGAGTGCTTGAGGGCTGTTTGTGCCCTGAGTGGTGATTCAAGCAGTCATTGTCTTCATGTTCAAACCTTAGAAGGGCAGTGCCCAACTGAGAGTCTAAGGGTCAGGAAAAGAAAACAGTGGCAGCATTGTGGATGTGCACAACATGAATGAAAGATTTTATAATCTTAAGTGAAAATACCTAGGCTTTTTTCCCCTTTTAATCAGAAAACATCATCTCTTTGCATTTTCTAGGAAGAAAAATTCCCTATACAGTTGCCGTGTAAGCCATGGCAGATTTGCAGATTGCCAGAGATCCAGTTTGGAAAGAGGATCACTCTCTGGCTGGCTGGGAACACGTTCATGGAGACCCAGGGCATTGAGCCCAGCTCAGGCTTTTCAGCAGCAAATAGAAATTAAGAGAGGTAGAATGGCAGGGAGAATAAGTCAAATGACATTCATTTATGCCTAAAGTTTTGTCAATCCTTTTTAATCTATCTTTTCCTTTTCCCTAATTTGTATTCTAGTATTTGAGAAAGAAAATCTGCTTAAATTAAGAAAGTTTGAAATGGTGTCTGTGAATGAGGAAATGAGATTTTCTTAACTTCAAGTGCAGGCAGCATCAAAGCAGGAGAGGTGCAGTGGAAGAAACACTGCTTTAAAAAAGAAAAATGACTTATAATTAGCTCTAAGGAGGCAGCTTGAGCCACACTGGCCTCAGCCCATGAGGGCATTGTTTATATGCAAATGATTCCTTCTGAAGCACTGGAAAACACTTCCTTCCCTTGAGGAGGTAAGCATTCTCTTGAAATCTGGTCTATTCTACTCAATTTGGTTTATTTTTTTTCTTGGTATTTCTAAAGTAAATGTCAACTTTAGCTCCTATTGGGAATGAACATAAATTCCAAATTAATCCATTTTCCCTGTTCAAATACCGTCCCATACATATGATGTTGCCATCATGGCTGCTTTGCAGTGGTGCCTTACTAACAGGCTCCCCTGAGAACAAAGTCAGCCAGGACACTTAGAGGATGGGGATGTTGAGGATGCTGGGGTGGGGAGCTTGTAGCAGCTGCAATGAGGCAGAGGAGGCGCTCATTTATGCCTAAAGTTTTGTCAATTCTTTTTAACCTATGTTTTTCTATTATTTTTACTATTATTAACCTTTTTTTAAATCTTTTTTTTTTAATCTATTTTCTTCTATATTTTTTTCTCTGTCCCTATTCTTGGATACATCTGTAGGGGCAGAGCCCAGCCTACCTGGACACTGAGCTGCTCCCATGGGATAGGTATACTTGGGGTCCCCTTGGCAAAGGGCTACCTGCAAAAGGAGAGAATGGCCTTTGCCAATCTCCCACCTAAACAGAGCCTTAGCTCACCTTGCCTAGAAGAGGGTGAAATATGGGCTCTAATTTCTGGGTCCCACCTATGTGTCTTGTATTACTTCAGGCAATAATAAATCTCTGTCAATGAAAGATGCTATTGAAATGTTGCCAACCAAATCTCCCCCTCCACAGGACCTCATTACTCTCCATCTGGCATTCACTGGTCTTTCCCTCTGAGGATCCCCTCAACTCCAAATATCTAATCACCAGATACTGCCAATTTTACATTGGAAGTCTTTCTCTGCTTTGTACTTCTCCCATTCCCAATATGCCTGTTCATCACCTGTCCTCCATCTAACTATTGAGAGAACTGCTGGGCCACACTCCCTGCCTCTGGCCACCAGCCTGCAGCCTAGCCATCACACCACCACCAGAGAGATGGATAGATGGTGGATGGGTGGAAAGAGAGGGTCATGTTACCTAGGACCTAAAACCCTTCAGGTGTGTGTTAGTCAGCTTGGGCTGCCCTTACAAAATACCATAAACTGGTGGGGGTTAATCAACAGAAATCTATTTTCCCGCAGTTCTAGAGGATGGAAGTCCCAGATCAAAGTATTGGCAGATCTGGTTTCTTCAGAGGCGTCTCCTTTTTGATTGCAGATAGCCACCTTCTTACCGTGTCCTGATGTGTTTGCCCCTGTGTGCACATGTCTGGTATCTCTATGTCCTAATCTCCTCTCTTTATAAAGTCACAGTGATATTGGATTAAGGCCCACCCTAACAGCATCATTTTAACTTAATTACCTCTTTAAAGGCCCTACTTCCAAACCCAATGAAATTCTGAGGTACTGGGTGTTAGGGCTTAATATGGCTTGGTTGTGTCCTCCCCCAAATCTCACCTTGAATTGTAATAATCCCCATGTGTCTCGGGAGGGACCTGGTGGGAGGTAATTGAATCACGGGGGCGAATTTTCCCTGTGCCATTCTCATGATAGTGCATAAGTCTCAGGAGATCCGATGGTTTTATAAAAGGGAAGTTCCCCTCCACACACCCTCTTGCCTGCTGCCATGTAAGATGTGACTTTGCTTCTTATTTGCCTTCCACCATGATTGTGAGGCCTCCCAGCCATGTAAACCTCTTTCCTTTATAAATTACCCAGTTTCAGGTATGTCTTTATTAGCAGCATGAGAACAGACTAATACAGGGCTTCAACATACAAATTTTGGGGGGACATAAATCAGGCCCTAGCACTGCTTGAACAATGGAAGCGATGCAGTGACAGTTTCCAGGCCCAAGCTTTAAGAAACTGAGAACTTTGCTTCCTATCTCTCTGTGACACTTGCCCCAGGGACAAGGAGGAGAGGCTACATGTAGTTCTGTCTCACAGCCCCTGCTACAGTCCCATCAACCACCCACATGTGGGTGGAAGCTTTCAAGATGACCCCAATCCCAGCTATCCTTGCACTGCAACCACATGACAGACCCTGAATGAGAATCTCTTAGCTGAGCCCAGTCATTTCCCAGAACTGTAAGAGATAATAATATAAGGAATAAAATAAGGGTTAAATTTTAAACCACTAAGTTTTGATATGATTTCTTACATAGTAACTGATAAACAAAAATGGTATTTTTGTGTGAAATCCAATTATGGCATTGACAACTAATATATAAATTTAAACACAAAACAAAACACTGTTCTGGCCAAATACCACACATCTGTGGGCAGCCAATTTCTAACTTTTGTTTGCTCTAGCAATTCCCAACCCTTGGAGTACCTTACTAACACCCTACTCTTTCAAACCTTCATGCCTTTGTAACACTGCTCCCTCAATCCAAGCATCTCAGTTGCCTAGTTTTTCTCAGCATAAAAACTTGCTAACTGTTGTTGAAGAAATGAACAGGTAACCAGATAATCAAGGACTGATTATACTGAGGTCGATTTCTATCTTCCTTAATTTTCCCTTGAATCTTTATCATAAACCCTCTTCAACTAAGGTAAGCTGATCTGATTCCATCCTCGCAACACAATGGCCTTGACCTTTTCTAAATCTTTATTCTCCAGCTTCCCTCCCTTGAGGCTGGGGGAAGTTTAGTGACCTCCTTTCTGTTTCTTTGGATTGCATCCTTACTCTCTTTCCTTCATCTTTTCTCTGGCAGTTGTGTTGTTTATCCACTTTTCTCTTTAATGGCTTTCAATCATTCAAGGTAGTTTTTGAAGCAGCAGTAGTTCACCAGATACTGCACTCTGCCCTGCCTGAGGGTAGAGAGATGCAGAAAGCACAGATGTCACCGAAGCACAATGGTCTTAGAACACCTTCCAATAAATGAGAACACCCCTCATTTAATACTAAAACCCACTGTAATCCAGAGATGATCTGTAGATATGCAGATCTGCTACAGTCCAGATCCAATCATTCCTTATTTTTCACAAATAATAATCAAAAAGAAAATTCTTTTTACAGTAAGAAATTCTTGGCTGTGTGGCTTTTTCTTCATCCCAGCAAGAGCCATTCAACTTGTTCTTTTGCCGTTAAAAAAAATCTTGCAACGGCCAGGTGTGGTGGCTCATCCCTGTAATCCCAGCACTTTGGGAGGCTGAGGTGGCTGGATCACCTGAGGTGAGGAGTTCAAGACCAGCCTGGCCAACATGGTGAAACCCCGTCTCTGCTAAAAATGTATAAAAATTAGCCAGGCATGCTGGCAGGTGCCTGTAGTCCCAGCTACTTGGGAGGCTGAGGCAGAATTGCTTGAACCCAGGAGGCAGAGGTTGCAGTGACCCGAGATCGCGCCACTGCACTCCAGCCTGGGTGATGGAGCGAAACTCCGTCTCAAAAAAACTGATAAAAAATTAAAAAATCTTGCAACTAAAATTGTAGCTAAATGTCTCCTAAACATTTCCCCGGCCTCTACCTCTCCACCACTGCAGTTGTTCCTACACAACACTGATAGATTAATCTTTTTTAAATGCCATCTAAAACTATCATCAGATACTCTCTACATATATTAGAAGCTCCAAATGCCACGGACTAGAATTCAAAGGCACCTGAGGTCTAGCCCGGACCTATTTCTTCAGCCTCCTCTCCTGTAACACCCACCCCATGATCCCTGAGCTCCAGGCAAATACATCCCCTCACAGTCTCTCAAAGTCAGAATATCTCCCTCAGCTACGTGGCTTTCACCCACTCCGCCAGGTCACAACTTATTCCTCCTACTGGCTTAAGAAGCCCCTCAAACCTCTCCTTTCATGATGCCTTCTCCTATGGCCCAGGATCTTAGAAACAGATCCTTCTCTGAACCAGAAGTCTGTAAATAATAGACTTCTACAAATTCAGATACTCGTCCTTACATTCTCATCACGCTACACATAGGTCCTGCAACTCAAGGGAGACTATAAGTCTTTCAAAGGCAAAAGTCACGTTTTGTATTAACTTGATATCCCCAGGGCCAAAAATGATGTCCAATGGTAAATGCTCAATAAATGTCTGACAAATCATACTTGATTGTATGAGTGGAAACCGTTTGCTTTGGTTATTGATTAGACACAACCAAACTGACAGTCAAACACCTCATTTTGGTCAGTGACCTTGACTTTCCTGACCCTGTAAAAACGCATAAAACTCAGCAGGATTTACTGGTCACTCTGTAATTAAATAACTGGCCAGTGGTGATACACTGTAAACACCACCTAAAAAGAAGCAAAGCCCAAAACAAACGATGCTTACCTCTAAATCACAGGGAAGGCACCTTAACGGCTTCTGAAGAATAGGCGAGAGCCCTGAAAAAAGGGAAGCAAAATGATTTTGTTTTCTTTATCCCACAGAACCCTGAAATTAGCGTCCATGCTGAAACAACCTGAGAGTAGCAGATCAACAAGTGTCTGACTTCAGATAGATGAAAAGGCTAAACTGAAAAACAGGCCAATTTGTATAATTGAAAAAGCATGTCAGCTCAGAAGGGCAGGGCTCACCTATGCTGAGTGGCATCAAAGGGGAAAGGGGTGTAACCTATAAGCAAATAGAGTCATGTTGCCAAACCTGTATCCAATTAATGTAAGAATTAAGAGATGATGAGTGCCTTAGATTCTGCTTAGATTTTAAGTGGTGCTTAACAAGACTATGAAGATGGAAAAACCTGACCGAGAATTGGCAAGCTGAAGTTACTCAGGAGGCTGAGGTAGGAGGATGGCTTGAGGATGAGAAGTTGAGGCTGTAGTGAGCTGTGATCTGGATTTTGTGAGGTGGGGGCTATTTGGGTTAAGTGGTTCAGAGACCAAGCGTAGTCTTCTCTCTGGGTGTTGGTAACATGAGGTGCTGGCAGCTGTTAAAAACCAGCTCTTCTGGCCAGGCACAGTGGCTCACGTCTATAATCCCAGCACTTTGGGAGGCCGAGGCAGGCAGATCACTTGAGGTCAGGAGTTCAAGACCAGCCTGGCCAACATGGCAAAACCCTGTCTCTACTAAAAATACAAAAATTAGCCGGGCGTGGTAGTGCACGCCTATAATCCCAGCTAAGACAAAGGAAGACAAAGGAAAGGACTGTGAGCCAATCCTCTGGTGCTTCTTGGATCACTTGATGTATCATGAGCGCAGCCCTGGCGGTCATTTCTCACTATGGAGCCCCAGCAGGTCCAGCTGTCTTCCTCCTGACTCCTGCATGGGAGAGAGTTTTTTTCTTCTTTTTTCTTTTTTTTCTTGAGACAGGGTCTCATTCTGTCACCCCAGAAAGAGGGCAATGGTGCCATCACGACTTACTGTAGCCTCAACACCTGAGGCTCAAATAATCCTCCCACCTCAGCCTCCTGAGTAGCTGGGACTATAGGCATGCACCCCCATACCTGGCTAATTTTTCTAAATTTTTTTTGCAAAGACATGGTCCCAGGCTGGTCTCAAACTCCTGAGATCACATGATCCTGACATCTCAGCCTCCCAAAGTGCTGGAGTTACAGGCTTAAGCCACCACACCTATCCGAGAAATAGTATTTATTCTAGACTCTACGATGTTATTTTCCTTGTCCCTACTGCAGGAATTTTTATTCTAATTTCTAATCCCTTGAACTTTATTTTCCCCTCACAGGTACTTACTCTCATGAAGGTGTTGCCTCCAAGGCAGCTGACATGATTCCCTTCCAGGGTCTAGGCCTTCTGGTGCAGATTCCCACAGCCAAACCCATAAAGGCCAGAGAGGTGAGTAATCAGTGAAGCAGGTGGATGGGGATCAAGGTGAAAAGGAGAGGGTTGTTACTTTTTGCTTTGTTTTTACTTGATGTATAGTGTTTTTTGTTGTTGTTTCTTGGAGATGAGGTCACTCTATGTTGCCCAGGCTGGTCTTGAACTCCTGGGCTCAAGCAATCCTCTCGCCTCAGCCTCCCAAAGTAAACGGGATTACAGCCACAAGCCATCGTGCCCAGATCCAGTGTATTGGTTTTTAAAGGGATAAGTTACCCTAAGGAAAACAGGATTAGTGTTGACAGTTCTGCTTTTAAAATAAAAGGGAGGGTGGAAATGTGGAAGTTCATGTGAACTCTCCTGATTTTGGAACATTGGCAAATAATTCAGAAATTTTTACTGTGCTCTGCAGGGCCACAAAACATGGCTTTGGGCTATAACATGGTCTGAGAATTGCTTGCTTCCAAAATCCGTTTAAGCTTTTGGAAACTGAAATGCAAGTGTCTGGCAGGCGATTTTGTTACAGTAGGTAGCTAGGCAGACATGAGTGGGGCAGGAGAGGCTCCCTCCTTACCCCACTCCAGAATGTCAGGTGACCATCAGGTGATGGTCAGGCATTGTTAAGCTGTCTTTCTAAAATAATTGGTTGCAGCTGGCGCCAGGGAACGTCAGTCTCTCAGTAGACAGAAAAAACCTGGAGCTGGTGATCAGCTTCCCGATAAGATCTCAGGAGTTGGGTGAGTGGGCTCAAGCATGCAGACTAAGAGGCAAAATGGTGGAGGTTAACTGGTATATGACTTTATTGGAACACTGGACTGGTAAGGGAAGAATGCCTCAAGTGAGCATGCATACAACTTCAGTAAACACACTGCGTGTGCCGGCCCCTCCCAAGCGCTGGCAGGCTACTGCGCATGCAGACAGCCCATCCCTAGGGAATAATCAGGGGAGAAGCAATGCAAACTTCCCGCACCACTCCCCGCAACGCCCCGGGAAGCATGCCAATGTATAAAACCCCAAGTCAAAAGTCAAACAGTGCACTTGACTCTCTCAAGTTGCCCGCTTGGCCCTCTTCCAAGTGTACTTGACATCCTTTCATTCCTAAACTTTTTAACAAACTTTCACTCCTGCTCTAAAGCTTGCCTTGGTCTCTCACTCTGTCTTATGCCCCTTTTTCAAATTCTTTCTTCTGAGGAGGCAAGAATTGAGGTTGCTGTAGACCCGAACGAATTCGCTACCGCTAACAATTCCAGTGTTGTTGTCTTGTCAAATCCTTCCACTGAAAAGTGAACCCATAATACATTCTGTCTTTGAACTGGGAGTTGGGAGAGAGGTAAGAAAGGGAAAGGGGGTAAATAATGACAGAAATAAATCAGCTAATATTTTAAAATGTTATACTATCTCATGTACAGTGGATGATAAATGACAGGCTATTTTCACTGTGGAATGCCCACCAACTCCAAGATGAACAGTGTGATTTCCTTCAAGGGAAATTGGAATCTTTATATTCTATGATTTTTTTCTTGAGGTATATTTACAAAGCAAATAATTCAGACATACTGATTCAACCTTTCAATTAGATGGTTCTACCTGAAGCAAGGGAGCTCTCAGCTCCCCTATTATTTATTTCTCCTATGAGATGGTTGACCTGTGCAAGTAGCTATTTTTGTGTTGAGAGAATGGAATTCAGGTACCAGACAGAGCCAGAGAAAATCCACAATACATTCAACATCTAAGTGTCTAAATTAGGAATGGTAAATATATGGCATGCCTGCTACCAACACATGACTCTCCTTGCCCATGATAGACTTACTAATCTATTGCACTACTTTTTCCTACCAGACCCAGAGACAGCTTTGGAATCTTCAGACAATTGATCAGATTGGCTCATGTGAAGAACCCAGTTTGTCATCCTTGGTCCAGGAAGTCAACTCAAATCCAAGAAGTCAATTTTCTTAATAACCACAAATGTATGTTACATTATTTGAGTATTTTCCATTTATGAGTCATTTAATGCAGAAACTTTATCTTTGGACCCTTTCTTTCTGGAGATTCTATTCTTTTTGAGATGGGGCGGTACCTGTAAGTGGAGACCTGCTGACCTGCATGTCAGGAGGCCTGTGTGCCTGACAGTCACCCACTGTTTCCTGACCTCACTCTTTCTTTCTTGTTTTTTCTTTTCTTTTCTTTTTTTTGAGATAGAGTCTCTCTCTGTCGCCCAGGCTGGAGTGCAGTGGCGTGATCTCAACTCACTGCAATCTCCACCTCCCAGGTTCACTCCATTCTCCTGCCTCAGCCTCCGGAGTAGCTGGGACTACAGGCGCCCACCACAATGCCTCGCTAATTTTTTGTATTTTTGGTAGAGACGGGGTTTCACCATTTTAGCCAGGATGGTCTCGATCTCCTGACCTTGTGATCTGCCCTCCTCGGCCTCCCAAAGTGCTGGGATTACAGGCGTGAGCCACTGTGCCCGGCCTCTTTTTTTTTTTTTTGAGACAGAATTTTGCCCGTTGCCCAGGCTGGAGTACAGTGGCACAATCTCAGCTCATTGCAACCTCCTCCCGGGTGCAAATGTTTCTTGTGCCTCAGCCTCCCAAGCAGCTGGGAGGGTGCATGCCACTATGCTTGGCTAATTTTGACCTCACTCTTAATCAACTACAAAATGAGGAGTCTTCAGTGGAAATGCTTAAATGTGTTTGAACAATAACATTTAAGTAAAAGTCATAGTGTGTTGTCTTGTCATAATGTATGTGTTGGGTTGCAAACAATGATAAAACATTATTCACTGTATTCATCTTTTTAATAATTTGGAAAACTTTGCTTCAACTTGCCTATTTTTTTTTTGCAACCGTGTCTTGCTCTGTTGTCCAGGATGGAGAACAGTGGCAACCCAACCACCTCCCCCCGCAAAAAAGATTGAATCCTGAATACTTATAAATTAACATGGAGATGAGGAAAAGAAAGTGTTGTATCTCTGTATGTCATAAACCAAGCCAGTTTGAGAGTATTTAAGCTAGGACAATGGCTCACTTCTTCTAGTTTCTTCTTTGTTATCTACTCCACATCACTTATTTGGCATTAAACCTATCAAACAGTGCCTGGTAGCATTTATTTGTTGGTTTACTATGTAGGCATTTATTGTACATCTATTCAGTGACAGGCACTATTCATGGCTCTGAAAATACAAAGATGTATAATGAGTTGACCCTGTCATCTCAGGCTTAGAGCTACCTGGAGAGGTGGCTATAACTATGTATTATAATGACAGTATCAGGTAAGAATAATTTGGCAAACAATTTAAAGAGCATTTCAAAAAGTCCAACACTCTTTCATAGTAAAACCAGTCAGAAAACTAAGAATAGAAGGGAACTTCCTCAACCAGATAAAGGGCATCTAAAAAACCCACAACTGAGTGGTAAAAGACAGGATGCCTTCCCCTAAGATCAGGAATAAGACAAGGATGTTCGTTCTTGATACTTCTATTCAACATTATCCTGGAGGTACTAGCCAGAGCAAGTAGGCAAGAAAAAGAAATAAAAGGCATCCAGATTGGAGAGGAAGCAGTAAAATTGTTTCTATTCACAGATGACCTGATCTTATATATAGAAAATCCTAAGAAATCCACCGAAAATATTTTGTGCTAATGAACAAGTTCAGCAGTTTCAAGATACAAGATCAGTATACAAACATCAGTTGAATTTCTATACACTTGCAATAACTAATCTGAAAATTAACAAAAAAATCCATTTATAGTAGCATCAGAAACAATAAAATATTAACACTAATAAATTTTTTTAAAAAGTAAAAAATTATACTCTGAAAACTACAAAACATTGTCTAAAGTAATTAAAGGTCAATGTAAATGCAAAGACATTCCATATTTACAGGGATCAGAAGACTTAATATTGTTAAGATTGTTGACATGACAATATTCTCCAAATTGATCTACAGATTTTACATAATCCCTGTTGAAATTCCAGCTGCCTGTTTTGAGAAATGGGCAAGCTCATTCTAAAATTCATATAGAAATGCAAGTAACCCAGAAGAGCCAAAATAGTTTTGAAAAAGAAGAACAAAGCCAGAGGATTTACACTCCCCATTTCCAAAACTTACTACAAAGCTACAGTAATCAAGATAGTGTGATAGTGGTGAGAGGTGACAGCCTGCTGGCGGCCCTCGCAGCCCTCGCCCACTCTCGGCGCCTCCTTGGCCTCGGCACCCACTGTGGCCACACTTGAGGAGCCCTTCAGCCCGCCGCTGCACTGTGGGAGCCCCTCTCTGGGCTGGCCAAGGCCGGAGGTGGCTCCCTCAGCTTGCGGGGAGGTGTGGAGGCAGAGGTGCGGGTGGGAACTGGGGCTGCGCACACGCTTGTGGGCCAGCATGAGTTCCAGGTGGGCGTGGGCACAGCGGGCCCCACACTTGGAGCGGCCGGCCGGCCCCAGGCAGTGAGGAGCTTAGCACCTGGGCCAGCAGCTATGGAGGGTGCGCCTGGTCCCCCAGCAGTGGCTGCACTCGAATTCTCACCGGGCCTCAGCTGCCTCCCCACGGGGCAGAGCTCAGGACCTGCAGCCCACCATGCCTGAGCCTCCCCCAGCCGGCCGCGGTGGGCTCCTGTGCAGCCCGAGCCTCCCTGACATGTCCTGCCCCCTGCTCCACAGCACCCGGTCCCATCGACCACCCAAAGGCTGAGGAGTGCAGGCCCACAGCATGGGACTGGCAGGCATCTCCACCTGGGGCCACGGGTGTGGGATCCACTAGGTGAAGCCAGCTAGGCTCCTGAGTCTAGCGGGGACTTGGAGAACCTTTATGTCTAGCTAAGGGATTGTAAATACACCAATCAGCACCCTGTGCCTAGCTCAAGGTTTGTAAATGCACCAATCAGCACTCTGTATCTAGCTAATCTGGTGGGGACTTGGAGAATCTTTATGTCTAGCTAAGGGATTGTAAATACACCAATTAGCACTCTGTGTCTAGCTCAAGGTTTGTAAACACACCAATCAGCACCCTGTGTCTAGCTCAAGGTTTGTAAATGCACCAATCAGTGCTCTGTGGGGACTTGGAGAACTTTTGTGTCTAGCTCAGGGATTGTAAACACACCAATCAGCACCTTGTCAGAATGGACCAATCAGCTCTCCGTAAAACAGACCAATCAGCTCTCTGTAAAATGGACCAATCAGCAGGATGTCAGTGGGGCCAGATAAGGGAATAAAAGCAGGCTGCCTGAGGCAGCAGTGGCAATGCGCTGCGGTCCCTTTCAACACTGTGGAAGCTTTGTTCTTTCACTCTTTGCAATAAATCTTGCTGCTGCTCACTCTTTGGGTCCACACTGCCTTTATGAGCTGTAACACTCACTGCGAAGGTTTGCAGTTTCACTCCTGAGGCACCGAAACCAAGAACCCACCAGAAGGAAGAAACTCCGAACACATCCAAACATCAGAAGGAACAAACTCCAGACACGCCACTTTTAAGAACTGTAACATTCACTGCGAGGGTCCGCAGCTTCATTCTTGAAGTCAGTGAGACCAAGAACCCACCAGTTCCAGACACACTGGCATACGGCTAGATATATAAATCAGTGGAATAGAATCAACAGTCCAGAAATAAGTTCTTACATTTCGTGGCAATTGATTTTTGACAAAGGTGTCAACACAGTTAAATGGGGAAAGAATAATCTTTTCCACAAATGATGTTGAAACAACTAGAAATCCATAGGGAAAAGAATTTGGATTCATCATACCATATACAAAAATTAACTTAAATTTTATCATAGATAAAAATTTAAGAGCTAAAACTCTCAGAAGAAAGCATAGGAGTAAATCATTATGACTTTGGATTAGACAATGGTTTCTTAAATATAACACCAAAAGCACAAACAACAAAAGAAAAAAGATAAATTGGATTTTATTAAAATTAAAAGCTTTTGTGCTTCAAAGTACACCATCAAGAAAGTTGAAATGCAATATATGTAATGGGAAAATATTTGCAAATCATACATCTGATAAGCAACTTGTATCCATAATGTATAAAGAAATCTTACAATAAAAAGACAACCTAATTTGAAAATGAACAAAAGATGAGAATAGACATTTTTCCAGAAAGATATACAGGTGGCCTGTGTCTTAGTCAATTTGTGCTGCTATAACAAATTACCTGAGATTGGGTAATTTACAAAGAACAAAAGTTTATTTCTCACAGTTGTGGAGGCTGAAAGTCCAAGACCAAGGCACTGGCAGGTTCAGTGTCCAAGGGCCTGGTCTCTGTCTCTTGTTGGGGTACCCTCCAGAGGGGATGAACACTGCACCGTCACGTGGTGTAAGGCAGAAGGGCAAAAGAGTCTAGCTAGTTTCCTCTAGCCTTTTTATAAGATCACCAATCCCATTCACAAGGGCTCTGCCCTCAGGACTTAATCACTCCTAAAGGCCCCACCTTTTCATGCCATCATGTTAGGGTTTAATTTCCAATATATGAATTTTGAAGGGACACATACGTTCAAATCATAGTAGCCAGTAAGCACATGAAAAGATGCTCAACATCATTAGCCATCAGTAAAACGCAAATCAAAACCACAATGAAATATCACTTCATATCCACTAGGATGACTAAAGTAAGAAAGATAGACAGCAAGAGTTGAGGATATGGAGAAACTGGAAGCCTTATACATTGCTGGTGGGAACTGCTGGTGGTGCCACTGCTTTGAAAAATAATTTGGCAGTTCCTTAAAATGTTAAACATCAAATTTTTATATGGGCCAGACACTGCAGCTGGTGCCTGTAATCCCAGTTATTCAAGAGTAGAGCAGAAGGATCACTTGAGGCCACAGGAGTTTGAGACCAACTTGGGCAACATAATGAGACTCTGTCTCTTTAAAAAAGAAAAAAGTACTGTATGACCTGGCTATTCCACACCTAGACATATACCTAAGAGAAATAAAAACATATGTTCACACAAAAATGTGTACATGAATGTTCATAGCAGCATTATTTATAATGAGCAAAAAATAAAAGCAACACAAATGTCCATCAACTGACAAAGGGTATGTCTGTGCAATTAAATATTATTCAGCCATAAAAAGAATAAAATACCGCTTACATAATACAACATGGATAAACTTTCAAAATATGCTAAATGAAAAAAGCCAGTCACAAAGGACCATATGTTATATAATATCATTTATATAAGATGTCTAAAATAGACACACCTATAGACAGAAAATAGATTACTTGTTGCCAGGGGTTGGGGAGAGGGAGAATGGGGAAGTGATTGTTAATGGATATGGGGTTTCTTCTGAGGTAGTAGAAACATTATGAAATTAAATAGTGGTGATGGTTACACAGTTCTAATACTATACTAAAAAACAAATTAACAATTTAAGAGAGTGAATTTTATGATATGTTAATTATATCTCAATAAAATTGTGTTTTTTTGTTGTTTTTTTTTTTTTTTTTTTGAGATAGAATTTCGCTCTCGTTGCCCAGGCTGGAGTGCAGTGGCACAATCTCGGCTCACTGCAACCTCCGCCTCCTGGGTTCAAGCGATTTCCCTGCCTCAGGCTCCCGAGTAGCTGGGATTACAGGCGTCAGCCACCACGCCGGGCTAATTTTTTGTATTTTTAGTAGAGATGGGGTTTCGCCATGTTGGCCAGGCTGGTCTTGAACTCCTGACCTCAGGTGATCTGCCTGCCTCGGCCTCCCAAAGTGCTGGGATTATAGACGTGAGCCACTGTGCCTGGCCAGAAGAGCTGGTTTTTAACAGCTGCCAGCACCTCATGTTACCAACACCCAGAGAGAAGACTACGCTTGGTCTCTGAACCACTTAACCCAAATAGCCCCCGCCTCTACTAAAAATACAAAAATTAGCCAGGTGTGATGGTGGGTGCCTATAGTCCCAACTACTCGGGAGACTGAAGCAGGAGAATCGCTTGAACCCGGGAAGCAGAGGTTGCAGTGGGCAAAGGTCGCGCCACTGCACTCTAGCCTGGGCCACAAAGCGAAACTCCATCTGAACAAACAAAAAATACTTTCGACTGCAAGTAACAGAATACTTAAGAGTGGTTTAACCTTAAAGACATTTACAGTTTATGTCACAACATGTCTGGAAGCATTTGGTCTCAGCGTTCACTCAAGGGCTCTGAAAAATCATCAAAGACCAAGGCACTTCCTACATTTCCACTCTGATGTTTTCACTCATTTGCTTTTTATTCTCAGGTTTGTCACCTCATGATCGATCTTATGGCTACTGCAGCTCTAGGCATCACATCCACATTCAAGACAGGATGAAATGGGAAGGGATGATGAAGCAATTCCTCACTTGCATCTGTTCCTTTTATCAGAAAAGCCAAAGACCCACCAACATGCTTCACCTTTGTTTCATTGGCCCAAGTGGTCACCTAGGTCTGTAAGGGAGATTGGAAATGAGAGTGTTTCTGGTTTATTCTACCACGAGATTTGAGAAAGGGAAAGGTGTGTTGCGAATGACAATTGGGTTAGCCAAGCAACAGTGTGTTTACGATGGAGATGTGCCTGCTGAATATCTTCACTTGTGTCAAAGGTGCCTCAAAATCATCATATCCAGCTCTCAGCTCATCATCCCTTCTTCCCCTCTCCACCATTCACCAAAGCTGGTCCTTTTCCACCACAGACCTGGCTTCCTTCACTCCTTTTTTTCCCTCACCCCTGGACCTAATCAATCTTCAAGTCCTATTTTACCTCTTAAGCATGTCATGAATCGTCTACTTCCTTTGATCTCCTCCACAGAGTTTAAGAAACCTTCGTCTCCTCCCTCACTGACATGCTTGCCTCCACTCTCTCCTCCCTCCAACATACTATCTACACAGTGCCCAGACCACAGTTTTGAAATGCAAATTAGGGCCAGGCTTGGTGGCTCACATCTATAATCCCAGTGCTTTGGGAGGCCGAGGCAGGAAGATCACTTGAGTCCAGGGGTTTGAGACCAGCCTGGGCAACAAAAGGAGACTCCATTTCTAAAAAAAAAAAAAAAAAAAAAAATTTTTTAATTAGCCAGGTATGGTGGCACATGCCTGTAGCACCAGCTACTCAAGAGGCTGAGGTGGGAGGATCACTTGAGCCCAGGAGTTTGAGGCTGCAGAGAGCCATGATAGCACCACCGCAACCCAGCCTAGGCAACAGAGCCAGACCCTGTCTCAAAAAAAAAAAAAAAAAAAAAAAGGCAAATTAGCTCATCTCACTGTGCTACCTCTTATTCTCAGAAGGCTTCTCATTGTAAAAGCAATAACTAAGATCCATGAAGTCCCCTCATGGTCTTGCCTGCCTGGCCTCTGCACATGCTGTTCCTTCTGTCTAAATGTTTCCCCCTGTTCCTCCCCTAGTTAATTCCTACTCATCCTTCAAAGTTCAGCTCAAACATCCTTCACTCCAAAAACTCCCCGATTCTCCAAACCATGGCAAATCCTCTGTGATATGGTCCTATAATATGTAGTTTGCCTTTCATCCATTTAACACAAATACAATTAACTCAGTATGTAATTATGTGTTTAACATCCATCTCTCCTACATGAAAGTAAGCATTGTCTTCCTCTCTGCTCCTTCTCCCTGCCCTAGCACAATACCTCACACATGGAAGGCACAGAGATTTTGTTGAAGCTATGAAATAAATGAACTAATGAATACCAGAAAGTATTCAGAGCCAATTACTAACACGAAGAAAGCTGCTGAAGCAACTCTGCACCTGGGGAGCAAAGGGAGGGAGGGAAGATGGAAGAGCTTTGACTTCCTCCACAAAGCACAATATTGCCTTCCTTGTGGACAAAATCTTCATGCAGTAGCAGCCTTTGGGTGCCTGATTGCTACAGCATTCCATGATATTTGCTCAGGTATTATTTTTCTAATCCTTTCTTGTCTCAAGCCAAGTTTCTTGAAGGCTAGAATAATATCTGATAAGGAAGAGCACTAGTGTGGAATTAGGCACAAGGCAGGTAACTAATTGCTTAATTGAGTCCTGAGATCATTGAGGTGTAACACCAGTGCCTTCTGGTCTCCAAAAAAGTTATAAGGAGCAAGCAAAAAGTTATAAGTGTCTTGAGGGCAGGGACAGCATGTTATAATCTGCACCTTGCCTGACACATGAAGGACCAATAAGTGCAAATGCAATAAATGCTCACTGAATTGGGACCTACCACGTGTCAGGTGTGCCAGGTGCACGGAATGAACAGCTCGATTCACCAGCACCACTCTTGTTTTTTTTCTTTTTGAGACAGGATCTCACTTTGTCACCCAGGTTGGAGTGCAGTTGCAAGATCTCAGCTCACTGCAGCCTCAATCTCCTGGGCTCAAGCAATCCTCCCACCTCAGCCCCCTAAATAGCTGGGACCACAGGCACACGCCACCAGGCCCAGCTAATTTTTTTGTATTTTTTGTAGAGATGGGGTTTCACCATGTTGCTCAGGCTGGTCTCGAACTTCTGAGCTCAAGTGATCTGCCCGCCTTGGCCTCTTAAAGTGCTGGGATAACAGGCAACCAGCACCACTCTTGACTTCTCATTTTTTTCTCCTACAATCTCCCATGAGATCACCACTTTACAGAAAAGAAAGTGCCAGATACATACATTTGGCGTGAGTGACCTGCTTTAAAAGTCCGGAGATACTATCAAAGGAGATCACAACTTGCCCTCCTGATTTAAGGAAACTAAAGAGACAGTTGTGGGGCTCAAGCCCACTCTCCTCTAAGTGATGGAAAAACCTATTTATCTCAGTTGTTCAAAGCATATCTAGTGATTCTTTTTCCCCAGCACAGTACGGAATCACATAATTCAGGCCAGTCTCACTGACCCTAAATCCTAATACTCCAGCTTTCTCTTTGATCTAACGATCTCATGGAAAAGGGCATTAGGGCTGAAAATTTATAAGCCTCTCTTTGTCCTTATTCTGATCCTGCTTCGCTGCTTAGCCCCAAATCATAAAGTAGAGCACTATTTCAATTTGGGTATCAGCACCACACCTGCTTATCGTGGAGCGCTTAAGCCACTTGGTCAGCTGGGAATATGTTCATTGTGATGTCTGTTTCAGGAATCTGCACCAGGTGACTCCAACCAGCTCCCCACAAATGCTAGCTGAAAAAGTTCAAAGCCAGCAGAAACCTTTCCAAGAAAAGCCTGGCATTTTTTTTTAAATCAAATTTCAAATAAGTATCTGCAATTACAGCAGTATTATAAAGGATTTTATTCCTTCGCCTCTCTCCTATAGGTTTTAGTTTTTAAAATAACAAAAATTAACTAATCCATTGCTTTGCACCCAGGCATTCAAATCACTTGGCACGGGATAAAAATGTCTAATTGTTATATTTTTCACAAACAATTTTACAAATAGAGAGCCTTTTATGAAAGTGCAAATTATATGCTCTATAAACAAGGAACAATCTATAGAGTTTGAGGTGCAAATAACACATCAGTAATTTCTAAAGAATGAGGCTAAAACACCCATGTGGCAGTAATAATAGAACTTCTAATCTATCCAACAAGACTCTAACATCCTTCCTACTCTGCATCCTGGAATTGCTTAGGCCCTTCAGGTGTCTGAAGAATAAGTCCAATACAGCAGAGCCCCATCTCAAGACACAGACTGAAGCTGAGGGGTTCTGGTGGGATATTTCTGATGAATTTTATTTCCCAAGTGCAGAAAAGCTGGGTGATGTTTCTAGTTCCCGTAGGAACCATAGAGGCTGAGGTGTTAGCAACTTTTCAGGGCTGGACTCTGTGCTCCCCAAATTAAAGTTCATTAAAGAAGCTTTCTGCCAAACTAGCTAGTACACTCTCCATTCAGGCTTTTTCTTTCCTTGCTCAGCTACATCCACCAGGAACCAAGCCCTCCCAGATGAGTCTGACAGGCAGGACTCCTATGACCGTTCTCACAGATGTGGAAAAATAGAAATTCAGACTGTAGTCAACTAGGAAGATACTGGCTAAAGGGAGAGGAAGTATCACCTGCACCAGGAAAACTATCCAAAAAGTTGGGTCAAAAGCAATGTTTTTCAGCTAAGATCTCAGTTCAAGCTGCTACCATGAATGCCAAAGAGAACTCCATTATGGTTGCTCTTCGAGGCATGGTGATCCCTTCCTCTCCCACCGGACTCCATCCTCAAAAGACCTGAAGCCGAGATGTTCCCCTCTTAGTGATCAGTTCACATGTATAGTCCCTTCCAAGTGAGCAAGCCGACCCCAGGAAGGCTGGCTGAGAACTGGCTTCAGGATCTCAACCATCCCTCTTCCCCAGACCATGACAGCTACTCATTCACACATGCAACTAAGGGAAGCCATGAAAGCGATTGTTTTAAATAACAAGAAAAATGTGCTTCAAAATAATTTTTTGGCCTCACCTGCATGTGAAGCAGCTGGCAACTTCCTCTTGCTAAAGGAAGTGGAAGGAGTGGGAACAAAGAAATGAAATCTCTGACTGGGACCCCTCTGGTAGAGCTGCCCACCACACCACAGAGCCTCTGTTCCCCTTACTGGGCCATGGTGGCATGGTGTCACCCACTGAACACACCAATTCTCAATTGTTCATGACCGTTTTGCTGAACAATGAGATTCAGACTCCTGAGCAATCCTTGAAATGGCTTCGTGGTCCATATCGCTGGAGCTGTTCTTCATAGGCTTTGGCAATTTAATGCAGCTCACATCTCAAAAATGAGAGTGAATCACAGTTCCATACTGTGCTTTGTATTTCTGTAATTGAGAGGAAAGATCTTTCAATACAGCACCTTAGCTGTTCTTTTCTCAGGCAGTGAGTTCCTTTATTAAGAGAGCTCTTTGCCCCCTCGGTCCTGGGTTTTTTTTTTCCCCTCTGGAGCTACTGGGCAGATGCTGTTAGTACACACAACTTGAAGAAGTTGGAGACTGTTATACCTGCCTTTCTCAATTATTTTTTGTGTTTGGGACTTCAAAATAAATCATAACTTCTATGGTCATATTTGAATCAGAATTCTTATTCCTGTTGGCAATTTTTCGTGTCCCAAAGTTTAAAAGAGAAAATCAAAGGCATACGTATTTTTTTAAAACAGCACTCATGCTCTCCTCCTACTTACTTTTCTTTCCTCTGTCCTTAAGGAGAGGGTTAAGACTGTGAATTTCCTTTGGGTCATCTCCTTGATGAAGCCTCTGATATGAACTCTGCCTTCAGGCCACTTTCCCAGGATGGAATTCACCCTCCATTTCTCTCCTCCTCAATTACTTTTCATACAGAATCAAAAATTCCTTATGTTAGCTTTCCTTCTCTAGAATGACCACATAGTGCCCTGGGATTTTTTCCATTCCATGAAAGAGAAACTTAGTTAAAAACAACAATATCAAAACATTTTATATCAGTGATGGTGATTCCTGAAGTAATTGGCAATTGCTTATAAAAAAAATCAGTTAAGTATTCAGCTTAATTTAGTGATCTCCCCCAAAATTGGAAACTGAAAGGGAGCAATTTAACTTCTAGCAACTTTCAACTGTGAGCAGCTGTAATACAATTATTTTGGAATAACCATCAAGAGAATACACCTAGACAAAAGCATATATAATTGGAGAAAAATCAGTCGATTTTTGCCTTATCTGAAAAATGAAAACAGAAATATGATTAATGATGGAGAAGATGAGTCCAATAATTTCTAATCCTTTCTAGATCAAGCTAGCAACACACAAATAAGTCAATAATGAAATCAACATGGTTGTTTGCCATCAGGACATGCATTGGCAGAAGGTGAAGCTGTCCAGTCATTTATTGAGCAAGTCATGCCTCTTTGATGAGTTATCTAATACATTCCAGTTACATGCTAGTCACTGTACTGCAGTGCCTCCTTAATATAGAAGGCATTATTTGGCACAGTGGTTAGGAATATGGACACTGGAGTTAGACTGCCCGGGTTCAAAGGTCTACTACTTAACTCTGGTGTGTGCCATATGAACTCTGCTGTCTGCCCTGGTGCTGGACTGCATGAATGGCATCAGTGGTCTTCAGGACGCTTGAAGGTCTGCCAAAGTATGCCACTGAAAGGGCCTGTCAGGAGTGCAGAAGGAGGGCAGAGAAAGGGGTTAGGGTGTTTATTCCCTTGACTCCTTCTCTGCAAGACTGCTATAGACTGGGAGTGTACCTGCCCAGAAATCACTGCTCTGTGCAATGTGCAATTGGCTTCACACAGTTCTCTCTCCTTCTGGGTTCTGCTGACGGCTCCCTTCCCTCATCCATTCAGGCCTAGGGGTAGTAACAGCTTGCCTGCTCCTAGCTCCGTCAATGCCTCCTGTATACCCACATTTGTAGCCAGCCCGCTTTGTAAATAAACCTCCCAATTTAACTACTTTATATGTCATCTCTTTTCTGTTTGGATCTTGATGGTAAACAGTATGACTCTGGATAAATGACTTAGCCTCTCTATGCCTGAACGTGTAAAATAGAGATAATAATAGTAATTTACCTCTTAGACATGAGAATTAAATGAGTTATTCATATGTGTGAAATACTGTGAACAGTGCCAGGCATGTAATAAGCATAATTATTTTATTTTTATTTTTATCACCATCACCACCACTGTCATCATTATCACTGGGCAGCACGAGTGAACAAAAATGACTAAGACGCAGCCACTGTCCTCTAGGAGCTAAGTCTTGTTTCTAGCATACTGAGTTGGTGGTGGTGGTGGAGAGCTGTTTTTTAAAGTTAGGACCCAGAGAAATCTGACATCTACTACAGAAAGCAGCTTACGGGTAATCCAGGAGTAGTTTAACAGCACTGGGCAGTTAAGATACACGGTCATTACCAGCAATCCCGAAGGATCTTTACAGTCAGTTGCCTGCTCTGCTTTTTCTCAACACCCTTCTGATGAATCTTACCCTAGATTCATAGACATTTTAGAGCTAAAAAAGGATTCTAACTAGAAACAAAACCCCTCGTGCAGCACTTTATTTAGAAAAGAAAACTGATTTAACCAAAATAAGCTTTTAGGCTATTTAGATGTGGACCCAGCATAAGAAAAATAAGTGGGAAAAAAGAATATTGAAGGCTTTTAGTCTGGCTCAAGGGACTCTCCCCTAACCATCTGGAGAGATGTATTTCTAACCCAAGTTTCCAGGGTCTAAGAAAGAATATTATTGTATACTCTCCCTAGAGAAGGGAAATGGGGCTTAATAAAATAAAAAATAAATAAATAAAAGAAAAGGAAGAAGAAAGAGACGTAAGAAAACAAAGAGAAAATGGAAGTCCCCCATCCGTTCTGCAGGCTGATTTATAGTACCCAGTAGGCTCAGGGGAATATTAGTTGCTATGTGTCCAAAGCATTTGACCAGGATTTATATGCAACTCCAAGAGTGTTAGTAAATGGGGGGCAGGGGAACACCTCAAAAGAAGAGGGAAACTTCTAGAAGATTATGTGTATCCGAGTCAATTTATGAAAGTCCCATTCCCTTGGAGGAATGAAGAGCTAAATCCATCCTTTTAAAAATTGAAATCTTTAAGGAAAAGAAACTAGGTTTCAGCCCTAAATATTTTATTTCATCTCTCTGAGCCTCTATTTCCTGTAAAATGAGAGGGTTGAACCAGATGGTCCCTGTGGTTCCTTCTAGGTCTTTATTTCTAGAATTCAGTGAATTTTAAATTGGATATTACAGATATCAAAGAGCCCCTTCTCAGCCTCAGATTATATTACAAAAAAAAAAAAAAAACAGATGAAGGCTACACCTCACTTGTGAAAGGATCAAAGTTGCTTTTTGGTTTCTTTCTTTTTAAATATCCCCAAGTGAATTTCTGACCCTTGAGTCTAAAAATTCATTTCAAACTCATCGAGTTGTCTCAAACTTCTCTTGAACGACTTTAGTTAAAAGAAATTGATTTATGAGTAGCATGCAAAAAGCCACTTTATTAATACGTCCTATTAGGAAACCCACTTGGAAGACTGAATTGAAGTTAAAAGGATGAAAAGACATTTCAAGCAATGTTAGAAGACAAGCCATTGACTTGAGAGACAATACTTGCATCACAGATAACAAAGTGCCAGTAGCTGGAACTCATGAAAAACTACAAATCAACAAGAGGACAATAATCCAACAGAAAAATGGGCAAAAGATTATGAACAGCTTACAGAGGAGAAATGGCCACAAAGGATGAAAGATGCTCAGCTTCACCAATAATTAAGGAAATGCAGATAAAAACAACAAATACCATTTCACTCCTACCACTTTGGCAAAAATTTTAAATGACTGACAATACCAAGGGAAACTATGTAGACATAGGAACTCTCACGTATCACTGGTAGGAGTACAAATTAAAAAACCATTTTGGAGACGAGATCTAATGAAATTGAAGACATACATAAATACCCTAAGGCCTAGTAATTATACTTCTAAGTATATAACCCAATGAAACTGTAACATAATAGTTCAGGAGATAGCTTACAAGAACATGTTTATAAGGGCAAAAATTGGGTGCAATCAAAATGTTTATCAAGTGATGAAAAAAATATAAATACATTTGTTTTAATCCTACAACGGTATGTGACACAGCAGTTAAAATGAATGAGCTTTTGAGCCACACATACTGATATTAATTTGTTTAGAAAGTCTAGTTACATGTGTTTATAATATTTCATTTACCCAGAGTCATAAAATATGCAAAAATCCCTACTGTATTATTTATGGATACATAGACATGTAATCAATGTATGAAGTCATGGATGGAAATATATATAGGGTTGATAGGTCCCACATCAGGACAGTAAAAACATCCACCGTGGGAAACAAAAAATAATTTGAATAAGAAGTGTTCACAGGTTACAGAGGATTTTTGTGATGTTTCGTTTATTAAAACAAAACAAAACAAAAAAACAGAAAGAAAGAAAGAAACATTTTGGGGTAGAGTAGGGAAAGTACAAGATGAGCCTGGAACTTCTGTGGTACCAGGGAGTAAGGAAGTACTAAAAAAAAAATTAAAGGCCAGGTGCAGTGGCTCACACCTGTAATCCCAGCACTTTGGGAGGCCAAAGTGGAGCGATCACTTGAGGTCAGGAGTTCAAGACCAGCCTGGTCAAAATGGTGAAACCCTGTCTCTACTAAAAATACAAAAATTAGCCAGGTGTGGCGGCGTGCACCTGTAATCCCAGCTACTCAGAAGGCTGAGGCAGGACAATTGCTTGAATCCGGGAGGCGGAGGAGGTTGCAGTGAGCCGAGATCGTGCCACTGCACTCCAGCCTGGGTGACAGAGACAGACTCTGTCTCAAAAAAAAAAAAAAAAGAAAAAAGAGAGCATCTAGAAAGAACACAGGAGTCATTGTGAAGAAGCCCAATCTGAAACACCTTAAATAACAAAACAGTGATAGCAATGGGTTATAGCTTATAGAATAAAGCAAATTCCATTAGCCCATAAAGCTATAAATAAATAGCTGGCTAAATGAATACATCAGAGAGAAGGCATGATGGAAATAGAAAAATCACCTTTTGGCAAACACCAAAGTAAAAATTGTTGCAGGCAAGAATGGATATTAAAATTAGTACATAAAATTATAATAAAAAACAGTATACTTGCATAGTCTCGAAGTATTTCTGAATGATAAATTATTAATACTTACTAACTACAAAGAGGAAAAGAGTAACTTTACATTGGAGAAACCTTAACCAAGTGATCCAAGTGAACATCACTTTGTAATGGAACATGTTGACATTGAGTACTTCCTGATATGATATACTGGAAAAGGCACAAAATCACTTCTGTGGTATCCTTGCTAAAAATGCATAACTTGAATTTAAACATGAGAAAATACTAGACAAATCCAAATTGAGAGACATTCCACAAAATCACGGGCCAGTCCTTTTCAAAAATATCCCGTCATACAAAATAAAAGAAGACTTGAGGAACTGTCCCAGGTGCAAGGTAGGATCTTGGCCCAGAAAAAAAGACATTAGTGGGACAATTAGTGACACATGAGTAAGGTCTGCAGGTTAGTTAAGAGTATTGTATCAACATTAATGTCCTCGTTTTGATCATTGTGCTGTGGTTACATAAGGTGTTAATATTTGAGAAAGCTGGGCAAAGGACATATGCTGACTGTGTATTATTTTTGCAACTTTTCAAAATCTAAAATTATGTCAAGATGAAGAGTTTTATAAATAGCTGAAGCAAACATGACCAAATGGTTAAGTGTTTGATGATAATGAAGTATTCGTTATCTCATCTATACTTCTCTGTATGTTGAAAAGATTTCACAGTGAGACAAAAAAAAAAAGGGAGAATGTATAAATTTAAAAACTGAGAATAAGGAATTAGATAGTCTAAAGAGATATTGTTATCATACAGTAGTTCTTAAACAATGAACTGCAATGAGGGCCCAGTCTTCATATCTGCTGGGCAGGAGCCTTGAAGGAAGACTAGAAATACAAACACTGGCATATTGAACAGCACTGGTCATCTGATTCCTAAGCAAAATGCTTGATGTTGATTTCCTGTTCCCCTGCCTGGCTTTCTCTTGTGGTTCATGTTAATTTCACTCTGATTGCTATTACTCTAATAGTTCTCCTGATTTGCTTTTCACCCAGTTCGACAGCCTAGAGACCTGGGGTTCAGTTTATTTTGCAATTTAGAAGTAATTGTCAATTTACAGGAAAAGTTGTCTGAACGGAAATAGGGATACCAAGTGTACAGACCAGCTTTGAGGAGAAGATGGTAAGTTCAACTGAAATATTAAGTTTGAACGGCTTCATCATGACCTTCATGTAGAGGTACCCTGCCAGCTATTGGTAAGGAAGGCCTCGAAATTGGGACTACAGTTGGGATATGACCTGGGTATTTGGTGATTATTCACAAAAGATGTGAGACTTGATGAGATCATCAAGACTTGGGGACAGAACCTTGAAGAACACCTGAATTGGAGGAGCAAGAAAAAGAGAAACTTGACTGGGAAGGCGGGAATAAAAACAGAATTATGTTTTATTACTAATCATGTTAAAGTTGTAAGAAATTCAAGAAAAATGAGAGCTGAGTATACATCAGTAGATTTGGTTATCAGAAAGTGACCTTTAATGCATCAGATTCAGCTACCCCATTCAGGGTAGTATGGGGAGGGGGGGATGTGACTGCAAGAAGCTAAGGACAAAGTGAGTGAGAAGGGAATGGAAGGAGCAGATATCTGGTGGTGTGGAGGAGAGAGATGGGATGAGTGGTAGCCTTAAAGAAATAGCTGCACTAAGGGAAGGATTTTAGAAAAAGAAACATGGGCACACGCGTAGGAGAGAAGGAGCTGCCTGAGAAGAAAAAATATACTCCAAAAAGATGGACCAGCAGCTGGGTGCCGGGGGCTCACACCTGTAATCCCAGCACTTTGTGAGGCCTAGGCAGGCAGACTGTTTGAGCTCAGGAGTTCAAGACAATCCTGTGCAACATGGTGAAACCCCCGTCTTTACAAAAAATACAAAAATTAGCCACGTATGGTGATGTTCACTGTAGTCCCAGCTACTTGGGAGGCTGAGGTGGGAGGATGGCTTAAACTCAGGAGGCAGAGGTTATATTGAGCTGAGATCATGCCAATGCACTCCAGCCAGGGCAAAAAAGTCAGACCCTGTCTCAAAAACAAAGGAGCAATGAATGGAGCAACTTCAGGGAGGAGATTTAAAAAAAGAAGCCGGGCATAGGTGGAAATATACACTAGGATGAAGAAGTGAGCCTAATATCTTCAGTGCAGGTGTGAAAGGCTAAAAGTGAAGATTTTGGAAGCAGAGAACCTTTGACCAGAGCCTCCAAGAAGTCAGAATCAAACTCAGGTGCTGAATAAGGAGTACTAAGGGAAAGGTTGAAGAAGAGTAGGGAGGTTTGGAGGGGAATTGTGGTTTTTAAACAGTATAAATATAAATCCACTGCTATCCTATTTTCTCAGTTGATTGTTGAGTAGCCCTGAAGTGGAAAAGAATCTTCTCAGATAGCATTCGATAAGGTGATTTTGCATTCGTTTTGTAACATTATTCCAATAACCCTGTGACATAACTGGAACGGATATTAGCCCAGTTTTATAATGAAGAAATCAAGGCTCCATAGTCAGATGCCTACCAAGATCATCCATCAATAAAGTCAAGATTTAAACTCTGCTATTTTCACTGTACTTTGTTAACTCTACACACCTTGGGGAAAAGCGTCACTTTATCTGCAGCCAAAGCAATTTTTTTAAAAAGCACTCAAGAAAAGCTGCCAATGTGTGCACTGTCAACAGAATCTTGCCTAATAATCTTATTAGTTGAACGAGATTCTTCATTAAATGGTTATATTGCTAGATAGGAGTTGGTAGCAGATGGGTGATATTGAAAGCAGCTCATCACAGCTAAAACCGTTGGCAAGAGACTTTAGAAAGTACAATGATAGATGACATGGCATTCAATTTGGAGAAGGTTGTTGACTCTAATAGGATGACCCACAGGTCAAGCTCAGGGTTAATCTTACTTAACATCTATTACGATTCTTGCAGCATGCATAATAAAATGCTAGTGGAATCTGAAGGTAATCATAACTGTTAGGTGATTAAAATACTAACAAGTCGGGGAAAGAAAGTAAAAGGAAATTGACATGGTTTAAAGTTAAGAGAAGAGGGTAGGGAATTGCATAAGGTTTAAAGTAGGAAGAGATTTTTCACTAAAAGGAAATGCAAACATACTGTAGTGGGAAAGAATCCCTACATTCTCTGAGTTGGACCAAGGAGAACCTAGAAGATGATCAGGAGGGAGGTAATAAGTGATAATGCAGACAGTACAATAAACTATCTGCCAAAATATTTGACTCAGTCTCAGTCTCAGCGGTAAAATTGGAAATGGCATGCTATCATTTGCTTAACAAAAAGAGCCAGAAGTTGAGGAGAGAATGAATTTGTGTGAGTGTGCACAGCTAAAATATACACATACACTCATACAGAATATCTCTGAAAAGATACAGAAGAAAATAATAACCTTGGTTACCTCCTGTGAAATCAGCTGGTGGCCCACAAGCTAAATCCTGCCTACATTGTTATATTTGGCCACATATTACTGAAACTTTGAGATATCTTTAGGCAAAGTATAAGCTCTCCAGGTTAGCATAATACTCATCATTCTCCAATTCACCTTATATCCAGCTGATTTGACACGTTTATGTTATCTGCCTGGCTCTTGGAGGGAAATTAGTTGGCAGCATCCCATATGCACATGCATGGACACAGCCAAATATAAAAAGATTAACATAGAAAAGGGGCCTATACAGATATATATGGATATATTTTGAAAGGTTAGTCACAATGATCTCAGAGTGGTTAGACTATGGGTGATTTTTCTTCTGTTTATCAGCATTTCTAAATGTTCTACTCTAAACAGATACTATATTTATAAGATACATTATAAAAGACAGTTTATCTTAAATTTACATTTAAATTAACAACCATTATCAGCCTCCAGCCAATGATGTGGTGGGACAATTACCGTGATGAATTTTGCTTTCTGTTATGATTTTGCAGTAATGTCTGTGCCTATGTCTTTGTATCTGTCTTTATTACAACCCAGGGCAGGTGAATGTATACTATGAGTCCATCACATACTTAACAGAAAAAGCAAATCAGCCAGCATGGTGTCCCCTTTTCAATAAAGAAAAAAGATATTTAAAAGGAATGTTTTTAATATTAACAGGTAATATTTTAATGAGTAGTTTTTACATTGTAATCTAAATAATAATAGCCCACTCTCCTAATCATCCAGATTCCCTTCAGAGACATTCAAAGTTACCAGTTTCGTGTGTATTATTTCAAAGGTTGCCCATATATATAAGTAATTATGAATATATAATCTTTAGGAAAATTTTGCCCAGAGCAAGTTCATTGTTTTTATCTGAGTATTACTAAGATGAATCGGAAATGTTTTTTATTTTTAATGATGTGAACAGACAATTGCTTTGAATTCATTGTGGAACATCATGGTGCTTGTTGCGACAGGAATGCGTAAGTTTCATTCTAACGGTGGCCGCAGGGATATTTCCTCACTTGCTGCAACTGCAGGAAGCAATGAGATGAGCCTCCTAACCAAATATTTCAACCAGGCAAGCAGACTACCTTAGTGATTTTAATGGTGTTCTCCTAATCTGATAATTATTATCCCATTCCTTCCCTGTTGCTGACAAGAAGCCTATAGAGAGTAGCTAGTTTTAAAAGTGAAATGGGCTTGACTGTGAAAATATGCAGCCTTATGATTTTAGTGACAATTTATCTTAGTCAGCGCTAAGTGAATTCAAATCCAATCCATCATATTTCTACCTCCAAATCTCCTAAACAATCCTGAAAAGGCATGATTGTGTCTGCTTCTCCTAAGTCATTTATCATTTTAAAAAGATAAAGTGGTTTCCTGCATAATTAAAAATCAAGAGTTCCCCACTGTGAATGTCTAGATTCTAACCCGGGTGCCTTTGCTGAGGGGGTTGGCAGAGGGCTGAGATACGTGTGTGGACGATGGCCCAGGAGAGATCAACATCCCTTCTTTAATGGCCCATGCAAATGCCACCTCAAGGGAGTAGAGGAGAGACTTTCCACCTTATCATCAGGATGTTACCACATGACTGGTGACCTCTGTAACCTGGTCCTGACCCAGAGAGAAGGAACTGTTTAGGAAGCAGGCGCAAGCTCTCTTCTCTCTCCTTCCTCCTCACTCCTGCTGTCTCCCTGGTGTGACTGAGGCGTGCTGAAAGGTGAGGCTGTCACACAGATCTCTCCAACAGCCTGCCAGAATGCAGAAATGTGACGGGAAGGGTCATGACTCCCAAACAGAATGCTCCCTCGTGATTTCCAGCTGTCACTATTTAGGGTAGCAAGGCTTTCTTCTACTTATTCCAAAGCCTGGGGATTGAGACTTTCCCAAGCTTCTCTTCTGGCAAACCCTTCCTCCACTACTCCATATCAGCACCTCCTGCTGTCAGCTACTTAGAATGTGAGGCCACACTGTGCTTGGAACCCACCCTGGGAAGCTAGGCAGCAGGGGTCAGTCCAATTGCTGAGGATTCTCAGAAGCCTCATTAATTCATGTTGCTTTTATCCCTGGGCTGGCTAGCTCACTTCTCATCCACCCACAAGTGGTCCCGATGACACTGCCCCTACCTTTAGCAACAAATCCTTGGCCTTCCTGAAGCCATCTGACCCCATCATCTCAACACCTCTTTAAAAAGACGCTCTTTCTCTCCACCACTGTTCTCACTCTCAAAGCTTTGTCCTCTATCTTTGGCAAATTCAAAAACAGACCTCAGGAAGAGATTAAAGTTCCAGTCATCTTCACCTACACACCCACTCCCGTTCCTACTCTGCTCTGTATCAGCAAGGCTCAAAGCCCCCAGAGCTGACAAGGAACATGACCATTGCAGACATGGTTCAGTGGTAAGACTTGGGAGAACTTGGGCAATGTATATATCCAGACAACTTTAGTGAAAAGTTCTATCTTTTCAAGGGCCAGGTGACAGCTGTCTCATTTTCTCTGTTAAGAGAAAGACCAAAAAAGGGTGCATTTCTATTTCATGAAAAAATCTCTGCAGAGTAGATTAATCTTCTTAGAGACTTCTACTTTTAACCAATTCAGGGAATAAATGCCATCTAAACTGTAAAGTGGTGAGCCAGCTTTGTCTAAGTGAACCTGCGTGCTTTTCTCTCACTGAATGTGGAAGAGCCACATGAGGATTCATAACCCTATCCAGTTGCTTCACATACAACAGGTGTTGCTATCCAAAGACCTTTACTCTTAGATTTGGGAAGGCATCTAACTGAAAGCAGACTAACACAGTAAGGGAGAGGGAGAGCGTTGCCTGCACCCGAGGGTTGCAAGGCTGGATAAACAGAAAGCCTGGCACTCAGCTTTTGCCTTGGGCTATTGGCTAAAACGACACTGTCTAGTCAAGCAACGTTATCATAAGAAAAACAGGAGAAACCTAATGGTTTCAAGACTAGCACATGGGGAGAATGTGAAATCAGGATGAAACAGCCCGTCTAATGAGAGTGCCAACATTTCTAAAGGACTTCAGGGTCAGTGGAAGTGAAGGTTCATAGGGTAGACACAGCTCTGGATGCAGTCAGGTCCCCAACAATCATCTCAGTGGTTCCTCCAAAAAAGAAGGTCTGACTTGTGCTCTCTGGGTGTTTTTCTGGCCTTTCACTGCCTGCCCGCCCTCACAGAGGAGACACCTCTACTCCCCATTCCCATTCCCACCACACCCACCTGGCTCCTGGATGCACAAGCCCTTCCCAGTAGCCCAGGCCCCTCGAGCCTCACCTGTCCACTGTCATCTTACTCAGTGGTGTGTGGCTTTAGGCAGCACACCCTCTCCAAAGGTACCTCTCACCTGAGTGATAGGTACTCCAGAAGGCGAGCACAGTTCTGAACCCAAATTCTTTATAATTTCACCCAAACCTAATATACAAAAATAAAACAAAACCATACTGAGTGTAACAATTGGGGCCATAATAACTTTAGATAAGAAATTTCCATCATTAGGAAATATAATGGGAAAATCAGTAGTATGTGGGGGAAGGCATTATAGGGTGACTTAAATGGACATCTATCTGGAAGCAAAACAGTGTATAGGTGTCAAAATGTGTGTGTCATTATCAGATACAAGTAGTTTCTTTTATTCAGAGGCCTTATTTTTAGTGACAACCTCATTTTTTTCAGAAAATAATCTGTTCATCACTAAAACTACTTCTGGCTGGTCAGAAACACCACCATCTCAGAGAGGGACTTGAGAGTGACATTAATGCACCAGAGAGAGGCCAGCAAAAAGTGAGGGTGACTTTTATTCTAATGGCTTTCTAGGGAATAAACACCCATAGCAACTCTTCTGCTCTTTCATTATAATTTTTCTGCCATGGTCTATTTAGCTGGGAAACATCTGAAGCCATTTTTACCTAATAAATACCAGATCAAACTTTTCATTGACTTTTTTCTATCATATGAAGTATGTCATTTAAGACATAAGGCAGCCAACATTTAGAGCTACTTTTGAGGATTTCATTACAAAATGTTACTCTTCCCTCCCCCCTCACATTATGAGCTGAGCAGCTTTCAGTACTTGAGTCACATGTATCTAAATGAGGTAAATGTTGAGTTTAAAGCAATTAAGGAGGAGGAGGAGGGATTATTTTTCTTTTGTAATTGGAGAGGATATGTTAATTATTTTTATTTGAAAAGTCAAATCATGCAATTGAAAGCAAAATAAATAAGCATTTCAGTCTCATTTCTCTCAAATGGCCACTGGATGCCTTGAAAGCAAAAAACAACATGAACATCAGATTTAATAATTTTCTAAATAACCAGCAACAAATATGTTCCAAACCTGCAAATAAAATATGAATGCACTTTGTCAGCTAGACACTGAAACTTGAGATGAGGGGCCAGAAAGGTAGAAAGTTACTTAATGGTACAATATAGTACGATATAAGCCTGAGAAAACACCAAAGAGCCTAAGAAGCCCCTTCAAACACTGCTTCACCAGAAAAAATTAAGAGCTGCTATGACCCAACCAAATACCTGCCCCCCAAATTAAGAAGGGTTGATAGGCCCTTCCAGGCCATCCTCCTGCCTGAAGACAGAATGGACATCATTCCAGAGAGACACAAGTTACCTGTCTGTCAAGTGGTTGCAGGAGAAGCCTCAGCTTTCTCCTGAAAGCCATCATAATGCCACAGTCACCACTGCCATCACCTCTTTACTTTCATCTAGCCTGACTCACTTTTTCTGTGAGTTTATCCTTAGTGAAAACAAAGAACAGTTGGTCATCATCTTCTTACACTAATAATCCATCATCTAATTAAGACCGTTTTATGCACCAATAGCAGACTTTTCTCAATGAATTATCTCCAGGCCTCTAGCATCTCCTCTCTGACATAATTTTTTTTTTCTTTTTTAGGTCTTTAGTCATTCTATGGCTCTCCTTTAAACAGCCTTCATGTTTCCCTTCAGGATGTGATGACCGGGCCTGGATACTGTATTCCAACTGTGTTCTGATAGTGCTGACTAGAATAAGGTTATGCCTAACAGATCTGGCAGAGACACAGACAGGAACCAAGACTAGAGATGGAAAGTTCCAACAGGCTTCCGGTCTTTGGTTCTAGTTGGTTCCCAAGGTCCCAAGTCACTCCTGTCTCCTAATAATAAGTTCCCTGATTTTGCTTAAGTTGTCACCACTGTTTTTTTTTTTTTGATACTTGCAAACTTCTCACAAATATATCTGTGTTTAACAGCTGCTCCCAGACATGGCTGCTATAAGACTGACAAGGCTCAGGTCCAGAGCCAGGCAGAAAGAAGGCCTTAAAAGCAAAATGCCAAAGCATTGGCCATTTGACTATGCCCAAAGACCATGTCCTAGAAGTTCCCTCTTCCACCATTGACCCATCAGCACTTAAGCTTCATGACTTCTGTAGATTTTGTACTCCTAGCTAGCTCTACCTAGATGATTGGTGCATTATTATCTTAGATAATAACACTCAACACCCCCAACAGCACAGCTCTAGCCACTCCTCAGTCTTTGCTAAAATCATGATCATCTGTTCCAAAGCCATTATTTTATAGGTATAGAAATGGAGGCTGAGAAAAATATAAAGTGACAACATCAAATGTATAACCCTAAAACAAGCTATTCACTGGACTCCTGCCAATCAATCCACAACTTACCCTGGGGGTCACTGAATTTTTCAGCAATACCTACATTATGAAGCAATTTGCTATGCCAATATTTGCCAGTGTGACCTTCCCCAAAGTGTTTTGTGGTTCTCTATTTCCCCATTTGCTTCTCAGAGTATTTTGTTTCTCTGAACACCAGCACCCTTGGACACCTAGCCCAATGGCCAGTGGTTTTGACCTTAGTTCACCTAAAAAAAAAAAAAAAAAAGGAGAGAGAGAGCGAGAGCTACTCATACAGGAGGAATATCTTCCAGGAAACCTACCTCAAAAAGATTGTCCACTAGAAACATGAGGCAGCTTTTCATTTCCCCTTTATCAAAAATCGTAAAATTGACTCTTCTTCTTATTCAGAATGTATGAGTCCTAGTAAAACTCCTGCTTTCCTAGTTGAAAACCCAAGTCAGAATTTTAAAATATCTTATTTCCACACTATATAAAGGTTATATGCACTGTTATGTCCCTTTCTTACTGTCTTTTTTTTCTCAAGTTCACATCTCAGCATTCCCGTGTTGAATTCTTCTGCTTTTATCTTTAATTACTTCCCCAGGTTACTGTTTACTATCCAGCCCTAATCTCTGCTATTCTGACTACCCTTGCCTTTTCCAAATTCCCATTTTAGGGTCCCTTAAGAACTTAATCAGGTTTTTTAAAAATTTAGTGCCCCATCAATCATGAACCCTTCTCCTAAGCATTCACCTTATATTTTAATATTTGGTCATATCAGAGGAAAGCTAACTTGACTTTCTTGGGAAACTTTGTTGTACATATTTTGTATCCTGTTCTATTTCTAGCCTCCCCTCTGTAGGTCTACACACTTTTGCTGGAACATTACACCTAATCCATTATCCAGAAAATGGAAATATAATACTAAGTGGTTTACTGCAGCCCCCATTTTTTTCATAATGACATAAAAAATTATGACACTTAAAAGCCAATGATCCCTGCAGTCATTTATCCTCAAGTAAGAATAAGTTTATTCTTGTGGAGCAAAATCTGTATCAGATATAGTTCTCACATTGTAAGATATGTACCCTTAATGGATAACATCAGGGCAGCCTGCAAGCACCCAGCATCCATTCTGTACCCTGATGGTGCAGAGCCCATTATCAGAAGGCAGGTAGGCTCTTACCATTCAGATGGAAGGGCCAGCCTTTCAGAAATTCACTGAAGCCTCAATGTCAAATGTGGTTTCACAGAGAGATAATGATTCCTTTCAAACAATGGGAAAATAACTGAGGAAAGTCATTATGTCACTGTTAAAAAATGTTCTCAATGATCCTGCCCTAGCTGTTACCTAATCTGAGTTTTATTTCTAAAGGCTCCTGAGTGAGAAGACTTAAGCACTGCACATACCCAGCTCATGAAGTAATTGCTTTCTATGTAAATCAAATATCGGTAGCAGAATGTGAACAATGCTGGGGTGAAGGGGTGAGGTTACTGGGGGACGATGTAGCAGCTAAAGAAGTTTTAAAACTACACCCACTTTGACAGAGCTCTTAGTCTCTAACACCAACTGGAGAACAGGCAAGCATCTGGCAGATGAGGGCTGTTTACAGAACACCAGCTGCTGGCCTGAGGTGGTTTCTCCAGAGCCATCTGCTTTTAAAGAGGCCCTCACCTGGGCTTCCTGGGGGAGCCACAGGCTATGAGAGATACCCATCCATGCTGACAGCCACATCTCCAGACAGCCTCCTTTGGGAGTAACCAGTTGTCCAGGTATTAGATTCAGTCTCTCAGCCTGGGGCAACTGTGCAACTAACCTTTTCTGATGACCTTCTTTCAAGCCTTCTGCTCCCACTCAGCTCCTGTGAGTTAGCAGCTCTCCTAAATTCCTGATAAAAGAAGTACTGCAGACATATTTCCTGCCACTAGAAATCGGCCCTTGACATCTTCCCAATAAAATATTATGCAGCCATTTGAAATGATGACGCGATTAGATTTATTGGTCAAAAAAAGTTCACACTAGATCGTTAAATTTAAAATGCAGGTTATAAGACAGCAATTTGAGAGTATTTTTTAAATCAATGTTTAAGTGAATGTATTTATAAAAAGGCACTAAAAGGTCTGGAAGAGCTTACATCAAAATATTAACAGAGGCCATCTCTGGAGATTACAGGTTATTTTTTCTTTATGTTTAACTTTATTTTCTAATTATTTAATGTATGTGTACTCTATGTATAATTTTTAAACTAGTAAGTTAAGAGAAAGAAATTCAGCCTCTAAATACGTGGACCAAATTTTCACTCCTCCCTTCTTTATGTTACTTGTTTTTGAGACAGCAGTTATAGAACAGGGGCACTATAGTTTCCCAACTCTCAGGGAAACCTCCATTGGCCACAAGAGTCCCTTGAGTGCTCTGTGCCCTGCAAGAGAATAGAAGAGCCTTATAGAGAAAACTACAACCTTGGTGAACCACCGATTAAACACAGCAGAACCACAGGAGGCTTGCAGGGGGAAATCTAAGTAACATGGCTTTAAAGATTTCTTTAAAGGTGGTAAAAGTCTTTTTAAATAAAATATATTGATTTTAAAACTATTACTATGACCTTTTCTTGATGATCAAAAGCAGATTGAATTTTATTCTTAATCACTGTGCATTTTTTTTGTATTTTTACCACCTCTATCTAATATAAAACATCTGTAGCCTTTGGACTGGACTCCAATTCTCCCCACTACTCTCTGTGTATCGGGTTCACCCCCTCAGCTATGATGCTGCCCTTCACTATATTCCTGCAGTTAATCAACCAAGATTTTGTAAGGATCTTCTCTCTCTGTGCTTCCTATCATCTGTACTACTTGTTTGATTTCAATAATATACAGTTTTATGTGGTTACTTAAAATTTAATGTGTTTATAATTTCACCTCCTAAGATTTAAGCTCATTATCAAGAGATGCTGCGAGTTGTTCCCAAAATACATTCTTTCTTTCCTCCACATAAATAGAACTCCTGATTTTACTTGGGGCACATGGCCACCCATAATGAAGTTCACATTTCTTAACCTTGCTGCAGCTAGATGTGACAATGTAACTAAGTTGTGGCCAATGAGACTTAAGTAAAAGAGTTGTGTGCAACCTCCAGGAAGTGCTGTGAAAAACAGGAAGCATGCTCTTCTTTTCTTCTTTTCCTTGGAAATGTTGACATGATGGCTGGAGCCCACACAGTCAGCTGAGACTCTGAAGTAAAAAATTATATGCCAAGAAATCCAGGGCAATAAGACAGGAGGAAACTGGGCCCTGGTGGTATTAGGAACCTTCCTTGGCAGTCAGGACTGCTTTTTTCGAGATTTATTTCATGTGAAAAACAAACTTACATCCAGTTTAAGCCATTGTAATTTAGGGGTTTCTGTCACCCACAGCTGAACTCACCGTAACTGGTAAAAACAGTGCATGACCATATTTTCATTCATTCTGAAATGATTTCCTGAATATTCACTGCGTGCCAAGCACTGTCCTGGCTCTGGAAATGCAGCACTGAACAAAGCAGAGCCTCTCCCCTTGTAAAGCTTTGTTCTAGTGCAGTATCCACACAGCTCCTAACACAGTGCTACACAGTAGCACTGAACAGGTAGGTGCTGAAATATTGGATGAATGAGTTCACAATGAGCCCTACTGTTTATCCTTTAGTATTAAACTGATTTTGTTTATAAATCTGAAATTCGGCCGGGCGCGGTGGTTCACACCTATAATCCCAGCACTTTGGGAGACCGAGGCAGGAGGAGCACAAGGTCAGGAATTTGAGACCAGCCTAGCCACATAACGAAACCCCATCTCTATTAAAAATAGAAAAATCGGCCGGGCACAGTGGCTCATGCCTGTCATCCCAGCACTTTGGGAGGCCAAGGTGGGAGGATCACAAGGTTAGGAGTTCGAGACCAGCCTGGCCAATATGGTGAAACCCCGTCTCTACTAAAAATACAAAAAAATTAGCCAGGTGTAGTGGCACATTCCTGTAATCCCAGCTACCCGGAAGGCTGAGTGAGGCAGGAGAATTGCTTGAACCCAGGAGGTGGAGGTTGCAGTAAGCCGAGGTCACGCCACTGCACTCCAGCCTGGGCAACAGAGTGAGACTCCATCTCAAAAAATAAATAAATAAATAAATAAAAATACAAAAATTAGCCAGGCATAGTGGCACGCACCTGTAGTCCCTGTAGTACTCGGGAAGCTGAGGCAGGAGAATGGCTTGATCCTAGGAGGTGCAGGTTGTGGTGAGCCAAGATCGCACCACTGCACTCCAGCCTGGGCAAGAGAGTGAGACTCCATCTCAAAAAAAAAAAAAAAAAAAAAAAAAAAAAAAAAAAAAAAAATCTGAAAATCTTTGTATGACTAATGCTCAAAAAAAGAATCACAACTGTTTTTTAAAAGAAAGAAAATTATTTAACCAAACTTCCATTACCATACACTCTGCCCCCCAAAAATAAACACATTAACAAAGTTCTATTGATACCTTTTAAAATATAATGAAAAATGATGACAGCCCAAAATAATGAATTGTAGTGTTACACAAACCCCCATTTTTCTATTTCTTTCTTTTTTTTTTTTTTTTGAGGCAGGGTCCCACTCTGTCACTTAGGTTGAAGTACAGTGACATGATCATGGCTCACTGCAGCCTTGACCTCCTGGGCCCAAGCAATCCTCCCACCTCAGCCTCCTCGGTTGCCAGGACCACAGGTTTGCACCACCACACCTGGCTAATTATTTATTTATTTATTTATTTATTTATTTATTTATGTCTCTCTATGTTGCCCAGAATGGTGTCTTGAACTCCTGGACTCAAGCAATCCTCCCACCTTTGCCTCCCAAAGTGCTGGGATTACACACGTTAGCTACCATGTCCAGCCCTCTATTTCCTTATCCATAATAGGAACGTGTATAGGACTGTTGTGAGAATTAAATGAGATAATGTCTCAGAAAAGGTTAATAAATATTAGCTACATTCATTCAACAATAAATATTAACAGTCTTAAAAATAATCACATTCAGTAGTTCCATTTCTGGGATTCTATTCTAAGAAAATAATCCTTAATATGGGGGGGAAATCTTAACCAAAAAAGTTCATCCCAGTGTTATTTATAGGCAGAAACTAGAGATTTAGTGACCTTTTCCTTCCGTCCAATGGTGAGCTAAGGCCTAGCACTCTGGCTCAAGCACAGATCTATAAACCCAGGACTAGCCGGGAAGAGGCAGACAGGATTGGAAAGAAGCGGAGAAGAAAGGAGATTTTAAGTCCAAATTCCTGGCAAGGCAGACTTACAAGAAGAAAAAGTTCAAGATGTCAAGTACATCGGGGTAGGGCCAAGCAAGAGAGCCAAAACAAAGCTTGACCCCTGAGATCAGGCCCCCCAAGGGAATGTTCCAGAATGTGGATCCTGGAGATATGCCCTGAGAATGGGTGGGGAAGAGAAGGAAGAAGCCTCCGCGGAGCATCTCAGTCCCAGTCAGTGGGTGGGCCAGTAGACACTGGGTCCTAAATAGAAACAAGAAAAATTTCCATCGAGAGGGGAATGGATAAATAATTGAATACTGCAATAAAATAGGATGTAACAACTACAAAATACTGATTAGAAAGACTATAGTAATCTAAGAAAATCCTTGACTAATGCAAGCATATATGTTTATGTATATGTAGTACATGTGACATATATAAGGAATTATGTGTATGTATAAGTAAGTGTACATATATGCTTACATATATGTACATACATATGGACATATGGTATGTACTTATGTGTAAGCATATATGTATAAATATATAAATCTCATATATATATATGAGATAGTAACTATGGCATATGCATAGAAAAAAATACTTAGAGGAACCATAGCAAAATGCTAATGATTGTTTGATTAGGAAAGTAAATGGTGATTTGCCTTTTCTGTATATTTGTTAAATTTTATGTAATGTATAGGTTTAGATTACTTTTATATTTAAAAACTTAAGTAGGGAGGCAAAAGGAAAATTAGGTACATTTATCTGAATCTAATAGTACCGCTTTTCCAGAAATTTGTTTCTTAAGAGTGAAATTTGTGTGTCTTAGGCAATGAGCCATATTTTTAGCCTCCTAAATCCTTTCCTCTAAATGTCAATTGATGAGTTACTGGAAAAAGAATCTTTCTCTTTAACTAGTTGTGGCTCTTTTGGAAGAATTGTAACTCTTGGCTAACATGGGATATTATTTGGAGGACAAAACTCAAAACTCATTTATGGGATCCACTCTAATGGCCAGCAAGTACCTAGGCCCTTTCCAAAGGTCCTAACTTGCTCCCAAGGTGAACCCTATTCACATGTTGCATGAGGTATGAGGTATTCGAAAGAAAGTAAAATGCTACAAATACAAATATTATTACCTTCCTCTCATATATTTTTTCATTTCTATTAGAAACTTACTGACAGAATGTCTCCTTTCAGTCCCTGGATTCACCAGAACCCAGGCAGTTCATTTGTAATTTTGGTAACTCTACAGCCATGATCAGAATCAATCTATGTGACAGATTGACCATGGGATTATCAATACCAACTTTTAGGCCTTCCAAAGACCTCCCATGAAATAAATCCCCAAATCAAATCAAGTGAATATTTAAAATAACATCCTTAGTTATCAAAGCTTGATATTTAATTTTTGGATGAATTTTTTTAATTTAGAATATTAAATTTGTTTCTAAAAGCTCCTCTAAACAATTGGGAAAAATGTGATCATAGACTGGATATTAGATAAGACAAAATGCATTTAAATAGCAGATATTCTTAACTTTAAAAAGCAAGTGGCAAAATTCGGGCACGGTGGCTCACACCTGTAATCCCAGCACTTTGGGAGGCCGAGGTGGGTGGATCATTTGGGGTCAGGCATTCAAGACCAGCCTGGCCAACATGGTGAAACCCCATCTCCACTAAAAATACAAAAATTAGCTGGATGTGTTGGCGTACACCTGTAGTCCCAGCTACTCGGGAGGCAGAGGCAGGAGAATCGCTTGAACCCCGGGAGGTGGAGGTTGCAGTAAGCCAAGATCGCACCACTGTACTCCAGCCTGGGGGACAGAGCAAGACTCTGTCTCAAAAAAAAAAAGAAAAAAAAAAGCAAGTGGCAAAATAGCTAGTGAAGTGTGACCTTATTCTCAGAAAAAATACATATATGCATAATTGGAAAGAGATATGGGAGAACAGACAGTAAAGAGGTGGCAGGAATCATCCCTGGAAAATAAAAAGGAGTTTATATTCTTGCTTACATTATATATATATATGGCTTATTTATGTTATTTTTACTTTCTGCAATACACATATACTGTGTTTGTAATAACAAAAGGTTATTTTCAGTTGAAAAATAAAAGTTCCCCTTAGTCTTAAAAATTTAGATCTTTGCATTTCCTGGTTCTGTCTAGGTACCATGTTCAAATTAAAATGCCAGAACCTACTATAATGCCAAAAATGTGGGAACAACCTCTTCTTAAGTAAGGAATATAAATTTTAAAAGAAAATATCATGGGAAAAAGTTGCTCTTGCAAGACTCCCTGCCCAAGTTCAAAGGCATAATACATTTTGCATAAGATTTTGATAAATAAATATATTTTAGGGCTGTATACAATACCAAATTCGTACTCTGATCATTTTGATTTTTGCCCACCGTTAATCAATGTCTCCCAAAGAAACTCTGAAACTTTATATCCTAGTATCTATTTATAGTATTCCCTTTAAAATATAACAGCAAGATAAACTAGTGATAAGAAATACTTCCTACTTTGGTAACCCTGAAATATTCACCTGTAATAGTTAAATATAAAAGTAAATTATTCATTGACCACTTCAGCTGTAATGATTCCAAAGCAGCTGTTGTTTACCTGGGCAACAGTCTTCAAATCAAAATAATTCTCTGAATCAAATTTGGGTTCCACGCTGTTAGTCCTTATGTTCAACAGATAGGTTGTAATAGCTCCAAAATAACCACTGTGGGCCAAGAAGTAAAAAACCCTTTTCAAAAGCATAATTATATATTGTATTTATATTATAGTCAGAGATATTATGGTAAGGTAAATAACTAAAAGTGACAGTTCTGAAACCCAACAAAATGACTCACAAGGAAACAAAAGGCACTTTTACACCACCTTTCAGGCAATATGCATATGTATAGAGAATGTTATTTCCTTAGCCACAAAGAAAGAATTGTATAGGAATAAATGATTACGTAGTTCTCCTCTACCCTCCAAATTAAAGGTTTGCACCTAGAAAAAAGTAAAATAAAACTTAATGTTCCAATCTTTGTCATTGATAAAGGATTTCCTTGCTTTTAATGACTTGCTTGCTATTACATCATATTTTAAAACCAGAATACAGAAAGCCTATATATGTTTTTCAGAGTAGGGTATGGAATCTGGGTGAAGCACATGGCTGGCTCTCCTGCAGGACTCTGCTGGGTCTTTGAATTGTATCCATATGAAAAATAAATGGGTCAGTAGAGTTCTGGTTCTGCCAGGGCAGTGTGAGCCCAAAATATCCTATCCCTCCTGCTGATTACAACTAAAGACGTGGACAAAAACATGGGAGGAAAAAACTACCTGAGGACTGTAAAAGTAAACAAAAGCAGGTGTATTCGGGGGGATTGGTGAGTTTTTCCCATTTTTTTTTTTTCTGATGCAGCTTTATCCTGAGGGCAGGCCCCAGTGGCCTATTCATAGCTAAAATTCCAATAGAAACATGTCTTTCTGGCCAGAAGAACTGGGAAACGTTAACCAGATGGGGCAGGTGAGTGAGAGAAATTCCAAAGGGGAAAGAACTAGAGAAAGTGGTCCCCTAATTCTGTGTATGAACCCTAGGCTCAGTCTATCATCTGAGTCAAGAATGCACAGAACAGACACAAACCACTATAGCAAAGACCTTCAAAATTTAACTGAGATATAAACCACCCGCATAAGTCTCAGACTAACCCCTGAACTATGCATGTGCAGGACAGACCCAAAGCAGCACAGCACAGACATATAATTTATTATAAAATTTAAACCAGTGCCCACAGAAGATCATCAGAACTTAGTCACAGCCTAACCGCACTGATTGACTGCTAAAGCAAAAACATCAACATTCTTCTAAGGATTACAAAAGGACTTAGAAACTATGCACTATAACACTGACAATGTTCAGGATGCAATCCAAAATTACTTGACAACCAAAGAAACAGGAAAATGTGACCAATTCTTTTTTTTTTTTTTTTTTTTTTTGAGACGGAGTCTCGCTCTGTCACACAGGCTGGAGTGCAGTGGCACGATCTCAGCTCACTGCAAGCCCCGCCTCCCAGGTTCACACCATTCTCCTGCCTCAGCCTCCCGAGTAGCTGGGACTACAGGTGCCTGCCACCACGCCCAGCTAATTTTGTTTTTGTATTTTTAGTAGAGACGGGGTTTCACCGTGTTAGCCAGGCTGGTCTCCATCTCCTGACCTCGTGATCCACCTGCCTTGGCCTCCCAAAGTGCTGGGATTACAGGCGTGAGCCACCACACCCAGCCAAATGTGACCAATTCTTAAGGTAGAAACAATCAACACATGCCAACCCCAAAATAACCTCAATGTTGAAACTATCAAAGACTTTAAAGGAGCTATTATAACTACATTCCATGAGATAAAGGAAAATACATTTGAAATGAATAAAAAGACAAAAATTCTTGGTACAGAAATAGAAACTATAAAAAAAAAGGAACCGTTTGGAAACTTTAGAACTAGAAAATATAATATCTGAAATTTAAAAAAAAAGCTCATTGGAGGCACTCAATAGCAGAATGGAGATAACAAAGGAAAGATTAAATGAAGGTGAAGATAGATCAATAGAAATTATTCAAATTAAAAGACCGGGCATGGTGGCTCACACCTGTAATCCTAGCACTTTGGGAGGCCAAGGCTGGCAGATCACTTGAGCTCAGGAGTTCAAGACCAGCCTGGCGAACATGGAGAAACCTTGTCTCTACAAAGAAATGCAAAAATTAGCTAGGTGTGGTGCCACATGCCTGTACCAGCTACTTGGGAGGCTGAGGTGGGAGGATCACTTGAGCCCAGGAGGTTGAGGCTGCAGTGAACCATGATCATGTCACTGCACTCAGCCTGAGTGGGACACTGTCTAAAAAAAAAAAAAAAAAAGATGATCAAGACCTCCACACTACAAAACATTGCTGAAGAAAACTGAAGACCAGCCAGGCATGTTGGCTCATACCTGTAAAGCCAGCACTTTGGGAGGCCAAATCAGGAGGATCACTTGAGCCCAGGGGTTCAAGACCAGCCTGAGCAACATAGTCCGACCTCATCTCTACTAAAAATAAAAAATAGTAGCCAGGCGTGGTGGCATGCCTGTAGTCCCACCTACTTGGAAGGCTGAGGCAGGAGGATCACTTGAGCCCAGGAGATCTAGAAAAAGAACCAAATAAATGGAAAGGTATCACATACTTAAAATGAAAGACTCGTTGTTAAGGTAGCCCTATTTTTTTTTTTTTTTTTTTGAGACAAGGTCTCACTCTGTCACCCAGGCTGGAATGCAGTGGCACAATCACAGTTCACTGCAACCTTGGACTCCTGGGATCAAGTGATCCTCCCACCTCAGCCTCCAGAGTAGCTGGGACTACAGGTGCACACCACCACACCCAGCTAATTTTTCTTTTTATTTATAGTAGAGTCGAGGTCTTACTATGTTGCCCAGGCTGGCAATATCCTCATAGTAATGCATACTCTATGGGATACCAATAAAAATTTTAGCAGGCCTTAATTTTTTGTAGAAATGGACAACCTAATTCTAAAATGTATATGATAATGCAAAGGATCTAGAGTAATCAGAGGAATTAAAAAAAGGAGGAGTAGGAGGAAAAGAAGGAGAAAGAGAAAGGCAAAATTAGAGGACTTACCCTAACTGATTCCAAGACTCACTACTATAAAGCTACAGAAATCAAGACAATTTGGTATTGGTGATATATAAACCAAATATCACAGAACTTCTGAAAGAAAGCATAGCAGAAAATCTTTGCTAACTTGGATTAGGCAAAGGTTTCCTAGATAGGACACCAAAATAATAAACCATGTAAAAAGAAATAGAAAATTGGACTTGATCAAAATTAAAAACTTTTGTTCTTCATGAGGCACCATTAAGAAAGTAAAATGCAAGCCACAGACTGGGAGAAAATATTTGCAACATATATGCAAGGACTTTTTCCAGAGAACTTATAAAGGACTCTTATAGCTCAATAATAAGAAACCAAACAATCCAATTTTTAAAATGGACAAAATATTAAACAGATGCTTCAGCAAAGAAGATATACAGACGGCCAATAAGCCTGTGAAAAGATGCTCATCATTAGGCATCAGGGAATGCAAGTGAAAGCCACAATTATATACCACTAATCATCCATTAGATTAGCTAAAAGTAAAAAGAATGAGCATGCCAAGTGCTGACAGGGATATAGAGCAACTGAAACTCTCACAAACTGCTAGTAGAAATATAAAATGATAGAACCAGTTTGGAAGGTATTTTGTAGTTTCTCAAAAAGTTAAACACACACCTATGATAACACCCAAGCATTCCACTCCAAAGTATTTACGCAAGAGAAACAAAGATGCCCGACCACACAAAGACCTTGCATGAATGTTCATCACAGCTTTATTGGTAACAATCCCAAACTGGAAATAACCCAAACATCCAACAAGAAGTAAATGGATAAACAAATTGTTGTATATCCATAGAAAAGAACATAACTCAGCGATTAAAAAGGAATGAACCACTGATACATGAAACAACACGAATAGATCTAAAATATTATGCTGAATGACAATTCAGGAAAAAAGTATACACTGTTTATTCCAATTTATATAGAATTCTAGAAAAGACAAAGTAATCTATAATGACAGAAAGCACATCAGTGGTTGCCTAGGGAATGGAGTAAAAGAAGAGATGGATTACAAAGTTCTCAAGGAAACTATTGAGAATGATGGAAATGCTTGCTATATTGATTGTGATAGTTACATAGGTGTGTACATGTGTGAAAACTGATCAAATTGTACACTTCCAATATGTGCATTTTATTGTACTTCAATTTTCCATCAATAAAGTTGTACCAAAAAAGTGGAGGGAGGCCAGGCGTGGTGGCTTGTGCCTGTAATCCCAGCACTTTGGGAGGCCAAGGCAGGCGATCACGAGGTCAAGAGATGGAGACCATCCTGGCCAACATGGTGAAACCCTGTCTCTACTAAAAATACAAAAATTAGCTGGGCGTGGAGGCGGGCGCCTGTAGTCCCAGCTACTTGGGAGGCTGAGGCAGGAGAATCGCTTGAATCCGGGAGGCAGAGGTTGCAGTGAGCCGAGATCACGACACTGCACTCCAGCCTGGGCGACAGAGTGAGACTCTGTCAAAAAAAAAGAAAAAGAAAGAGAGAGAGAGAAAGAAAGAAAGAGAAATGAAGGAAGGGAGGGAGGGAGGGAGGGAGGAAGGAGAGAGGGAAGGAAGGAAGGAAGGAAGGAAGGAAGGAAGGAAGGAAGGAAGGAAGGAAGGAAGGAAGGAAGGAAGGGAGAGAGACAGAGAGAGACAGAAAGAAAGAAAGAGTGAGTGAGTGGAGGGAGGAGGACCCAATTTATTGACAAAAGCAATGGGTGGCTCTATGGTTTCTGTTTCCAGCCATACCGTGGACTAGAAAACCTGATATTTTCACTGCTAAACATTTAGAAATGATTAATAAACTATTACAAACACCTCTTAAGTGTATACTTTGGGCTCCCCTTGAAGAGTTGGGAGAGAGGCTGCTGGTCCCTTAAGCAAGGAGACTTGGTTTTGATAGTCACTCAGGGACAAAAACTTGGCCCTTACAGGGTAGGATTCAGGAATGAGACTGCCCTATATTCCTGAGATCACTGAAGGGCTACACCCTTAGTGAAAGACTGGACTAGAAAAAAAATTCACTCGCTGGTCCAGGATGAAAATAAGGAAGCTAGGCTGAGCACGGTGGCTCACGCCTGTAATCCCAGCACTTTGGAAGGCCGAGGTGGGTGATCACTTGAGACTAGGAGTTCGAGTCCAGCCTGAGCAACATAGCAAAACCCTGTCCCCACTAAAAAGACAAAAAATTAGTCGAGCATGGTGGCATGTGCCTGTAGTCCCAGCTACTGGGGAGGCTGAGGTGGGAGGATCGCTTGAACTCAGGAGGCGAAGGTTGCAGTGAGCCGAGATCTCGCCACTGCAACTCCAGGCTGGGCAACAGAGTGAGACTCTGTCTCAAAAAAATAAAAAAGAAAAGAAGGAAGCTTATGGGCCTCGTTTGCCTCTGAGAACATGTAACCACAACCTATCCCTCATATGCACTTAGGATTTGAATTTATACAACCTCTGTAGTCAGGGAAACCCACCACAGATAAATTAACTTAAAAAGTGGTCCAGCTTGGAAATATCCCTGAGGCACCTGGCAGAAAAAACACAAAATTTCTCTGTATGGCAAAATCTTTAACCAAGCCTCACCAGATTCCTTCAATAATACCTCACTAAAAGCAAGCTCACAATACAAAATAACCAAATATATAAGAAAACCAGAAAGGCAATAATGTGTGTATAACAAATGTATAACATTTGGGTAGCACTTTGTTGCTAAATATTAGAATGTTTCTAAGCAGGGCAATTTCAAGTAACCTACAAAATCTGATATCTTTTCCTCAGTGAGGAAATATTTGGAACCCCATTAAAAAGAATTGGGAATGATATTCTGCCATACAGGTCCAAGAAATGGAGGATGCAAGTTATAAAATAATAAACATAGCTTGAAACTTCATTTTGAAGAAAAACTACAGAGGTTATGTATTTGTATGTACATATAACAGAGTATAGAAATGTATACACTAAATTTACCAAAAAGTAGGATTTGGGGAGGATTGAGGGGGAAGAGTTCTTAAAATTGACATATTGTTCAGATATAGTTTTTTCTTTTGACAATGAGCATTTGTAATTTTTTTAAATAAAGGAAAATATTTTTAGGAGCTCTTTTGCTTGTAACAACAACAGCAACTATTTTGTCATTGAAAATAACGGACAAAACCCAGTTTTCTGAGTGCAGTACAACTGCGAGCTACAGGAAAGTCAAGCAATGGACTAGGAGAAGGACAAACCCAAGATTCTTTGAAAATCCTGTTTTTCACACTTCTCTTAATTTGGCATCCTGTCACCTACAATGTAATTACTCAGGTGGTTCTTAGAAAGTGTCCCCTTCCGAGAATAATGCTTATTGAGAACAACTTGGAAATGATTCAAGAATTGACTGCAGGTCACAATTGCCTTACGCAATAAACTTTATAGCTATGCCCCAAAGAGATCAGATCACAGCATTAGAAAAGATGGTGAGATCATCCCCTCACTTGTGGTTGGCTTAGATCTAGTCAAGTAATCAAAGAAATTCTGAATACTAAAAGACTAGTAACTCTACATTTTGAAGAATTGAGTTGAGATGCCTTAAAACAAACAAACAAACAAACAAAGATGTCTTGCTAAAAGATGTGACCAAAAGCCTTGCTAGAGGTAAGAAATATATAAAGTATAGAAAAAAAGGAACATTTCCAAGACAAAATGTAAAAAATGAATAGTAAGGGATTTTTGTTGCATTAAAACTCAGCATCTGAAATTCAGCATTTGAAGAGTTAATTTTAATTGGATATATTTCATAATAAGTATCTGAATTATGAGAGAGACTGAGCTGATTCTATAATTTCCTTTTAATAAAATTTATCCTCCCATTGGCCAAATTTGGGACATGCTGAACATCAAAAAGAACAGAGACTGTAAAATGATTATAAAACATCAGATAAATAAAACTCCATGTGTCCGTAATGATATTCAAAGAGAAAAAGAAAAAATAAGGAAGGCTCTTTTTTAAGAATGTCAACTAATAAAAGTAGAAGGAAGGATATTTAGAAAACTATCACTTTGTATCTCCACAGCAATCACTGATTCAAGCAAAGATCAGCCATGGCCAGGCGCAGTGGCTCACGCCTGTAATCCTAGCACTTTGGGAGGCCAAGACAGGCGGATCACCTGAGGTCAAGAGTTCAAGACCAGCCTGGCCAACGTGGTGAAATCCCGTCTCTACTAAAATACAAAAATTAGCTAGGCATGATGGCGGGTGCCTGTAATCCCAGCTACTCAGGAGGCTGAGGCAGCATAATCGCGTGAACCCGGAAGACGGTGGTTGCAGTGAGCCGAGATCGCGCCACTACAACTCCAGCCTGGGCGGCTGAGCGAGACTCTGTCTCAAAAAAAAAAAAAAAAAAAAAAGAATCAGCCACATAAGCTAAAGCCATTAAGTGGAATTTGTTGAGGGATAGGACAGCCACAGTACCAAAGAATCCATCCCCAAATATTATTTGCATAAGAAGACTTACTTTTATCATGAAGAAATCTATGTTCACCAACTTATCATGAAGAAATCTATGTTCACCAACTTAATCAAGGTATCACTCAAATAGTGGGACAGCCTGCTGCTGTTTCTTGATGTGAAAGAGTAAGAGTATACAACATCATTAGTGAAATATTCTTGCCAAGAATGTTTAACCTGAATTCAATCAAGTCTCACCCAGTTTACAGGAAATAAAGGGCCTGGATTCTAAGACAACATAAGGAAACAACCAAATCCAACATGTTGGCCTTTCTACAAGAAAACTGTCCTTACTCTTTAAAAACCCAATTATCTGGCCAGGCACGGTGGCTCACGCCTGTAATCCCAGCACTTTGGGAGACGGAGGCAGGTGGATCACTTGAGGCCAGGGGTTCAAGACCAGCCTGACAAACTCATCTCTACTAAAAATACAAACTAGCTGGTCACACTGGCTCAGGCCTGTATTCCCAGCTACTCGTGAGGCTGAGGTGGAAGGATCGCTTGAACCTGTGAGGCAGTCGTTGCAGTGAGCCAATATCATGCCACTGCACTCCAGCCTGGGGGAGAGAGCCAGACTCCATCTCAAAAATAAATAGGTCGGGCGCGGTATCTCATGCCTATAATCCCAGCACTTTGGGAGGCTGAAGGGGATGGATCACAAGGTCAGGAGTTCAAGACCAGCCTGACCAACATGGTGAAACCCTGTCTCTACTAAAAATACAAAAAAATTAGCCAGGCATGGTGACGCACACTGTAATCCCAGCTACTCAGGAGGCTGAGGCAGGAGAATTGCTTGAACCTGGGAGGTGGAGGTTGCAGTGAGCCAAGATCAAGCCACTGCATTCCAGCCTCCCCGACAGAGTGAGACTCTGTCTCAATAAATAAATAAAAACCTAGCATCTTTTGTTTAATGTGGGGAGACTGTTCTAGACTAAAAAGAAACCTACAACCTACAATCAAATGCAATGCATGACATTGACTGAATCCTGCTTTGTAGGGGAGGTAGGAGGGCACAAAGCTGCTATTAAGAAGTTCTTGAAACACATTGGGAAATTTTCTATATTAATATTTGATATTATGAATTACTACTGATTTTCCTTAAGTGTGATCATGATATTGTGGGTATACAGGGGAATCTCCTTGTTCTTGGGTAATGCATGCTTTTTAAAGATAGAATATCATGATACCTGAAATTTACTTTAAAATATTTTATCAGTGTGGGGTAAGGAGAGGGGAGGATTGCTATTATATGTTTTTGACCTGAAAAATCAGTAATATAGTTAAACCTAATACATACATACAGTTACAGCAAGCATGGCAAAATGTTGGCAACTGTTGAATCTAGGTGGCATATAGTTGTTTATTATATTATCCTTTCAACTTTTCCATGTTTGAGATTTTTTGTAATAAAAAGTTGGGAGAAGGGATTCTTTTCAGAAATATTTTCCTTAGATGACACCTATAAAATTTACCTTAAATTTTAAAGTACCTTAACTAGAAGTTGTCTGCTTTCCTTCATTTGCTTGCTCATCGTCCATTCTAATACTAAAACCTATCTATATTGCAAATGATATTCTTATGCTAGAATAGGTCTAACATAAATCTCACAAATAACACCAATAACCAGCACAAGATTTACAGGTGTAAACATCTGGTTTTATACCCAAATAACAAACTTAACAGCAGTAAAACAAATGGTTTATTACTGCATATGTTATATTAAATTTACACAATGATATATAAAAACACATACTGTTTATATTATATAGTAATTTAACATCAACAGGAGTATCAACACAAGTACTACTCATGCACAAAACATGCATATATTGGTATACAAAAAGCAATTTTACACAATACTGTTTACCAAAAATTTTTTCTTAAAAAACAGCCCTTCCACATAGGATCAAAGGTCCAATCTGGACTGGATTGCACTAATATGTTCAGGTCAACGCTTCGGTGGCATAGCGCTCAGTGAGCAATTCTGGGATTGGAGTCATGCCCAAGGGTTACTTCATTAATAGTGAATGTCTCTGTGCCCAAGGACCAAAATTTTATCCCAAAACTAAATCCTCCAAGGAATGAAAGGTTGGACTGGCTACAAATTAGGGAGGGAAAAGAAGGCATCTAAATGTTGGATAAACGGCCCTAGAAGGGGTTATTAGGAACAGGGCCTAGGCACCAAGTGTGGCAAAAGTTTTTGTGAATCCTTTTAAGGTCCCTATCGAGGCTGCTATCTCTGGATTTAAGGTTTGGCCTCCAAGTCATGAGTCTAGTAACAGTTCTGAGAATAAAACCGAATGGGGATACATCTGAGAAATGTAGACTACATAAAAAAACTATAGAATACAATGACTGCCCCTCATACCTACTTCACACTATTGTATGTGGTGCCCCTCAACAGGAAAACCCTCATGGAGACACTGCCCTGAAGACTCAAGGAACAAATATAAATCCAAAAATTCCATCCACCTGACCTTGGGATCAAAAGATCTTATCCCAATAAAACTTGAACATCAAAACCTGTACCTTGCCGGATGCTCAGAAAGTTTAAAATAAAAAACAGCTGGTGCCACAAAACTCACTATCACCACCATTAAAACCTCAATATGTACTTCTAACTAGCAAAACATTCTTTACCTTCCATTAAAGGCACTAGCATCCATACGTGAAGATGAAACAATAATTTACCTTGGTTTTATATTTTTTTAAAAAGCATTCCATTAAAGTATTATACAAAAATGAAAACACCACCTTTTTAATTTTGGCAACTAGGGAGAAGAAAAAAAAACACACAAACTTTCTACACCAATGATGTCACTCAAACCGTCGTCATCAGTTTCAAAGAGCCAGACCGAAAGCGGAGGATCTTCTTCTTGAGGTTATGTGAGGCCTTAATTTTGACAAAGGTTTTTGCGGGGTGGTTGTGAAGGTCTGGGGCCGTTACCGTTTGAATGGGCAGAGTCTGGACAAACTGGGACCAAATTAAGCCCCCGCTTTCTTCAGAGTCGCTGGTGGTTGTGCTCTCCCCCACGAACTCGCCCTCGCTCACACTCGACTCGCTGTCCCCGAAGCAGTTGGTGGTGTAATTGCTCTGCTCGTCCTCACTGGTGTCCACCACGGTGGAGTGGAACAGGGACTCGCACTCGGCCGAGTACTCGGAGTCGCTAGCCACGTAGGCGTAGGGGCTGGCGTAGGGCAGAGGCACAGGCGCGGGGTACAGCCCCACATTCTCCCGGCGACCGCGCCGGGCCCTCCTCAGGGCCTCTTCGTAGGAAATCTCGGCCGAGGACTTCCACCGCCGGTAGTCAGTTCGCTTGTGCTTAGGTTTGGCCACCACCGCCTCCCGTCCGTGGCCATGCGCCCTGCTCCCCGCCCTGTGGCCCCCGCCCGCGGGCCTGCCGGGAACACCAGCCTCGGGCCCGCCCCCACTCTTCCTCCCCTTGGAGGAGGCTTTCTTGAGTTTCTTATTTGTATCCAAGTCATCTGGGAAGCGACACTTCTTGCTCCCGGCCCGCGTTTTCTCCCTGACGGTGGGCAAGCCGTTCTCCAGCCCCTGGAGGGCTGGGCCGCGGTGCTTCAGGCTGGAGTTCTTCACGACGCCCATGTTCCTGTGGCCCCGGTGGAGCCTGACACTGGGCTGCTGCCCCGGGATAAACTGGGCCTTGACCAGGTGCGCTTCCTCCAGGCTTTGGGAAGAGCCCTCGCTCTTGAAATCCAAGGCAGGCCTCTCTTCCACGGGGAAAGCTGTAGACAGCAGGGGAGGAGTGGCCGGGGGGACGCCCTGCAGGCTGTTTTTCTGTGACATCTTTTTCAGGGGCTGTACAACTTTGTTCTCCTGCGGCGGGGCAGGGCCTCTGCTAGGACTCTCTTTTGGAGAGGCCCCTGAGAGCTGAGCGCTTTCCTTAGGGGACTCCCCTGTCCCAATGGCGGAACACCGAGCATGTTCTTGCGAGGCTGGCTTGGCCGTTTTTGGCAGGTGCTTACTCTGAAGGTCGGAGGCAGCGCCTGAGGGGCAGCCCTCTGGCAGGGGCACCCTCTTGCTTTCGGCTTGTTCGGCCTTTGATTCTTTCGACCACTGCTTCGGTGGGGAGAATGTCCCATTGTTCAGAGAAGGTATCCCGCCAGAGGGCAGACACGCCTGTTTCGAATTCTTAAGGTTCACACTGTTGCCCTGTGAGACACCGCCCGGGGCTCTGACACAAACGCTCCCGTTCCTCAGAAGCCCTTTCGTGGGGTCAGCGTTCACGCTGGTTCTTGGTTTGTTGGTCCTTACAGGGTGTGTTTTTTTCTGGACCAGGCTCAGAATGTAGCCATCCATTTTCTTGCTGGATGAAGGATGGGAAGCAGACCACAGACTGCTTGGGGACGGTAAGGAACTGTCTGTTTTGACGGCATCTAGCTCAGATCCACCGCAAATGTCACTGGCATGGTTTCCAAGCCTGTCCTCTTCCCTCAGAGGGTTGCCCGTCAGACAAAGGAGAAACATTGGGCTCTGCACAGCCACAGCATGAAGTGGACTGGGATAGCGATATACATCATTCCCGTTTTTAGACACCAGATCACACTGGTACTTGGGATTCACATCTGCAATGACATCAAGGGAATTAAATTGTGGTGTGGAGAGGGAACGGCAAACTGCCCCTGAGGCCTGGTCTTCACAGTGGCCTTCTTTATATTCCAACAATCCTATGAGATCTGAAAAACAGTTAAAGGTACACTCTGAAGAAATGAATTGGTCAGCACCAGCTTGACTCTTTGGCCAATTTTTATGAAAAATCCATGGGTAAAAAGAGATTGCCAAGGATTAAAAAGTGCTGCCCTACCATTTCACATGTAGGTACTGCTACTGGATGAGGGGGAAATATTTAACAAAAATTTTTGACAGCATATGATATATCCTCTGAAGGAAAAAAATTCAGCCATTAAGAGTGTTTTCAAACTACTGCATAATAGAGGGAAAACACTTTAAAGTTTAGTGAAAATCATGATATAATACTAGAATATGATTATAATCTTATTAGGATCACATGTATGCAAAGAAAAAACATCTGAGATGAAGCACACCAAGATTCTAGTAGTAGTATTTCAGAATGATCAGAAGTAAGTGATATTTACTTTCTTCTTTATTTTCTGTTAAACTGTCTGTACTGCGTTTACAACTGGGAAACATTTTTTGAATCACTGTTTCTCTAGGCTGCTCTCCCCTCTGTTCTATTCCTGGCTTTCTTTAGGATAAACTGTACGTTCAGTAGGCTTTCTCCTCATTTTGTGTTTTTTTAAACCTAATTCTTAATGACATCCATTCAAATATAACTGTCAATTGAAAGGTGATGGAAACTGATCAAACTTCAGTAAAAACTGATCAGATTTAAATAATAATCGCCTTATGTTTTCAATAGTGATGCTAAAAAAATAAAACAGGGGCCAGGTATGATGGCTCACGCCTGCAATCCTAACACCAAAAGGCTGAGGCCAGAGGATCGCTTAGGCCCAGGAGTTCGAGACCAGCCTGGGCAACAGTGAGACTCCATCTCTCTACAACAAAATTTTTAATTTAAAAAAACTTTTTTAATATGATAAAGAATTCTTGATAAGATTTTAAAAGATTGAGTGGTAGTATTAATGGATAAATTTCCCACTTGTCAAAAATGTTTTTTTAATAGGATAAAGAATTCTTGGTAATATTTTAAAAGATCATGTGGTAATATTAATGGATAAATTTCCCATATCTTGAAAATGTAGATGCCAAAGTACAGCAAAATCAAGCTTGCTGTCTTAAAGGATTTTGATCTCTTAAGTTGGTGAATATTATAAATAACAAATCCATTTAATGACCTTCAGTTATCAGAGAAAATTAAAGTTGAGTTTATCAGTAATAATTTGTCCTCCATTGTATTTATTCATTCAAATACTGAGAACCTATATGTGCCTGATTCTATGTTGAGAAAGCTCCATAAACTTCAATGATAATTAGCGGTCTCAGGGAAAAAATAGTCTAGACCCAGAGATGATATGTAAAGAAAACATAATAAAACAAAAGTGCCATGTCCCCACCCACATGACCCCCCCCAATAAAGAGCTTGTTCTAAAAGGAAACCTCTCTAGCTAACATCCTTCCCCATCCTTCCTCTCCCAGCAACGTAAGCCCTATCTTTGCCTTACTTAAAGCCACACTGACAAACACTTCACTATTCATCCCTTTTCCCTCTTTAGAGTTGAACAAAACAGATATCCTAGCCCCCAAGGCCTGGTGCAACTGTCTCAATTATGTGAGGAAGTGGCATTTGGAAGAGCACGGGTCTGTCTTGAAGGAAAACCTAAACCAAAGTGCCTTTAATGGGTTTATAAAGTTTCCCTCTGAAACCAGATCTGTGGAATGAAGGGGAGCAATTACCAATGAACTTGAGGCCCAGACCCTCTAGATAACACAGTTCTGTGCTTCCTCAAATGATTGCTGCTGACAACACACAGATATGAAGACACCAGCCAATTAGCTCCCTCAGCTGCTCAGTGTTGTTTGCCTTGCCTGGACTCAAAAATTCAGGCTTATACCCAAGTGGAGAACACAGACAAACCAGGAGTGTGATGACTTGTGCCCAGGACCCAGAGCAATTCTAATCTTCATATTTTCTCTACTCTTATAAGAATTCACAATGTAACAGGACTAAGGAAGGAGTCTTGAGTTCCAGCAGCAACCCTGCCATTCAGCAGATGGAGAACCTCTGACAATTAGCTTATAAGCCAAAATTCCTCTTCTGTTAGATGAGAAGGTTGAAAACAACAATTTCTGAATTCCCTTGGGATGATGAAAAACGTGGACCTGGCAGTTAGGCCTGAGCTTAACTTCTGCCTCTGCCACTCACCATCTATAGAGCCTTAAATAACATATGTAACCTTACTAGGACTCATTTTTTTAATACATAAAATGGAGCTAACAAGACCTGTACTGTGCACGACTATTGGGAGGATTCATTGGAGATAAATACATACAGAGCATCCAGTAGTGTGTGACACATACTGGAAATGCAGAAACTCTTCTAGTACAATAGCATGATTCCTTCTGGGGGTCATTGCAAAGATATCCCAAAATAAGGAATAATGGCATGTGGGCACCCACTTAAAAGAAAAAACAAGCTGCCATCATGCAGAACATTCTGGAGAACATGAAAGGGCCATTGCTCCCTGAAGTGCCAACCAGTTCTTGGCCAGGCTGATGGACATATTTAACTTAATGTGAGTGTTAGACTGATTGATTGATTGAGATGGAGCCTCACTCTGTTGCCCAGGCTGGAGTGCAGTGGCACAATCTCGGCTCACTGCAACCTCCGCCTCTGGGGTTCAAGTGATTCTATTGCCTCAGCCTCTCAAGTAGCTGGGATTACAGGCACATGCTGCCACACCCGGCCGATTTTTGTGTTTTTAGTAGAGACAGGGTTTCATCATGTTGCCCAGGCTGGTCTTTTGTTTTTTGTTTTTTTTTTCTCTCTGCCGCCCAGGCTGGAGTACAGTGGTCCAATCTCGGCTCACTATGACCTCTACCTCCTGGGTTCAAGCAATTCTCCCTCAGCCTCCCGAGTAGCTGGGACTATAGGCATGTGCCACCATGCCCGGCTAATTTTTGTATTTTTAGTAGAGATGGGGTTTCACCATGTTGGCCAGGCTGGTCTTGAACTCCTGACCTCAAGTGATCCACCCACCTTGGCCTCCCAAAGTGCTAGGATTATAGTCATGAGCCACTGCACCGGGCCAACCCAGGCTGGTCTTGAACTCCTGACCTCAGGTGATCCAGCTGCCTAAGCCTCCCAAAGTGCTGGGATTACAGGTGTGAGCCACTGCACCTGGCTGAGTTTTAGCTTTACATAATTAAAAGAAGAAAACAGTTCCAAAATGAAAGAAAATACAGACAACCTAACAGCAAAGGCTCAGAAACAGAGCTCAAGACCTACAATATTGGGACAGGATTTCTAGAGATAAAGTGTCTTGCTGCTATCAAAATATATAACCAAGTAGCACCCAAAGGGTACTGGAATAGTTCTAGATACTCACCTAGATGAAACTGAGTTCTAGATGTAAGTATGGCACTAAATGCCGCAAAGTGATGAACCTTCATTTTTCCACCAGTGAAAGGTGCTGGAGCCAAATAACCTTTTAAGGGCCCTTGATGCCTTCCAATTAAAAATTTCTATCAGTGCTAAAAATTCTTACCTGCAGATTTGGGGCAACCATCTGAGAGACTCAAGGTCGCCTCCAAGGGGCTGCAAAAGCAGGTGCTGGAATGACAACTGGATAAACACTCACTGAACACCGAGTTAGAGGAATTGGAAAGGGATCCTGAAGCCCCATCACTCAGCTCATAAAACCCTACAAATAAAAACACCGTTGGAATTAACATCATGTCAAGAAATAATGCATATTCACGCTTAACAGGAAAATGAATAATCATTTAGGAAAAGGAGATTTTTTGTTTGTTTTTTGGCCAATTTTGATTCATTGGACTTTGGTGTCCTAATCTTATGGTCTTATTTCAAACAATCCTTAGGAAAAGGCAAAGAGCCCATAACTAGGGGTACATTTCAGAGTTACCCTCACCCTCAAATTGACCTTATTCCTTGACCCCGCCTTTGAACATGTCCAAGGAAAGAAACTTAGATCTGTCAAGCCTCATCTTTATCATGATTGTTTCAGAACAATAATAAGAGAAAAATCTAAGGAGCCCAAATGGTTTAAAAGAAAAAAAAAAAAAACTTTTGAAGTGGTCTCAGGAAGTTGAAGTGTGACTAATTTTCTAGCCCAGTTCTGACTTACTCAAGTTTCAAAGGAGGGCACCTCTTGCAGAAATTTGAATAGCTTTTATTTTTAAACTTGGGGGACTCCAATCACATTGATCTCATTACTAAAAATTTTGTTGTCTGAGTTTATTTCCCTCTTATTCCGATAAAACTGAATGGCAGACTTCTTTTTTGTTTATCCTCTCTGCACTGGAAACAAACTCCATTGCCATTTGCAGGTCTGGGAATGTTAACCACAAGGGGCTGAGATACAACTCAAGAGTGCAGAATTCTGTCCTTGTGCTCAATCACTCACCTGAGCTAGGCCGACTGTCTGTCTCCAGGTGCTCTTCAGATGTCTTTTCTACATCCAGTCTCAGGTCACTTATCTGCTTGTCAAGCTCTTGCAACTGATTCAACAAACCAGCATCTCTTCGCCTCAAACAGTTCTGATTAGGAAGAAACAAAGGAAACATGAACATACAGGGGTGACAAAAGAACCAGAAAGTCTACTCTAAGGATTCAAATTACCCATCTGAAGAGTTCACTAAACTTAGAAAACCAAAATTTTACTGGATGACCTGAAGTAACGAAAAACTTCGAGAATTCAAGAATATGTCCTATGTTTAATTCCACTTTCTCACATTTTGTGGTGATATAAAGTTTCTTCATAAAAACAAGACTTGTTTTTAGTTTCAACTAATATATACAAACTGACTTTTCATAGATAGGGACAAGAAAAATGGACTGAGACTTTAAATCATCTGGTGTATAACCAGTCTTTTAAAAAACAATACTTCACAGTAGACTCTTTAATTTGAAATGAGAGTAAGAGATTTCCTATAATACACTATAATCTTAGGTGAGATTTTCTGGCCAAATGTCTTGGCCTGCAGAGTTTTGTTTTCTATTAGTTGCTTTGTGGGGTTTAATCAGTCTTAGAGCCTTTGAAAGTGAGAAACTAATACTAATAGCCAGTGCCAAGTATAATGTGAGCTGGCAGAATCCAAAACCCTCATGGGAAGGCCCATCGAGATTTGAACGCCTCTGGGTTTCCAAAGGTGACAGATGGATTGTGCTAACTCACACTGCCACCTAGTGCTTCCTATTGCTGGAAAAACGGGAGAACTCAAAAAGCATCTGGTTCAAATCATGAATGCCAAGTCTACAAATGAAAATAGTACCATAAATACTGACTGGACTGGAATTCTCTTGACATACTGCTTTGCTCCCCTCAAGCGGACAATAGGAATGCGCCACTTACAATCTTGAGATTCATGCAGACAAAAAGGTGCAATTGCACAAAACAATAAAATGTAAAAGTCACCAGCCATAACCAGTGAGAACTGGCTCAAATGAATGTTACATAGGAATCTGGTCTGTGACCGAAGCAGCACAGTAAAATGCCAAAACAGAGATATTACACAAACCACAGTGTACATCCTTACAAAACACATGCATATGAATATCTACGCCTCTTGTCTTTTGACTTAAAAAGCTTGGAGACATAAATTGTATGTTTGTTTGCTACAATTAATTTCTTCAGGAAAAATGAACCTATCAAGTAAAAGCACTTTGGTGCTTAAAAACACACACACACACACAGAGAAAAGAAATGATCTGAAAAGAGATAATAGAAGAAAACACATGACAACTGCACAGCATCACCACTTTATTGTGGGAGGGCCACTACCTGGCATGTGTCTAGTTTAGATAGTATCACTTGGTCAGGTGAGGACGTTTGCTGTTTCCAAAACTACATTTTAAGGTCACTGAAAACAAAGCTGTCGCCATTATTCTGAGGCGGGGTCAAAAGCTGTTCATCAATACATTAAGCTACAAAGTTCTTTTTCTTCCCCATTAATGAAGACTGCATAGAAAGACTGAGACACTGACAGAAACCCAGTAAGATAAATGCTTACCGAGAGCAGGTTCTCTTTTCTCCCACCTCCACCACCAATCACAGCTGGCAGAACGTATAAAATATGAGAGGAGGGGACACAGTCTCCAGCCAAATTTCCATCATTTCCATCTAGTTTGAGCTGCCTTATACAAAGGGCTTCTATTTGAAATTAAGCACCAGCCTGGGTGAAAGCTGGCATGCTGGGGAGAGCTCTCGGAGAGGCACGGCTCCCTACAGGCGCTCCAGTGTAATCGTAAAACTCGGCCCTGGACAGTTAAGCACGCCACAAACCCCCTCCTTGGCTTTTGGCCCCTCTCGGCGGGAGGAGATAAAGTCAAGAAAACCTCCAAATAAAATGGTATTTTAAGTGGGAGTTTGCAAACCGCTGGGGAGAGGGCATATACTCATCTAACTAAGGAGACCGAACGTTAGAACTAGGCGACTCCAAGAATCCCGAAGGCAGAGGAGGAGGGAAGAGCGGCCACCCCCTTCCCGCAATCCGCGCGAGGTCGCCAGACACAAAGCGGGCACACGCCAGAAACGCGTGGGCGTCGGCAGCCCACACGCCGCGGGCACTCAGGAAGGGGATCAGGGAGGTATGGGGCGGTCGGGGGCGTCCCATAACAGCGAGCATCTCCCCAGCCAGAGTCAACCTCGCGCCCGCCCCAGGCCACCTGCCCGACCTCCAGCCCCTGGGCAGGAACAGCCGTGCTCCACCTTCGGGCACGACCTACCAATTGCTTTCTTAGCAGCAAGATGTTCTCCTCCAAGAACTTCTCCTCCAGGCGACTGCGCTGCGCCGCCTCCCCCAGTAGCTCCCCAGCGCGGGGCGCAGCGGCTCCCGCACCCCCGGCGCCGCGCAGGGCGCCCCTGACCAGCAGCTCTTGGCGCTGGCGCAGGTACTCCAGCTCCGCCAGCCCGGCCAGCGTGGCCTCCTGCCGCTCCCGGGTGCGCTGCCGCTCGGTGTCTGCCTCGCCCTTCTCCCGCCAGCGCCCCTCGGGCTCCGCCGTGCGCTGCTCGCCTCGGGCCGGCGCCGGAGGCTCCAGCTCCTTCGCCGTCCCGGCCGGACTCGGCTTCATGGCCCCCAGTCGGGCAGCGAGAGCCGTCACCGCAGCCGGGCCGCCCAGGCGGAGGAGCAGGGCGCTAGGGCTGCGGCCGCGGGTGGGCTCATGCCGCCCTGTGGCGGGGCGCGGCGCTGGCGGGGACGGTGGCTAGAAGCCCTCGAGTCCTGCGCGCGACCGCCGGCTGCTGCTGTCCCGGCCCGGGCAGCGCCGTCCGCTGTCGCCGCGCGTCCCTCGCCGCGGCCCGGCAGCTGATAACGCCCTGCCCGGCGCTACGTCACGCGCGGCGGCCCTGCAAACCCCCGCCTGGCGCCCGCCTCCCCGCGCCGGCCCCTCGGCTGCGACGCTTGCGCCCCCAGGCTTCCCCTCCTCTGTCAGGCGCGCCGCCCGGCCCCCAGAGCCGCCTCCTCCTCGCTCGGCCCTCCCCGCCCCTCCTCGCCCCTCCCCGCCTCCTCCCCCGCTCTCTTCGCGGGCCTCCTCGCCCCCTTTTCGGGTTTACTGCACCCGATTTTGCCCTCGCTCCTCATTGGCTCTTTCTCGTCGCCCAAAGCTCGGGGCGAGCGCCTGGAGCCCCAGCATCCTGTTACAGTCGGCCGCGCAGGCAGGGGCCGCGACGGGACGCGGCAGTTGGGCTCTCCGGAGAACTTTCTGAAACTCGACCAAGTTGCAGCACAGTCTTAACCCTTTCCCCACACGGCCACTCCTCATTTCCACTCACACCGAGTTAGGTTTCTTTCACTTCCCAAGCAAGGTATTGCAAGTGTATTCACAGACACTGTGGGGTTGGTTCCTTAACTCCACTTTGTAAAGGCAAGCAATACAGAGCACAATGCAGTGTTCTAAAACTTAAGTTTTGTTGTCGTTTTAATTTTTTAACGTCGGTCTTACGATGGACGGCATTTAAAATTAGGCAGGAGGATGTCGTTGTATAGCGAGAGGTTGCATCAATTCTTTTACAAGCCTACGATTTGAGTGCGCGCGCGTGCGCGCTTTGGTTTTTGTTTGAGCTTTTATTATTACTTAGTCTGCGTTTACAATAAGAGCTCTGACTCAGAAATCAGACTGTCTGGATTTGTATCCCAGTTTCACCCCTAAATAGCTGTGCGGGCAACTTACTCCCTTCTCTGTGTACGTTCCCCCCACTGTAAAAGGGAGCAGCTGCTATGGGAACCTGCTGTTGAAGAATTATAATAGTATGCAGCATATGCTATATATTGTGGGGGCTGTGCACTTACAACGTGGCTAGCACATAGATAGTAAAGGTGATATGAGTTGTAGCTTTTCTCCAGAGGGATTTATAAGTCTTCCCTCTTGAAGTATCATGTATTGGTCATCTCTGCTTGGAACACACTACTCCAGACCCCTATCCCACTGAAATTTCCGGTGGGATAGGGGTCTGAAAATTCCACTAGCTGGCTTATCTGTGGAAAAGTACCACATATATCTTTAAAAGCAGTACATCCAAGAACCTCGGAAATTCAATCCAGCAAGTCACAATTGCTGAAGTTCAGGCAAAGTGTTGTGTGAAAGAGTGCATCCTATATCATTATTTCAGACACTTGCACTTTTGCCCATCTGCTTACCCGTGCTAGGAATTCCTCTTCTTTCCTCCCCTCTCTGTGTGGTCTAACCACCCTTCCAACCTTTGAGCTCCAGTTAACTATATAAATATCTGATTCTGATCCCATGCTACCTGTATGGTTATTTATCTGGGTGTGCACACGCATATCTATCTACGTAGGTGTTTATGTGTATCTCTTCTCTCCATCTACATTATGAAAGCTTCCTGAAGGCAGGGACTGTTTTAATACCCTCTTAGTATCGCTGTATTCAGCACATTACCTTGCAAGCATTCACCTGACAATTGCTAGAGAGAGACTCGAGAATGTAGATTGGTTGTAAATTGTTTTTTCATTAGCATACTTTTAAACTTAATAGTACCCATTTAATCTCTACTACAAATAGAATTAAGTTGACATTTACCAAAAAACAAAAACAAAAGAACTCCCTTGCCACCTTTCACTTTCCTCCCCATTGCTGCCTCCCACAGACATGAAAGAACTACAAACTTGATTCATAATTAACAAGGTTGTATATTAGCTCTAAAAATGGAATTATGGTCAGGTGTTCATAAGCATACAAAATCGATTCTCTTCAGGTTATCTATTCTTTATGCCTGCTGTTGCCAAACACTACTTTATAATATAGGAACTAATTTTCCTCCCTAATTTTAGTAAGGCACGAAAGGATAGTGACTTATCCTGCTTGCCAAATGCCACTCACCCATGTCCTCTGTCATTGTTTCATTCTGCTCATTTCTAAACAAGCTTCTTGCTTTCCAGCTCTGAATTAGATTCCTCTGACTGGGTGGAGTCTATTATTGTGGCCTGTGTTATGTCACACATCGACAACTATATTTGTATAGTTGAGGGGGAAAAAAAGCTGAAACACATTTTTACACACTACTAATAAATCTTAAGTCAGGCAGACAAGCTCGCTATGTCTCCAAACCTCCCCACCCTCCCAACCCCCCTCCTCACCAAATGCCACTTTGAGCTGGCTCATTAGTCCAAAGCAAGCCATTTGCCGTAACAGCTTGTATATCTCCATGAAAAAGTGTTCTCAGCAAGTTTAAATATTAAAACTAATATATTCAGATGGTTCCGCCAATAAAATGGTCACGAATAGGAAAAAAGGTTATGCTTTCCAAAGTATCCATTACACATTAATAAATAATGCTGTTCATTCACATGCCAATTAAAACAAACTCAGGCTGTCAAATGAAGTTAGAAGCAAGGAGCTCAATGCTGTAATTGTTTTTCCAGGAAAACTCCCAATGTCATCAGATTAAGTGAGACAGGCTGGGTTGCCCCTATTCTCTTTTTAAGCTAGCAGCCAAATTTTCTCCCCTCCAGTCTAGTTGCCTGGATTTTCTTTCCTCTTTGATTCTTTGTTTTTGTTGCAGGTATTCCGGAAGCAGTTGAAAGTGATCGCCTACTGCTCCCTTCTGTTGCCAACGGAATCTCACTTCCCCCTACTGTTTTGATTTTTCTTTCCCTTTCTTTTTAAAGCAGGTGCTGGTACTTCTTCCTCCACTAGTGCTATTTCATTATCTCCTTTCTAATGTTGTTCAGCCCTAGTTGGTTCTTTTGCTTTCCCTGGACACGCCTGTCTGCTCAGAAAAACTGTTAATTGACACTCAGAAAGTGTACCACTAACGATGGGGTGGACCTGCTGCCTGGATGATCTGGAGAGTAAGATAAAGTTGCCAGCATGAAAAAGAGTCTTGGCTGAATATATTACAGTGGTGTTAACTTATGCTTGAAGATCTTTCCTGGGCAGAGCCAGAACATGTCCCTCATATCACACAGTCTGATGCTTTGTCCTTAGGCAGAACAGCTCCTAACAGCACCCCCACCAAAGTCTGAGCATCATTCTACAAATGCCTTGTCCAGCGGTGAACATTCTATTGCAGCCAAGCAAAGTAAGGGGCATCAGTTGCACATTTTGCCATCAAGCAAAGCAACAAAATGATGCCTTGCAGCTTTTATGGCCAAACAAACACAAATGATGTAATTGGGAAAAGCTGTCTCCGAATAGGAGGAAAAGAGTAAAGGGCAATCCTTTGAGCTGGAGAGATGACCACCATTCGAGGGTCTGGGATCAAAGCCCCAGCCAGACATCAAAGCCCATTTGAGTCTAATGCCAAAAAAGCCACAGTGAATTAAACTTCATATATAAACTAATTATAGCTTGACCCCACAATCAGGCTTCAGTGAGCACACAGGGGAAAGAAAGCAGACATTGAAACAAAAGATCAAGAAAAAAGAAGCGTGGTAGCAAAATGGGGCAACATCATGGCCCTGAAAATTTTAAACATCTTTTGAGGGCAGAAGGGAATAGGGGAATAGCAGAAGAAACAGCAAATGTTTGACAATGCTGGTCTTGTTTGAAAGGCTATGAAACAACTCCTTCCATCCTCTCTGGTGCACAACCAAACACTACCAAATAAACCATCCTACATGAAAAGGTTACCTTTTAGCTGTGTTTTAGTGCTGTTAAAGAGGTTTTTGTTGAAGAAGGCCAGGGTGATTCCATGAAGTTTGGTGGTAAGTTTTTCAAGAGGCTCCTGCTTCCTCCTGCAGAGCACTGTGGATTCCAAAGATTCTAGAATGTCTGGAAGTGAGTTGCATTCCCCACCGTCGTAATCACTGATTAAGGTGATTAAGTCTCCACCAGCCTCAGACTTTTGTCCCTTAGCTCTGCCATTTCTACCGGTCATCTTTACAGATGGAAGGTGCAGAGTTCCATGTGTGCAAATACCTAGAGCCACATACTGTGGTACTAATACAATGAAAGGATTTGATTTCAAAGCAAAATTTAAAAGTGTTTCAGAGACAAGTGGCTTTTTTTTTTTTTGAGACACGGTTTTACTCTATCACGCAGGCTGGAGTGCAGTGGCACGATCTCAGATCACTGCAGCCATGACTTCCTGGGTTCAAGTGATCCTCCTTCCTCAGCCTCTCAAGTTGCTAGGACTACAGGCTAATTTTTATATTTTTTGTAGAGATGGGTTTTGCCGTGTTGGCCAGGCTGGTCTTGAACTCCTGAGCTCAGGCAGTGCACCCGCCTTGGCTTCTCAAAATGCTAGGATTACACAAGTGGCTTCTTTAACCAATTGTATTAGGTGGATTTTGCTCTTACTCTGCTTTATTGGGACCATTTCTCCAATTATTTAAAAATTTTAATTTCAGGCCAGGCGTGGTGGCTCATGCCTGTAATCCCAGCACTTTGGGATGCTGAGATGGGCAGATCACTTGAGTCCGGAAGTTCGAGACCAGGCTGGCCAACATGGCAAAACCCCGTCTCTACTTAAAAATACAAAAATTTCCCGGGCGTGGTGGTACGCGCCTGTAATCCCAACTACTGAGGAGGCTGAGGCAGGAGAATCGCTTGAACCCGGGAGGTGGAGGTTGCAGTGAGCCGAGATCGCGCCATTGCACTCCAGCGGCGACAAAGTGAGACTGTCTCAAAAAAAAAAAAAAAAAGATTTAATTTCACAAACTGGCAAACAGTTGCATATATGATTTCATAATTCATAGAATCTTTTCAATCACATTTTTATATACAGACATTAGTACTTTCTTAAAACAACATCTAAATTTATAACCTGAATACTTAATAACTGAAATATTAATTTTTTTTAAAAAGGCATTTTCCTGGGATAAAAACAAATATGTACCATCATAATTACACTGCACCTCTTTGAATATTCACTCACAGATATTTATTGAGTACCTAATACCAGGCACTGGGAATACAGTGGGTAAACAAGTCAGATATAGTCCCTACGTTCACAGAGCTTATGGTCTAGAAGGTAAACTGGCACTAATTATATAACCACATACATAAGTGTGTATGTGTGCATTTACAAATTGTGAAACTATCACAATTTGCAAAATAATATTTTTAAACAGATATATTCTATGATTATATCCAAAAAGTCATACTCAAATCACAAAAATATATTACTGACCTTTATAATCCTTAAGTTTTTTCTGGGGAAGGAGATCTTATATTTTACTTTGTGTTATCTTTTTTTAAAAAATATTTATTCTCCTTAAAGCCACATTTGAAATTTCTTTAGGAAGATACTTGCTGTATAGCAAAACAGTTCAATATTTCATCTAAATATCTTCCACTGAAAGGGAGTAACTAGTACATGTAAATAAGTTTTAAGATAACTTAAGTACCGCACTGATCTAGTACTACCTTTTCCTCAGAATAATCCCAGAAAGGTGAAAGAGAAAGCATCACTCCAACCCATGGTACTATGAGCAATTTCCAGTATGGTTTTCTGATCGTTTCTACATAGCATACAGAAATGATCAATGAAGTGACATTTTGTGGGAGAGCCCTAGATTATTAACATGAAAGTGGAGGCTTTTGATTTAGGATATAGACATTTGGTCCAACTTTTCCATCTCCTTTGCTCCTGTGAACCCAGCCTCTCTGAGGCCAGGCAAGAACTCTAAACAAGTTCCCATACTGATTTCCTGGCCCGTGTTGGCCTCCAAGACCCGCACAGCCTCTTTAATTAAGACCCCTCAGGGGCTTAGGGATCCCTGTGGAAAAGCCCAGAATGCCATTATCACCCCGGGAGAGGCTGAAAATGCACACTGCTGGCCCGGCTCGGGTCGCCTTGCCCCACGGGGCGCCGCCTCCTCTAATCCCGTGGCACCTCCGCAGGGTGCAGTGTGAAGAGTAGCACATCCACTTCAAACAGAAGTCGGGCCCAGAGTGTATGTTTGGGCTAAGGGAAAGGATGGGGGTCGTGAAGAGCCTCAGATTCAAAGAGAAGTCGGCTGGGATGACAGTCAGTGGCTGCGTGCGGCTCAGAGACCTGAAGGGACCGATAGGAAGCCTAGGGGCTCTACTTCCATCTCCCTCTGGCCGCCCCCGCCCAGGGACTTCTCCCTCCTGAGCCGAGATGCTTTGAAGTCCGGGAGGGTGGTTTTGACAACAGATGGGACAATTCGCTTCTGTTCAGTTTGGTCCTATAGAGGAATTTGGTTTACCCACTCTTGGCTTTAATAGAAGCTGTTTTCTTAGAAGAAAGAATCCGATTCTAATGTGGCACTTACTGAGGTGGTGGAAAGACAGAGATTTCGGAATCCCGCCAGTTTGGATTAACTCCTGATGCACCACATTCTGCCACTCCATTATGTTCACCATACACTGGTTTTGCCAACTTTGACCTCTCTGAGCCTTGTTTTTCTCATCAGTAAAATAATGCCTAAATCACCACCAACCTAAGAGGGAGGTGGACCCCAAAGTTCCAAATGTTATACACACATGTGCACAAACACACTCACACATAGAATATACAATCAAGGACAAGGACATTCTTATGAGATAAAAATTATCATTAGCCACCATAATTGCCTTGACAGTTTTCATAAGGCATATACATTACATTAAAAAAAAAAAAAAAACCTTTATTTTGAGCTATAAGTAGATCCACCCACTCAAGGACAGAAATCTGGGTACTGCAGTGCTGCCAAGATAAAACACAGAGGTCTGTTCTTTGAAACCATATGGCCCAGTAGAACAGGAGCAGGGTATATGGGGAAGAATATAAATTTTGGCCAGGGTTCAACTCTTTCAACAAGTAATTTAACCTGAACCTCAGCTGCCTTATTTGTAAAATGGGCTTGCTCTTAATTCACAGACAGCTATTGTGAAGGGTTTCGTACACAGTACATCCTGGAATATGGTTTATGAAGCTTAGCCTCTTCCTTTTTTGCCTAGCCTCTTATTAGGGAAAATTTCAAAGCACCAAAGTAGGGAAAATGGTATAATTAATCACCATGAACCCATCACCCAAATTAACAATTGCAGATTATAAACAGGCCCCATTTAGAAATGAATATTTTGACAATTTTGGGACTACCAGATATAAGATAGTTACAGATTAGAGATGTATTTTCATCATTAGTTTAGTGCCAGACATATAATAAGCACTCAATGAATGCTAGATGGCATTATTATCATCATTATCAATTTTTTTCTATAATTTATCCAAAACCTTTTTATGGACCTAATATAACACACCTTTCATCCAAAGAGCACAAGAAGATTTCCCAAAATCTTTGCAATATATCATGGTGTGGGAAGACAAAGATACTCTAAATATCAGGCAGTGAAGTGATTCTGTCAGCCACTCAGGACAAGACTCCAGTTACTGCCCCCTCTGCTTTTCATTGTTCTGTAGACAGTGAGCTCCTCTTGAGAGCTGGATCCACTGCTAATGCAGCTTTACTCTCCAAGGTGAGTGGCAGGACTGGGTGAATGCTTTATGTCTAAAGTCATAGAGTCTGGGCCGGGCGCGGTGACTCACGCCTGTAATCCCAGCACTTTGGGAGGCCGAGGTGGGCAGATTGCTTGAGGCCGGGAGTTCGAGACCAGCCTGGCGAACATGGTGAAACCTCATCTCTACTAAAAATACAAAAATTAGCTGTGTGTGATGGCCCACGCCTGTAATCCCAGCTACTTGAGAGGCTGAGGCAGAAGAATCACTTGAACCCGGGAGGTGGATGTTTTAGTGAGCCACTGAGATTGCACCACTGCACTCCAGCCTAGGCGACAGGGGGAAACTCTGTCTCAAAAAAAAAAAAAAAAAAAAGTGTGAAACAAAGTACTAGGCAAAGAACTCATTAAGCCAAATTAGCTAGCTTGCCAATTAGTTAAAGCATCCCTAATGTCTAGATTCGGTTTCCTTTATTTGGGTGTGTCAGAGCCATTTTTCATGAACAACTAAATTTACTATTGTTAAAAGAAAAACTTTGGACAAATTAAATTTAACAGAGTTTTTTGGGGGGGAACGGGGGTGGAGTCTTGCTCAGCCTCTGGATAGCTGGGACTACAAGCATGCGCCACCACGCCCGGCTAGTTTTTGTATTTTTAGTGGAGACTGGGTTTCACCATGTTGGCCAGGCTGGTCTCAAACTCCTGACCTCAGGTGATCCACCCACTTGGGCCTCCCACAGTGCTAGGATTACAGGCATGAGCGACTGAGCCCAGTCTAACAGAGTTTTATTGAGCAAAGAACAATCTTGAATCAGGCAGCACCCCTCCCCACTTGATCAACACTGCCCTAACAAGAATAGGTTTAGAGGAACTCCTGGGGCTACCACATGGTCAGATAACATTTATGGGCAGAAAAAGGAAAGTGCCATACAGAAAAGAGAAGTGAGGTACAGAAACAGGGGGATTGGTTACAGCTTTGCTTTTGCCTTTTTGAACAGGATTTAAACAGTTGGCTGCCTGTGATTGACTAAAACTGATCTGCTGTGGTTTACAAGTCTGCTTGGACATCCAGTTAGGTTAAGATTCACTATATATGGAGAAACTTTTAGGCTGAACTTAAAATATGTAAGGAGGTTAAAACTCTGGTGCTGTTCAGAAGCGAGATTGTGCCTGTGAGTAGCCACTGCACTGCAGCCTAGGCAACATAGTGAGACCCCATTTCTATTTATTTAAAAATGCAAGGAGGCGGCTTTAGGCTAAAGTTAATTTAACACTATGTTACATAAATTAAAATTACGGCCATTATGCATAGAAACACTGAAGCCAAGAATGTGACTTTGAAAACTCAGAAGTGAATTCTTAGCTTAATTAATGTGGCCTCTCTTGTTCAATTAAACTCCTCAAGGGCAGGGATAAATTCTGTATCATCTCTAACTCTCTCAGAATGAAGCCCAATACAAAGCAGATACTCAACAAAAGCTTATTTAATGTAATCACCTTCAAAGTAGATTGAGATCGAATCCCCTGTCTGTGACACACCAGAAGGACTGACCTTGGAAAATTCTAGAAATAGACGTTTAGAAACAAACCAAAATGGGTGCTTTTCCTGTCTGCTCCACTTTCAGACATGTCTCTTGTGAGTTTGTGCCTCATAGGAAAATGTGAGGAAGCAGGAAAAAGAGAAACAGTTCCATTTCTGAAAAGATAAGAATAAAGTCTGATAAAGACAAAAGGCATTTGGGCTCAGTGGAGTTAAAACAAACTCAGACCGCTCAGCCTGTTTGAAGTTGAGGAGAAACAGAGAACGACCCATCAGTCCATTGTGGAGCACAAAGCAGCTTAATCAGCATTTCATCATGGGTCGCCCAGGCAAGGCCTGCGGGCACTGTGCAAAAAGCCCTGCCTATTTTTACCTAGAGGGCTTTTCTACCTGAACACGTGTGTGTGTTGCGTGTGTGTGAGGATGGGAAGTGACTTTCTTATTGCTCCCAGTAATGGAATTAATTCCTAAGAAGATTCTTGAACAATTGGTTCACTTTGGTTTGTCGTTAATTCAAGTTTACCTCTTTGTTATGATTCCAAGCACCTCACAGAGTCCTAAGCACCTCCAAGAGGTTTAATAAATGTTTGTTGAATTGGAGGAAGGGGTAGAAATCACTAGCATTAAAATATGAAACAAATACCATGTCCACTAGGGTGAGGGCTTTTCTAACTGTGCAAGCCCACCTGCCTGAGCACAGAAATATTTACGTTAAAAAGTGTTCAAACTCCAAGCCCTTCTGTCCTGCTGAACATGTACCCAGCAGACCCAAATATATTCTGAATGATACTGGGCTCTTCCCAGGAAGGCTGGATCATACCTTGCCAACTGCCAGCAGCTGCTTCGGTCAGAACAGAGGGAGGAAAACTTGGTTCTGCTGCACCACGGGGGGGTGTCCCTGTATGCATCACGCTGCACCGTGCACCTGGGGGATTTCACTGGCTTAGAAAAACCAACACAGAAAAAGAGCCCCGAGCTTCCATGCACACCTTTTCCTTTCCTTTTTAGCTCATTTCTACATGAAGGAATTCAGTGTCTGTTTTTGGAATTTTTTTTTTTTTTTTTTTTGAGAAGTAGTCTCACTCTGTCACCCAGGCTGGAGTGCAGTGGCTCAACCTCGGCTCACTGCAACCTCCACCTCCTGGGTTCAAGCGATTCTCCTGCCTTGGGCTCCCCAGTAGCTGGGATTACGGGCACATGCCACCATGCCTGGCTAATTTTTTGTATTTTAGTAGAGATGGGGTTTCACCATGTTGGCTGGAATGGTCTCGATCTCCTGACCTCGTGATCTGCCCGCCTCAGCCTCCCAAAGTGCTCAGATTACAGGCGTGAGCCACTGCACCCAGCCTCAGTTTCTGTTTTTAATAGAGCTGAGCCCAATTTAGAATTACAGCACATACTACTCTTGTATCTATACCAGTTGTGTCTTCTGACATCCAAACGACGTCACCCAACCCGTTCCACCCTCCTTCCCTTTGGAATATCCCCACTCCTTTGAAGACCCCCAATAAGCATCTTGGCTATGGAAGGCAATAGAAATGAAAGAGGATCCTTGGCACACCAGCTCCTGTTGAAGAAACACAGAAAACTGAGAGCAGTTTAGCATGTGACCCACGCAAGGACTTTATTTGTTAATAACTCAAGCAGGGAAGAATACAGATACATACAGTCTTTGTTCCTGTATATCACCAGGTAATTGCCCAAGGTTTTGGTCTTTACCAAAAGTCGTCATCCTGTCCAATTTATCTTCCAAAAGAACATAAAGTTAGTTTTTTTTTTTTTTTTTTTTGAGACAGAGTTTTGGTCTTGTTGCCCAGGCTTGAGTACAATGGCGCGATCTCGGCTCACTGCAACCTCCGCCTCCTGGGTTCAAGTGATTCTCCTGCCTCAGCCTCCCGAGTAGCCGGGATTACAGGTGACTGCCACCATGCCCAGCTAATATTTTGTATTTTTAGTAGAGACGGGGTTTCAACATGTTGGTCAGGCTGGTCTTGAACTCCTGACCTCAAGTGATCCACCCACCTCGGCCTCCCAAAGTGCTGGAATTACAGGCGTTGAGTCACTGCACCCGGCCTCTAAAATTAGCTCTTTTACCTTTCCCCCAGGTCATCAGAAAGAACAAAAGTCCAAAGCTATGTGATGATGTTTCAGTCTTTTATGTATCCCTTGTACTCTGCATTCAGACTGGAATCCTGTTAGAAGAATGTGAGTAATGAGGCTACTACATTTCCTATTGACCCAGCTGTTTATAAACAAAGCTCTTCCTTCTAGGAAAGGCAGTGACATTTAAATTGCTGCAAATTATCAGCCTCGACTCATCTGAATTTCTGTCATCTGAATTTCATCTGAGCACTGTGCTACTCATTCAGGAAATGGGAACCACAAGAAGTTTCCCTTTTTTTCAAATTGCCTCCAGATGTGGCATACAGAGGAATCTTTATTAAAATATCACACAGTAGCCAGGGCTCCATAATTTCTTCTGTCACCTTGGTCAGAAGATGAATAACAAACCAGTGATTGTAGAAAAAAGCTCTGGGTGTTGTCTGCAAAGGCCTCACCCAGCTTCCATAGGCTCCAGCCACCTTACCTCAACTTGTCTTTTTTCCATAGTGCCTTATTACACTATGTCAATTTATTTATTTATTATATTCGCTGTTAATTGCCTGTCTCATCTGCTAGAATGCAAACTCCCCAAAGGCAGGGATCTTGTTTTGTTCACTAATATACCTCAAGGGCCTATAACAGTGCCTCGCACACTGCGCTTGCTCAAATAAGTGTTTATTGAGTAAATGAATTAAAAAGCCAATCTCATTAGAGCAAGATCTCTAGCCCTGACCTCAAAATTGACACGAATGCCACATGTCCTATTCTATATAGGCCCCTAAAGTGTCACAGGATAATCCCAATATTATTTCCAAATACCCTTCACTTTCTCTCAACCCCATCCCGCTTCTCTTCCCAAAGCACCTATTTTTATCAATGATAACACAATCTGTTAAGCCCTTACACTAAAATTCTTGTTCTTCCTGTTCCTTTTACCTCTTTTTTAATCCCCCAGGTCACTAATTTATCAAATTCCTGAAGACACTTCCTTTCAAATATCTCCAACTTGTCCCTTCCTCTCTATTCTCATTGCCCTTGTCTACACAATTATCACCTCAAATAGACTCTTAATTGGCCTCCTAGCTCCTAGTCTCTCCCTCCTACAGGTTCTTTTGCATATCATAAGCATTGTTTTGATCACAGCTGTTCTCTTCCAAAGCTGTCTGTGATCCGGCCCACCTAGCAAACCCTACCTCCCTGAGTGGTCAAATGGTCAGGAGTTAAGTCTTGAAAAAATAGAAAGTGTTGCTTAGGCAAATGAGATCCTGTGTGTAGGGTGAAGAAAAGGGGCCAGAGACAAGACCATAACTGCCAGGCAAAAGCATTATTTGAACTCCGTCCTGGGAGACATGAAGGACAAACTGTTGGAAGAGGTCTAGATCAAGGGAACAACGGATGAAAAGGGTGATTTACGAAGCATAATCTGGTGAATGGATTAGAGGTGCCATTTGAGGAAAGACTGACTGGAGGCAGAATTCATAGATGAATAATCAAAAATCAAAGATATTTGATTATTAATTCAACAGTTACCTACTGAGTGCCCATGATATTGCAGGCAGTGTTCAAGGTCCCGGTGATGCAGCAGGGAACAGTAATTTCTTGGGAGTCCGGGAAGAGATAGAGAGACAGCACTGAAGAAGCCACCCACAGCCCTCTCTCCTTGTGCTCGCCTGGCTACTTTTCCTGGCCCCAGACAATCTCTCAGATTTAAAATAAGCTGCTAGCCAGGCTAGTCATCACTACACCAATTCTCTTGCTCAAAGATGTTGCTCTTGAAGAACTGGACCACAGGTTAGCTAGGAAAAATGAAGGAAATGTTTCCTCTCAGTCAAGAGTCAACAAACTTTTTCTGTAAATAGCCAAATAGTAAATATTTTAGGCTTGTGTACCCTACAGTCTTGGTCACAACTACTCAACTCTGTCATTGTAGCACAAAAGTAGCTACAGACAAGTAACAAGAGAACATGGGTATGTTCCAATAAAAGTTTATTTATAAAAATAGGTAGAAGGGGCTGGGCGCGGTGGCTTATACCTGTAATCCTAGCACTTTGGGAGGCTGAGGCGGGCAGATCACGAGGTCAGGAGTTCGAGACCAGCCTGACCAACATGGTGATACCCTGTCTCTACTAAAAATACAAAAATTAGCCAGGCATGGTGGCGTGCGCCTACAATCTCAGCTACTCAGGAGTCTGAGGCAGGGGAATCACTTCATCACGGGAGGCAGAGGTTTCAGTGAGCCGAGATCGCACCACTGCCCTCCAGCCTGGGCAACAGAGTGAGACTCCATCTCAAAAAAATAAAAATAAAAAAAAAATAAGTAGAGGTCAGTTCACTGACCTCTGCCCTAAGATACCATGATATTTTTAAACTGAATGCTCAGTTATAATTAAGAGAGGCAGCGTTAGGGAGGATATAAAAAGAATCACTTTGGGAGTGCAGAAAGCTGGAATAGAATCCTAACTTTACAACACACTATGAGGCATTAGGAAACTAAACCTGTATCTTAATGCCTAAAATGAGAAATAACACAGCAAAGTGGCCTACACAGTCAGAGAGCTTGGGTTCAAATTCCAGCTCTGCCACTTTCTACCTTTGTAATACTGGGGTTCAGAAAACAATGCCCCAAAATGAAGGCCTCAGCAGCAGCTTCGGAAGCAAAAGGTTTTTTCTGACCACCTTCTCCCGTTCTCCTGTCTCTTAGTCCCATTCTCCCCCTAGGCCAGCCATAGAAACCAGAATCTTTTTTCCCTAAGGTGGGTCATACAAACCAAAACAGCTTTTCCCCAAAACTAGTCATAAAACCTAAAAAGATTTTATGTAAAAACTGGCCATAAAGAAATTATCTGACCTACTTTGTTGGATTGTAGGTCATAAGACCGCCATTCCAGGGAGGGCCCTACCCACACCCAGAAGGAAGGAATACTTGCTCAGAGGGGCCAAGATGAATCTCGACAGAGAAGCCTTGCTGGGTTTCCCTATGCATTTTATTAGCATTAGATCATACACTTTATTTTTGTATTTATTTGTTTATTTATTTTTTGAGACAAGGTCTCACTCTGTGACCCAGGCTGGAGTGCAGTAGTGTAATTTCAGCTCACTGCAGCCTCGACCTCCTGGGCTCAGGTGATCCTCCCCCATGCACCTCCCAAGTAGGTGGGACTACAGGCATGCACCACCATTCCCAGCTAAATTTTTTTGTATTTCTAGAGATGGGGTTTCTCCATGTTGCCCAGGCTGGTCTCAAACTCCTGACCTCAAGTGATCCACCTGCCTCAGCCTCCCAAAGTGTTGGGATTTACAGATGTGTGCCATCATGCCCAGCTTGTCCGATCATATTAGATATTTCTACACAGCTATCCATACTTTGTTAAACCTAAGCACAAAAATGGACAATTTCTTCTGTATCTTGGGGTCTTCAGTCTTTCTGTTTGTTTTTGTTTGTCTGTTTTTAAGACAGAGTCTTGCTCTGTTGCACAGGCTGGAGTGCTGTGGCGGTCATAGCTCACTACAGCCTCAAACTCCTGAGTTCAAATGATTCCCCCCCTCTTCAGTCCCACATGTAGCTGGGGTCACAGGTGCACACCACCATGCCAGGCTAATTTTTCTTCTTTTTAGTAAAGACAAGGTCTTACCATGTTGCCCAGGCTGGTCTCGAACTCCTTGGCCTCAAATGATCCTCCCACCTCAGCCTCCCAAAGTGCTAGAATTGCAGGCCTGAGCCACAGCACCTGGCTAGATCTTCATCCTGAAGGCTCCCATGTAAACACATTAAAAAAATTTGTATGTCTTTTCTCCAATTAATCTATCTGCCTCATGTCAGTGATTTTTCGGTGAACCCTTAAGGGGCTAAAGGCCATGTCCCCCTCTGTGGTCTTGAGCAGGCTTCTTAGTCTCTCTGAGCTCCTCTACTGTTTTTCATGGGCGTAAAAAATATCACCTTCCTCACTGAGAGGATTAAATGAGATCGTGTATATCAAGTGCCTGGCACAAGGTAAGCACTTGATCATTGTTATCTATCATCATTATTATATTACCATGAAATTTCCCAAGGAGTGGTTATTGAGACAGTATGTGAAAGTATTCATTTTGTTATTTCAGAGATTAAAATCAGAGAGGACTTGCTGTTTTTACACTCCTGTACTTCCTAAATATTTTTCACACAACCACAGGAAGCTGAAAAGTCACCTTGTAAGCCAGCCACTGCTTTTTCAGATGATTGCCTTTAAGTGGCTTTCAAATTCTGAAGATTATCATGCATAATGTATTATGCTTATGTCAGGATTAAATTTTTTCCGTTGATTTTCTTCCTGCCTCCATCAAGGATTTTGTTGGACGGAACTTCATCTCAGGAGGAGGCTGCTTTTGCTTCTCCACATTGTGAGTACAAAGAGTCTATTTTAGGGTTAGTGTCCTTAAATCAATTAATGTGATTTTCTTGGTCTCCAATTACAGACAAGTTAAAATTCTTCAGTACACCCTAGACTTCCCCAGCATCCCAATCAGTCCAACAGCTCTAGGAGGAAACTGAGGACTGGGTTATAGGTAGTTCCTTTTAGAATACCCTGTCCTCCCAGGGAATTGGTGCCAGGTCTCAAGAAAGAAAGCAGGTTCATGACCCTTAGGAAACTCTTCCGATCTAAGGCACTGTGACCAGTTTAATTTGAATACATACATAACTTTTCAAAGTATAAAAAAATATATATATATGTTGTTGTTATTGTCTTGCACATATCAAGAATAATATTGCTCCCTCCAAAGTACCCTAAAGCAAAGGTGGTCTTCTTTGAGTGAGACTCTCTAGGACTGTCTTTGTTGTCTGTTGTACTTTATTCAAATGTGTCGCAGAAATCTTCATGGTTATTTATGTAGTGATCTTCTGAGCTGTGGGCATAGACTGTTTCTTCTGCTCAGGTAATCATTAGTCAGCACAGCGGCCTTCTCTTTGCCAGCTCAGAGAGTAGCAGGCTGCATTACAGGTTGTCTCCTTCTACCAGACAATCGGAGCCCCTGTATAAGTTGTGCTCTTTGATAGTTATGCTCTTAATCAGCCGCAGGGGCGAAGGCAGTAAACAGTAATTAATATGCAAATTTGCAAGTAACCTGCCTCTCTGTGCTGAGGCTTCTTTGTTTGTTTGTACAATCTTGGACAAACTGGGGTTTGTCTGATTCGTAATTAGCAGGATAAATATAAAATTATGACATTAATTGTTAGCTAGCTTTTTAAAAATGGTAGTATACCCCTGCTGTGCCTGAGATGCTGCAGCTCAGTAGGGGGTTCCTTCAAAAATGAATTTTAAAATGCCAAAATACCCATTTTAATTAAAAGGCAAACACTGAAATGAGTTTGGCACTTCAGAAATCATAGTTACCGGGCAACAAATCATCGATGCATATATTAACAATTAGTATTTCTACGTTAGTTGACCTTATCCCAGTGCAAAAAGAGAGGATCACTCTTTCTAATAATAATAACGAAGAGTAATATTTATTAAGTGCTCTGCACCAGTTACTGTGCTAAGCACTTTTCTTGCATTATTTCAGTGAATCTTCACAACAGCTAAGCTAGGTGCTGCTGTTAATATCCACATACAGATGTGGAAGTTGAAGCTTTAGATAGGTTTTCTAAAGATAAGCTTTTCTGGTTCTATTCTCTCATTGTGGTATCCTCATGACTACCTACAGCTCCCATTTCTTTTCTAGTTCTCCCTTCTCTGAGAAGTCTACCATTTAGCTACTTTCAACTAATTCTTCATCAGCAAGCTGATGATGGCCCAAACCATATCTCTAGCTCTGACCTGTCTCTTAAATTCTAGTCCACAAAAGATGGTCACTTCTGCTACTGACTGAAGCCCAGATTTCGTAGTCTGACATTGAAGACTCTCCACAGTCTGGCCCAGCTACTTTCTAACTTTTATTTCCCATTTTACCCTTTCATTATTCAGTTCAGCTCCCAAGGCACTATATTTGTCCCTGTGGGTGAGGTGGGGTAGCAAAAAGGGGAAAGTGAAATTTTAAAAAGCACTTATTGTCAAGGAGTTTGGTGGTGGGGGGTTAGGGGAGAGAATTTGAAGGAAGCAAAGATCAAATTCCAAACTACAGATTTTTGATTGCCCTGTAGGTAGAAAAGTAGAAATAGGAAACCAGGGCCTCTCTCTTGGTAACACAGCCCAGTGCCTTAAATATCACATAATGCCCATAAAACGCTTGATAAGGGTTTTCTTCCAACCCCATCTATATATCCCTAGAAGCAATTTCTTTCCTTCCAAGTCCTACCTCGACGTTGCCTCACCCAGAAAGCCTTCTCCTGCTTCTCCAGAGCAGACTCAGGCATCCTTCTGCTCTACTAGCACCCTACAGCCATCCTTTGCCAATTACAGGATGATATCACACCTTGGTGTAACAATGTGTTTGTCGGGACTGTCTCCCTACTAGACAACAGTGAGCACTCTGAGGTTAGAAAGAGGGTCATTTCCCTTTCTGTCTCATGCCTAGCACAGGGCTTGGCACCCAGCTGGCACTCAGGAACTGCTGCTCCTTGCAAGCAGCCAGTGTCAGACCTGCTAACAAAGTTAAAATGCACCTTCAGAGAGGAAATTAACAATGCAAAGCAGAGGACAGTGAAAAGAGACCTGGGGGAGTAGCTGAGTAAAATCGACCCCTAGACTGGCCTTGAGCAAGTGATCTCTAAAAAACTTAGCTGACTGGTGAGGGCTAGGAATTAGAGGGGTTGCAAGATGAAGTGAAATGACTTCAGAAACCGCTCCACTCCAGGACTCTGAAACAAAACACCCCAGGCACTGCTCTGGAGGCCTAGTCTTTGGATCTGGCCACTTTGGACAGGTTTTTGGGGGAGAGGAGGAGGTGTATAATTTACTCTGGTCTTTTAGGAGACAATGAAATAATGGCTGCATTAGAAAGCAATTTCCCCACTGCTGCCTTAGTAGTCATTAGAAATCTGTGGGACCTTAACTTCAATGGATGCTCAAACGGATACATACCATCAGCCTGAGAGCTGTGAGGTTTCTTTCTGGTATTGTCTGTGGCTCCAAATAGTGTGGTCAAGGCAGGAGGCAGGAGGAAGAAGTATGGGGAGACGCAAAGCAAGCATCTCCATGTTTTCTTTCTTTATTTCTTTTTTCTTTTTTTTTTGAGACAGAGTCTCACTCTGTCCCAGGCTGGAGTACTGTGGCGCAATCTCAGCTCACTGCAACCTCCGCCTCCCGGGCTCAAGCTATTCTCCTGCCTCATCATCCCGAGTAGCTGGGATTACAAGTGCGCGCCACCACGCTCGGCTAATTTTTTTATTTTTAGTAGAGATGGGGTTTCACCACACTGGCCAGGCTGGTCTTGAACTCCTGACCTCGTGATCCACCCGCCTCGGCCTCCCAAAGTGCTGGGATTACAGGTGTCAGTCACTGCGCCCAGCCTTTTGTTTGTTTGTTTTTGTTTTTGTTTGTTGTTATTGTTGTTGTTTTAAGACAGAGTCTCCCTCTGTCACCCAGGCTGGAGTGCAATGGCGCGATCTCAGCTCACTGCAACCTCCTCCACCTCCAGGGTTCAAGAGATGCTCATTCCTCAGCCTCCCGAGTAGCTGGGACTACAGGTGGGTGCCACCACACCCAGCTAATTTTTGTATTATTAGTAGAGATGGGGTTTCACCACATTGGCCAGGCTGATCTCGAACTCCTGACCTCAGGTGATCCGCCTGCCTCAGCCTCCCAAAGTGCTGGGATTACAGGCGTGAGCCACCACACCCAGCCGCATCTCCACGTTTTCAATATGCCTTCAACCTCCCCCTCCTCCCTCCATAAGACCCTCCCCGATTAGCCACAGAAGATTGCCACAGCGTCAGTTATCAAAGGGTAGGAGATTGTCCCAAAACACACACTTTGGGGCTACAGCTTGAACGAGTCCTGGGCCATTCTCCTAGGACTCAGCCCTCCTCCCTAGTGCTGACCTAGCCACTTTGTTCTCTAGTTTTCCAGGCTTCTACCCCAGCTCTTTCTAGAGCCTTTGCACAGATTGCAAGGCACAATGCAGTGGGAACTGAGGAGAAGAAGCCAGAGGGTGTTTGGGAGCAAGCATCTGTTGATTCAACTTCTGCCACCTCCAGCAGCTACAGTCTGAATTCTCGTTCTTCTGCCCTGTACCCATACTCTTCATCCAGAACAGGTCCGCTTTTATTATTTTTATTTTTCGGTGTTCCACATAAAAGTTTATTTTTAAAAAGGAGAGTTCTTCTGTTTAAAAAGAGAGACAGCAGAAAACAAAAACAAACAAAAAAAACCTATGACTCTAACATCACTCATGAATCAGGCAATCAGGCCGGGTGCCGTGGCTCACGCCTATAATCCCAGCACTTTGGGAGGCCAAGGCGGATGGATCACTTGAGGTCAGGAGTTCGAGACCAGCATGGGCAACATGGTGAAACCCCATCTCTACAAATACAAAAATTTGCTGGGTGTGGTGGTATATGCCTGTAGTCTCAGCTACTCAGGAGGTTGGGGCACGAGAATTGCTTGAACCCAAAAGGTGGAGGTTGCAGTGAGCTGAGATCACATCAGTGCACTCAAGCCTGAGCAACAGAGCAGGACTCTGTCTCTAAATAAATAAATATAAAAAATAAAATAACAAAATTAAAATATATATGAAAAATCAGACAATCACGTGTAGTAGATAAGAGGAGGGATTGAAGGCCAAATAGCCAGCCAGGGCTAGATCCTGGCTTTGTCATTTACTTGCTGCATAACTTTGTGCAAGTTACTTCATTTTTAGTCCCTGTTCCTTAGTTTATTTATCTGAAAAATGTGGCTAATGATCTTGCCTCCCTCACGAGGTTGTTGTGAAACTTTTACTATCATTAGAACCTGTCCTCCACAAGGGCAAGGATTTTTTTTTTTTTTCTGTTTTGTTCATTTCTGTATCCCAAGCACCTAAAACAGTCTCTGGCACATAGAAAGTACTCAATAAATAATTGTTGAATGGATTGAATGAACACATTTTGCAACTCTCATTCCTTGTGGTTTTGGAAGCCACAAAATAATATTACTTCCTTTGCTCCTGCTCCTATCAATTGGTCCCTGATCTTCTGTGTCTTGCAGCCTGTAGAAGTGATGCTTCAATAAAGAACATGACCTGGGAGAAAAGGCTCTGCATGAGAAGGATGAGAAACGTTCTGGGACAAGCTTGTCTCTTCCATATCTGCGGCCTCAGTTTCCCCTCACTATTAAATTCTAGGGTTGGGCTGGGCTCAGCGGCTCACGCCTGTAGTCCCAGCATTTTGGAAGGCTCAGGCAGGCGGATCACCTGAGGTCAGGAGTTCGAGACCAGCCTGGCCAACATGGTGAAACCCCATCTCTACTAAAAATATAAAAATTAGCCAGGTGTGGTGGCGGGCACCTGTAATCCCAGCTACTCTGGAGGCTAAGGCAGGAGAATCACTTGAACCTGAGAAGCAGAGGTTGCAGTGAGCTGAGCTTGTGCCACTTTAGTCCAGCCTGGGCGACAGAGCAAGACTCTGTCTCAATCAATCAATCAATCAATTAATTAATTCTAGGGTTGGAAGCAGAAGATGCAAGTACATGACTCAGCTAGGTGACTGACCATAAAAGATACCTGATCACAGGCTGGAAGTGAAACTAGATGGCTAGGCCGGGTGCAGTGGCTCAGTGCCTGTAATCCCAGCACTTTGGAAGGCCAAGGCAGGCGGATCACTTGAGGTCATGAGTTTGAGACCAGACTGGCCAACATGGTGAAACCCCATTTCTACCAAAAAAAAAAAAAAAAAAAAATTAGCCAGGAGTAGTGGCGGGCACCCAGTAGTCTCAGCTACTCGGGAATCTGAGGCAGGAGACTCACTTGAACCCTGGAGGCAGAGGTTGCAGTGAGCTGAGATTGTGCCACTTGCATTCCAGCCTGGGTGATAGAGTGAGACTCTGTCTCAAAAAAGAAAATAAAAAAAAAAAAAAAAAGAAAGAAAGTAAAAAAGAAACTAAATGGCTAATTTGGTAAAAATAGGTAGGCTCACAGAGTCATGGTGCCAGAAAATAATCATAAACATTTCTCAAAGAGCCATCAAAAATTATTCGAAAATCTGAAATTCTTTTCTCAAATCACAGTATGCTGCTTCTCCATTACAACTGATTAAATGTTTTCATATAATGGTCACTCAAAATTCCATGAAGGAAAGGGGTATCGACCTGAAGATTTAAGAGCTCTTTTAAAGAAAGCCTTCCTTGCCTCTCTGAAAACCTATCAAACCTGTGGATTCCATGTGGGCACAGAGTGAGGATGCCCATGAGCGCTGCCCCTCACCTAGGAAAGAAGCTCGTCAATGCAACTACACACTCAAGATTCATTACAGTTAGTTCAGGTGAAATTACATGTATTAGTAATTTCAGATTCGATTATTTACATAATAACAATTACTATTGAAATGTGCCTGTGCAGTTGACACCCATGAATAATGGAGAAGCACACACCATACTTAGTACACATGATAGACTTTTATCCAGGCATTCAAGAAAAGACTGAGGAGTGGTACAAATTATTATTGGTAGTAGGGCAAACAATAGTGCCTCATTGGACAATTGCATGTTAGTGAAGCCTAGCAAAGAAGCCAGTCTCCATTCTCCCCTTGCAATAAGCTGTACCTGACACATAGGAGTAATAGTTTACTCTAAAACACCCTCAAATCACTTTTGAAACTTGCACAGCTCAGCTCTGGGGGATATAGAATTTCCTTTTTTTTGTTTTTGTTTTTGTTTACATTAGGAACTTGGCCTTTCCTTTTAGTTATGGTACCTGTGCTTAGTGGGGCTTCAGCGTATTGTAGACCTTGTCATCACTTAATAGTAGAAAGCAACCTTCTCACCTGCCATAATCAGGCTTTCCAATTCCATAGACGTAGGTATGTTAGCGGCCTGAAGCGTACTCGGAGAATGCAGAGATCTTGGCATTTAAGCCTAGTGTAACACTTCTGACCTAGGTTTCTCCCACATTTGGAGGTTATCAGTCCTTTTTTGTCAGATTTGTGATGTGCCCTAGCTGAAGTGGAAGCTCTCCTGTCACTTTCTAGCCTCTCTCTTTCTTTCCATGTGCTGTGAACTCTGTCTAGCATCTTTTGAGCATTCATTCTTTCATTCTTTAAGCAGTCCTTGAGCACCTACTAGGAGTCAGGCATTGTGCACGGCACTGAAAAATGCAGCCCTTGATCTCCTTCTGGTGGCCACTGTCTCTGCTATTGATTCTTTCCTCCCTCCATCAACCTGGACATTAGTAGTCCAACCTTTACTTTATTTCTTCATTATTATTATGTTAATAATACATGCTCTTTGAAGAACAAATAGGACGTACAGATAGAAAAAAAGATTTTTGAAATTTGAAATCATTTAATCATTACTTTTTCTCTCCAGGAAAGCAGAGATCATAATGCAAGATACAACATAAAAGGGGTAAAGAGCTATTTATCTTGTTTAACTTTTCTTTTTTTTTAAGACAGAGTCTCACTCCATCACCCAGGCTGGAATGCAATGGTGCAATCTCAGCTCACTGCAACCTCTGCCTCCAGGGTTCAAGTGATTCTCCTGTATTTTCACTCTGTATTTTCAGTGTCTGCCATGTCACACCTCATAGTGTGTGATATGCATGTGAGGTGAACACAGTTCTCATGTTAATCCATGTTAAATGTGACAGACAACTGGTGACACTCTGTCTCTCTTCTCCTGAACCTTTCCATGTGACACAAAACCAACACTTCTCTCTTAAGGATATGTGCTGGGCACCCACTGATAAAACAAAGAGCACCATGACACAAGCAAGCCCTTGTCATGGCTACTGACTCCTGATTTCAGGTGGTGGCAGGGCAAGTATTTGAAGCTGCTGCCCTACTGGCCACTTGGTGTGCCAACTATTTGTGCCATGGCCAGTGCCACAGCCTGGGAGATACTGGGGTCAATGAGAAACATAGGATGTATGGACACCGCAGTGTATAACATATGTGAGAAAGTCTAGAGATTAAGTTCTTTTTTTTTTTTTCTTTTGAGATGGAGTCTCGCTCTTGTAGCCCAGGCTGGAGTGCAGTGGCACAATCGCAGCTCATGGCAACCTCTGCCTCCCAGATTCAAGCGATTCTCCTGCCTCAGCCTCCCAAGTAGCTGGGATTACAGGCACAGGCCACCATGCCTGGCTAATTTTTGTATTTTTAGTAGAGACAGGGTTTCACCATGTTGGCCAGGCTGGTCTAGAACTCCTGACCTCAAGTGATCCACCTGCCTCGGCCTCCCAAAGTGCTGGGATTACAGGCATGAGCCACCATGCCCAGCCAAGATTAAGTCCTTACATAGTGGTTTTGCCATTTACTGTAAATCTACAGTTATTTATTTTATTGATAATGTGTTTATATGCATTAAATCCTTTGACAGCCATGAGAGCTATAGAAGGAAATAGAAATCAATAGAGGTGAAATTTAATGAAAAATTAAGTACTAAACATCCAATTTAAGAAAGTTAATAGTGAACATGTTTCTTGGACAAAAAGTTTGTTGACATTTGTCATTCTCCATGGGGGTCATAATGATACCATTGCCTACATGAGAATCAAAAGGCTAAGTCTGCCAAGGAAGCAAAGGTATCAATGGTTAATAGTTATTTTTAAGGATGTGCTGGCAGAAAAGTTAACCACTAAAGCTTCAGGAGGTCCATTTACATATCACTCTGAAGCTTGACTTTTTGTTTCAATCAAATGAATGTTCTTCTAGACATGTTTTAATATATTTTTCCATTTTAAGTTTCCCTGTGTACATAGAAAAAGTAAAACAAGAAATGTTATGTATTGTTTCCATTAACAGAATCACAGTTAATTATCACCAGTTTTATGTCAGCATCATCATTCACTTTATTTATTTTTGTTGTTGAGACACAGTCTCCCTCTGTCACCTAGGATGAAGTGCAGTGACACTATCTCAGCTCACTGCAACCTCTGCCTCCCGGGTTCAAGTGATTCTCGTGCCTCAGCCTCCTAAGTAGCTGGGATTACGGCCACATGTCATCACACCCAGCTAATTTTTCTATTTTTAGTGGAGACAGGGTTTCGTCATGTTGGCCAGGGTGGTCTCGAACTCCTGACCTCAAGTGATCCACCCTCTTGGCCTCCCAAAGTGCTGGGATTATAGGCATGAACCACCACACCCAGCCTATTTATTTTAAATAGAAAATCTTTTAATTGCAATATTGGGTCAATTTTTAAAAATCTAATTCTTGGAATCGAAATAGAGCTTTTAGATGTTAATTTTGTCACACCGATATCATTGTGAATGAGTTTGAAAATTCTATGTAAAAGTAGGAATTTGAAAATAAATTTACTTCTGTGGTGATAATAATACAGGTTTTGGTAGAGCAGAAAGTCATGATAAAAACAGTGTTCTCCAGTTGTGGAGCAGAAATGTACTAAGAATTGGTGTAGTTATAATTTACAGTCATATTCAAACAAGTTGTGATATTCTACCAATCAATGAAGAAGTTGTGGTTGATAAAGTGAACAAATATGATTAAATACAGTGTTATGAACTACAAAGCTGATGTTGAACACTCTTAATTATGCCAGCATGGCACTATGTGCTTTGTCTTTTTTTCTGTTATTTGTAGAATTTTAGAAATACTTGAGCCTTTGAAGAACTATTTTATATATTAACCTAAGTGCCTATCAATGACATTGAACATTTATATAAAAAATTCTTCTGAATTTGGCCTGCATTTTATTCAAAATTAGTTGGAAATATTAAGTCAAAGTGCTTATTAAATAAAATGTGAAATATTTCAGGCTGTTGATGCTTTAATAAATTGCAATTATTGAAAACAAAGCTTGCAAATGAAAAATATCAAAATGTATTCTGACAAAAGCAAGAGGAAAGTGAATAAACTAGAAAAGAGAGCTCAAACGATCCATGATTATGCTTCAGAATATATCATCTCGTGGGAAATATCTTTTGATAACATTCCTGTTTTAACTGGATAAATTCATATTCTGTACCAGAATGGGAAAATTATTCAGAAGGTCTTCAGTTTGGGGGCACCTACATTTGGTATAACATTCAAGAAAAGATTGGTAAATAGAGACAACTTTTTTCAATGAATTTTTATTTATAAAATTATTTGCTGAAATATTTATTTTACTTTTCACTTTTTTAGATGAAGTCTCACTCTGTTGCCCATGCTGGAGTGCAGTGAGACGATCTCAGCTCACTGCAACCTCCACCTCCCAGGTTCAAGTGATTCTCCTGCCTCAGCCTCCCACGTAGCTAGGATTACAGGCGTGTGCCACCACGCCCAGCTCATTTTTGTATTTTTAGTAGAGACGGGGTTTTGCCATGTTGGCCAAGCTGGTCTTGAACTCCTGACCTCAAGTGATCCACCCACCTTGGCCTCCCAAAGTGCTTACAGGCGTGACCCCCCCGTACCCAACTTGAAATATTTACTTTAAATAGAGACAAAAATATAGCACTTGTGAAAATATTTGTGATGAAGTATTCAATTTGAAAATTAAATATTTCATTTGTGAAAATTCAAATAAAAAATTAAATTGAAAATGTGTATATTTTTAGCAGAATTCGTTCTGAGTTTACCAAGTGCCTCAGCACCTGTACAGAGTTATTTTCTCAGACAAGAATCAACTAAAGGTGATAACAATTTCAAAATGTATTATAACCCTAAAATGCAATCTTTAAAATGAGTTGAGCAATTATATGTAAAAAGTTAATTTATAGCCTGGGCAACACAGCAAAACCTTGTCTCTACAAAAAATGCAAAAAGTTAGCCTGGCATGGTGTCATGCATCTGTAGTCCCAGCTACTCAGGAGGCTGAAGTGGGAGGATCACTGAGCCTGGGAGGTCAAGGCTTCAGTGCATCAAGATCATGTCACTGCACTCCAGCTTGGGCACCCTGTCTCAAAAAAAATTTTAATTTAATAAGACCATATTGAAAAAATTTATCAGAAAAATACCAGTAAGGCCAGGTACGTGGCTCACACCTATAATCTCAGCTCTTTGGGAGGCTGAGGTGGGCCAATTGCTTGAGCCCAGGTGATACGGTTCGGCTGTGTCCCCATCCAAATCTAATCTTGAATTACAGCTCCCATAATTTCCATGTGTTGTGGAAGGGGCCTGGTGGGAGATAACCGAATCATGGGGGCGGCTCCCCCCATACTGTTCTCTTGGTAGTGAATAAGTCTCATAAGATCTGATCGTTTTATAAGGGGAAACCCCTTTTGCTTGGTTCTTATTCTCTCTTTGCTGGCTGCCATGTAAGATGCTTCTTTGCTCTTCCTTTGTGTTCTGCCATGACTGTGGGGCCTCTCCAGCCATGTGGAAATGTGAGGAAATTAAACCTCTTTCCTTTATAAATTGCCCAGTCTTGGGTATGTCTTTATCAGCAGTGTGAAATGGACTAATACACCAGAAGTTCAAGACTAGCTTGGGCAACACAGTAAGACCCTGTCTGTATAAAGAAAGAATAAGAAAAAGAAAAATATCAGTGGCATAATATTAGACAGAATACTATAAAACTGATTAAGGCACATTAATATAGCCAGAATAATTATTCTGATTATATCATTTTGAAAGACCAGATAATCAATATAACTGATTTTTATCCCGAGTAGCTCAGACTTGCAAGCATGCACTACCATACTTGGATAATTTTTTAAAATTATTTGTAGAGATGCCCGGGTGCAGTGGCTCACACCTGTAATCCCAGCACTTTGGGAGGCCGAGGCGGCAGATCGCAAGGTCAAAAGATCGAGACCATCCTGGCCAACATGGTGAAACCCCATCTCTACTAAAAACACAAAAATTAGCCGGGTGTGGTGGCATGCGCCTATGGTCCCAGATACTCGGGAGGCTGGGGCAGGAGAATCGCTTGAACCTGGGAGGTGGAGATTGCAGGGAGTTGAGATCACGCCACTGCATTCCAGCCTGGCAACAGAGTGAGACTGCATCTCAAAAAAAAAAAAAAAAAAATTATTTGTAGAGATGAGGTCTTACTGTATTGCCCAAGCTGGTCTCAAAATCCTGGACTCAAACACTCTGCCTGCCTCGGCCTCCCAAAGTGCTGGGATTGTAGATATCAGCCACCATGCCTGTCCATTCTACTCTCTACCTCCATGAGATCCACTTTTTAGCTCCCACGTGAGTGAGAACAGGTGATATTTGTCTTTCTGTGCCTGGATTACTTCACTTAACATAATGGCCTCCAGTTTCATCCATGTTGCTGCAAATGACAGGATTTCATTCTTTTTTATGGCTAATATTTCATTGTGTATATATACCACACTTTATCCATTCAACCATGGTGGACACTTAGGTTGATTCCATATCTTGGCTATTGTGAATAGTGCTACAATAAACATAGTAGTGCAGATATCCCTTCTAGCTAGTAGAATACAGCAAAGGTGATGGCGCATCACTCTCATGATTATGTTACATTATATTGCAATGAAGGGGTTTTCCCAATGTAATTAAGGTCCTTAGCCAGTTGAGTTTAAATTAATCTAAGAGAGATTATTTTGGATGGGCCTGACCCAATCTGACAAGCCCTTTAAAAGGAGTCTAAAATTCAGAGATGCTGGATTTGCAGTAGAAAACTGCCATGAATTCTATAGCTGCAAAAAAATGAATCCTGCCAACCACTACATGAAATTGAAGAGGATCTTGAGTCTCAGGTGATACTCTGGCCCCAGCTGACACTGTGATTTCAGCCTTGTGAGACTCTGAGCAGAGAAGCCAGCTAAGCAGTGTCCAGATTTCTGACCCATGGAACTGTGAGATCATACGTATATGCTATCTTAAGGCACTGTGTTCCTGGTAATTTGCTACAAGCAATAGAAGACTCAATAAAAGGGCTTGAAAATGAGGGGTGAAGGCCAAATAGGGAACCTACCAACCTACCAAAAACATGATGAGCCTGATGATAATTAAAGCTAACTGGAAATGCACAGCTGCTAAGAGCCACAGCATGGCACTGCCACTTGATGGGGAGACAGAAGTGAGAAAAGCAGTAACAGATTCCTTTTCAGATCTGAAATAAAAACTATCACTCATTCGATTATTATCTGAAGCACATCCCTAATCGTAGCTGGTTTGCTATGTAATTCAGACATCTTTTTGCAAAACAAAGAGAAAAAACTTAATCTTAAGGTTACTGATTATCTTCCAAAGTGTCTACATGCATTAGTCAGCAATGCTGGCTCCTTTGCAATGTCTTTGAAAGATAATAGTATTTACACCCTCTGTACTGCTCTCACCCAACTCTCCAACCAGCTAGAAAATGTGAAGATCTTTCAAATAGTTAAAGAAAGCAGTGTGTTAGCCCTGGGGTCACTGAAAAGCATTACCTGATTACTGATTTTTCTATCATTCTGATACTCCATTTTGAAATGGAATGAAAGGGTAGGGGAAAGAATTGGGCTCCACTGATGTGTAGAAGCCTTGAAAAATCTCTAGTAATTTTTAGCATTGGAGATCCTAGGTTATAGGAAATATATGAATATATTTAAAAGTTTACTTAAAGCAGGCTGTTTATGTTATGCTTTAGCTCCTAAAAGCTGTGAATAAATTTTGTCATCAATTGAACATCACTTTAAATGCATCAGAGAGCTCAACATTTGAAGAAACTCTGCAGTAAATCAAAGTAACGCAAATTAGCTTTTTGGAGTGTGTATAATTAGGCAACCTAAAGCTTCTGTTGTACCGATACGGATTTTTTAATATCAGGATTTCTTAAACTGGAGAACAGGTAACCAAAAACTACTTTGGATTCATTTTCATGAAGTGCAGTTGTCCATAGAAACCTCAGCTGATGTGGGATAGTCCCAGATGAGCCTTGCTGGAAGATAGCAGCATGAACACAGATTGATCTGGGACACCGAAAAAGGGAGGCTGACGGGCCTCTAGAAAGCTATGTCCACCAGGAGGGCTATAGACACTGGAGGCTCCTGAATAGGATACAGGCCTACCTTCGAGCCAGGATGTTAAGGAAAGAGAGCTCACGGTCTTATGAGACAGTATCCTACATTTTGCAATCAGACTTTAATGGGTTGAAGTCCTGGAACCTTGGCATACTACCTGTGTTCACCAGGGAAAGCTCTTAACCACTCTGTGCCCACCTCTTATCTGTAAAATTGGAATAATAAAATCCCAGTTTGGTAGGGTTAGTGTGAAGATTAAATGCAAGACTTTGATAAAGTACGCCTATACTTAGCATGTTTTTAATCATTGCTAGCTATTACCATCTAGCACAAGGGAGTTCTAGAGGCTCCAGTTAGGCATGTACCGCATTATGATGCTTGCCTCGATGACAGATTGTGCATATACAACAATGTTCCCATAAGATAGTACCATATTTTTACTGTACCTTTTTCTATGTTTAGACACACAAATACTTACCATTGTGTTACAGTTGCCTACAGTATTCAATACAGTAACACACTGTACAGGTTTGTAGCCTAGGAGCAAAGGCTATACCATATAGCCTAGGTATTTAGTAGGCTATACCATTTAGGTCTGTGTAAGTACACTCTCTGATGTTTGCATAAAGACGAAATTTCCTAACAACACATTTCTCAGAATGCATCCCCATCATTAAGGAATGCATGACTGTATTAAAAAGATTGACTCAACCCCGGAGGAAAAAAAAAAAGGATTTAAGGAAATAAGCATGTCATAGGGAAAGTGCGAGTTTCTCCAGCAGCAAATGCCTTGGGCATTTTTAGTTCAATGACTGTGTACCATTTCTAATCATTATCTCATTTAGAATTATAATGAAGAATGTTGGGAATAATTAACCCTGTTCTATAGTCCCAGGAGCCTGTCACTGCAGTAGGAAGGATTAGGTACCAGCTCTGTGTGTCCTCTACTGAGCAGACACACAGGATTTCTGTCAGTTTTGGGCACACAAGCACATTCCCCCAGTAATACGATGTCAGCCAGACTCTCTTTTCAGGCAATTGTAATAAATTCCCCACCCAATGCATAGCAGCAAAGATAATATCTTGCATTCATCTCATGCCTTGACAACATTTTTACTGGCATAGAACAGCACCAGCTCCTAAAAACACCTAGCCCTTTAAAAAGCCTGGAAACTACAACAGCAATGAGTTGAGTGTCCCTTTAGAGCCCGATGTGGTAAATCCTCTCTCTGCTGAGCTGCCAGCTTAGAAGCCCACTCCCTCCTTTGTTAGGAATTCTAGTCACAAAAACCTACAATAAAATGCTGCAGGCACATCAATAAAGGATATAATGAAATCAAATGAGTCTTGTTCCTCACATTTACATGCAAAGTATATCAAAGGAGCATCCATTGTGTTCCTGAGATCCGCACAATGGATTCTTTTGTGTGAGGGGAGAGAAGATATATGAAGCTGAATTAGGAAGCAATTCCAATTAAAAGGGCTGTGTTTAAGGCTGCAAAGACAATGCAGCCTTTGCTAGACAGTTAGCTATTAGCAGCGTCTGGCTGCCGAGGTGGTTTTATGGTAATTGTCCTAGAGCTGTGTGGAAGGGGACGCAGCAGCATGACCCCCAGTCCCAGGCTCCGGGGTTACACTGCCTTAGTTCCACTGTACTCCTGTGTGACCTTGTGGATGCTAACAGTACCTGCTAATAGGGTTGTTATGGGAATGATAAGAACTAAAGTAGATAAATGACTTTGGGCAGTGCCAGGCACATGTTAAGCACTCTAGCTAGCTATTATATTTGTGATCTTCTTGACTGGCCCCCACACCAGTACTGGCACCTTGCATACGTGCATGGGCCAGAATAACCCAGACAAGGAAGTGGGTTCCTGGAAGCATTTCTGGGAGGCCACCTGCTATGTGGTGAAGGGAAAGTTGTCCTTGGGCACAAAGGCCCAATTTAAACAAACAGAAGTTCCGAGATGAAGGGGCCCTGCCCTGAACTTCCCAGCAGCCGCTCAACACTGAGTTCACTTTTTGTTTCTCCTGATGTTAGTGACATAGTGAAAGTTGAGTCCAGCTTTCCGTCCTACAGAAATGGAGTTCCTTTTGCCAATTTTGGATGCCTGGGACACATATCACTTGAATGAGCTCTTCTGTTTCCTCCACGCTTTCACATTGTGTTGCTTGGGAATCAGAGTTGGTAAACTGCACCTCAGAGATAAGTTCTTCCCTGTGGCAGGTGGTTTGCAATTTTCCTCTAAAGTCTTCATTCATCTTTTTTTTTTTTTTTGAGACAGAGTCTTGCGCTCTTGCTTTGTCACCCAGGCTGGAGTGCAGTGGTGCGATCTTGGCTCACTGCAACCTCCGCCTCCTGGTTTCAAGCGATTCTCCTGCCTCAGCCCCCCGAGTAGCCGGGATTACGGGCGTGCACCACCACACTCAGCTATTTTTTGTATTTTTAGTAGAGACAGGGTTTCACCATGTTGGCCAAGCTGGTCTCAAACTCCTGACCTCAGGTGATCCACCTGCTTCGGCGTCCCAAAGTACTGTGATTACAGATGTGAGCCACTGCACCTGGCTATCTTCATTAATCTTAAATGAGATTCGCCTTCTTGAAACTGAGCATGAGGGCTGAATGGTGTCGGCCCATATCTGTAGCTGAGACACGGCAGAGGGTCTATCTATGTGGAGAATCACACTTCTCAGGGAGTAAGGAGATGGGGCATTTGACTGTTTCTCCCTCACCCAGATCACCAAAGGGCCTCTGGAGTTTCCTGTAGCACAGGCATATTGAAAATTCTTGGCTTCGTAACTTTTGTGTCACTCTTCATTTACCTTACTAGAAGTGTAATAATTTGCAGTGGGGAACACGAGTCGGGGGAAGTTTGAAGTGTAAATGGAACATGGATGAAATTATGGAATACATGAGAAATTCAGAACCAAGGAAACCATGAAGGCTCTGACAGACATGAGGTGCCTGAGGACCCCCACCAGACACTGGAGACAAAAAGAAGAGCACAGTCCCACGACAATTAGTCCATCTGTAGGAAGTTGCAGTTGTCACTCTGCAAAGCATAGGCTATGTACCTGGATGCTCATTTCAAAAGTGGCTTTTATGATCGTGGAGATGTAAATGGCCCTAAATCATAGTGCCTCAGATGTGAGAAAGCCCTGAGGAATAATGACATGAAGCCGTCACTCTTGTGGTGACATCTTAAAACCAGTCATGAGGAAGGGAGAGGAATAGGAAAGGAGAGGCTACAAAAGAGGCTTTATTTCCATCTGTAATATTGGGTTTCGTTAAGAAGGACTTCAAGTCATTATGGCCAAAGGTAAATATTTGTTAAACCTGGGTGGTAAGTCGTAGGTATTGGTTATGTTGCTCTCTGCACTTGACTAAAGGCTTGAAAGTATTTAAATTTTTTTTAACAATTATGTAGATTTTGAAGGAAAAGCAACATAGTTTTTGGCAACATAAAAGGGAGAAGGCTTGGCTAAGAATAGCACAATTAAGAGCAAATACAATCAGCATGCAAAGCTTCCTTCAAGGTAAGTTTCAGAATGACCTGGAAGGTGCCATTCAACAGTTCATGTCAAAACCCTTCCTTCCCTCTGATGCAGAAAGATCTGTTTTATTTATTTTTTTATTTTTATTTTTCAACAAAAGCAAGTTTGGTTTATTTGAATGATTTCATTAAATAAGTCTACAAAGGTAACAAACTGAAGCACAAAGCGCGATCTTACAAGAAACGCAACACCCAGAGTTAGTGCAAAATGTACAATTAATGACTGCTGAGAAACCCCTGAAGTTTGAACTTTTATATTTTTTAAAGTGTACATTGTTAAATAATGTAAGGAAAACATTTATAATTCAGAAAGTTTGTAATGTGGAAAAAGATACTCAAAGTGTACTATTAACACAAAAATAATTTAAACAAACAGGTCAGTAGCACTAGTCCATTCCTTTAGGCTTCAGTTATTTCATCCACAGGAGGATGAAATCAACAGTAAATAAAACCAGTTCTGACTTTTTGTGTATGAGTGAAAAGATGTCAAAATTATTAAACCCAAATAACAAATGATAATGTGCTGCATTAGGCTCCCTGCTCCTCTGGTATAAAGTATGTTTCACTCTTAGGTGGCCCCTTTCTCAGCTACTCCGCCCCTTGTTGGTTCTATCCTTACTCTCTCCACAAGAAATATAAGCAGAAAATAAATTAGTAAATCGTTTCCTTTCTACCTTTTAAAAACCTTCAACTCTCATTTGCATATTTAGGGCCATAGACTAACGTAATAAGGGAAGCAGGGCCCTTAAGGAATGAACAGGGTACGGAGAGCCTCCAGCCTCTTTCTGTGGTGGTGGTGGTGATTCCCGGAATATGTCATTGATGTGGGTAAGAAAGATCTGTTTTAATTCAAATAAGCCAAAGTTCTGGGATGGAGGGGCACTGTCCCAGCACTTCCCAGCCACTCAGTGTTCACTTCTTGTTTTCCTTAATATCAGTGAAGTAGTGAAATATAATTTTTAATAATCTAACAAATATCCAACAGCAACAAGACAATGGTTGGGTTACGAATTGGTTCGGTCAGAATGGTGATCAAATGAGAGGTAACTTCGAAACCCCTTTTTTCTTAAAAATACAGACCGACATAATCAAGAAAAAGTGCAGAATACAAATTTAAAACTGAATTGTTTTGTTTCTTCATGTGGGAATAAAATAAAAGACACCAAAACAAAGAGGAAACACCAGGATGGGGGAATGAAAATCATTGTTCAACCTGATCACGAGTGCCTCCCAACCCTGGCTTACTTGGCAAACAGTGAGGCTGACTGCTCTCCATCGTCCAATCTGAGGACAGGCTATAAATGCCTTCCCTGCACACGAGACAGCTACTGTGAGGGAAATGAAACCTAAGGACCCATGAAGTATTGATCGTGGGGAGTATGTGTTGTTTGAGACTTTTAGTTCATTTACTTGTGATAAAAATTTCAGAGTTAAGTGGCAAAATTAAGAATAACATCCTAATTTTTTTTTTTTTTGAGATGGAGTCTCACTCTATGGCCCAGGCTGCAGTGCAATGGCCCGATCTCGGCTCACTGTAACCTCCGCCTCCTGGGTTCAAGCGATTCTCCTGCCTCAGTCTCCCAAGTAGTTGGGATTACAGGCGCACGCCACTACACCCAGCTAATTTTTGTAATTTTAGTAGAGACGGGATTTCACGATGTTGGCCAGGCTAGTCTCGAACTCCTGACCTCAGATGATCCACCCGCCTCAGCCTCCCAAAGTGCTGGGATTACCTGCGTGAGCCACTGCACCTGGCTAACATCCTAAATCATAGTTGTTCACGAAAAAGTCCTTTGACCAGTATTTCTTTGACAAGTGAGACCATCAGGAATCAGACTTACCCTCCCCCAAACTGACCATATTAAAAGAAGATCTAGTTAAGTAAAATTTCCTCCAATGCAGAACTGCATACCATGTCAATTCTCAGTGTCCTTTCCACAGTCATTGCCCTAATAAGAATTGCAAACTTGTAGGCTGGGCGTGGTGGTTCACACCTGTAATCCCAGCACTTTGGGAGGCCGAGGTAGGCAGATTGCTTGAGGCCAGGAGTTCGAGACCACCCTGGGCAATATGGTGAAACCCTGTCTCCACAAAAAATACAAAAATTAGCCAGGCATGGTGATGCACGCCTGTAGTCCCAGCTACTCAGGAGACTGAGGCAGAAGAATCGCTTGAACCTCGGAGACGAAGGTTGCAGTGAGCCAAGTTCGCACCATGGCACTCCAGCCTGTCTCAAAAAAAAAAAAAAAAAAAAAAGAATTGCAAACTTTGAAAAAGAAAATTGTTGCTATTCGAACCCACAGTTGCATTTTAACCTAATTCTCAACAGACTATGACTTTGAGAAAGACAAGAGAAATTACTGGTGCCAATCCTAATGTACATGTTTTTGACTTCATAGACTGAATAAGACTCAGCCTCCTAAACTTGCCCAAAGGATCCCTAGGAAATATTTTTGCTAGGTATTTTTTTTTGATGATTATAAATAATTTGAGAGACTATATTAAAACAAGCATGGAGGTTATGTTTGTTAAGACACGGGGTTGCAAAAATCAACTCAAGTTAGTGAATATAGGGGAGGAAAATGTATTGTAAAGACAGTGGAGTCTCACAGAACTAAAGGGCAAAAATCCATGAGACCCAGGAGGGGCAAAGACCAGGGAGTCTTCTCCCTTCCTCTGTCTCATCATGGTGTCTCTCTGAGAAGTGGCTTCATTCTTCTTGCAAGAAGGGCTTCTTATTTTTACTACTCATTCCTCATGGTGAATTGAAAATGGTTGTCCATAGCTTCCAAATTCACATTTTAAAGTACCAGTCACTCCAATTGCTGGCTTGTGCTCTCACTGTGTCCCCCTCTCCCTCTCTGCAAAAGCATTGTCTCACCCAATTCCATATGTGCAGTTCAGGGATGCTCACTGGTCCCGCTTGAATCAGGTGTCTATGGCCAGCGGGGTAGAGTCACACAGCTGCTGAGAAGGAAGCCAGCAGTCTCCAAGAAGTGGGATGTAGCAAACAACAGGAGGAGGATGCCTTCATTCAATTAGTATTTACTGAACACCTCTGTGCCTGGCACTCTTCTAAGTTCTGGGGAGATAGTGATGAATAAAAAGACAGAGCTCCTCCTCTCCAGAAGCTTGTATTCCATTGGCAGGGGTCGGGGGTGTGGAATAAGCAAATAATTAATAAGTAACAATTGTATCAGATGGTTATAAATGCAGTAAACAATGGTAGTGGTGTGCTGGTATAAATGTCTAACAACCAGTTTTCTGAGAGGCATTGGAAAATTTCTGTGGTGTAAATAGTTCTACCACGATTAATTTCAAGCTACCAATGCAATGTCATTGGATAGGGAGTTGGGAGAGTGCAGTAGGGCCTGACTGTAGAGTGTTTCCACCACACAGATATCATAGACATTAATAATCTCAAGAGCATAAGAGAAATATGTAGTAAAAGACTAGGAAGTGATGAGTTTTGAGAATTTATTAACTTCATTTTTAATATAATTAATTTAATTGGAAGTTAAATCATTCAATTCCTGATGGTGGCTTTATTTAATAACTGGCTCATACAATTCTTGAAAATTTAACTTCCTGTGATCCAGTGTGAGCTAGATCCAAGACAGCACTCCTGGTAAAGAAAGCAAAGCAGGTTGAGCGTTCACGTTCCAGTTATCTAGTGCTGTGTAACAAACAACCTCAAGACCTAGTTATTCGAAATAAGAACTGTTCTATGATATCTCACAATTTTATGGGCCAGATATTCCAGCAGGCTTCAGTTGGGTGGTCCTTCTACTCAGTGGCATCAACTGGCAGATGGACCTATCTTGAGAGTCCAAAGTGGGTTTGCTCACATGTCTGATGCCTTGGTGGGAATCATCAGAAGGTAGGGCTCAGCCGGAACTGTTGACTGGAGCACCTACACTTGGTCACTTCAGCATGGTGGTCTCAAGACATCAAATTCAGGGCTCCTGGAGAAACTGTTCCAAGAGTCAGGAAGTGGGAGCTGCCAATCTCTTAAGACCTCAACCTGAAAACTAGTCCAGCACCACTGCTGCTATATTCCATTGCTCAAACCACTGAACCTGCCTAGATTTAAGTGGACATAGACCTCCCTCTCAACAGGAAGAGTATTAAAGAATCTGTGGCCATCTTTAACGTACCACAGATAGAGAATGGTAATGGTGAAGGAGCTGTGCTTTTTGAAATACAGTGGTTGAGGAAGACTTTTCCACTAAGGTCATTTTTTTTTCTTGAAAACTAAAGGCAATGAGAAGTGAGTCATCTGAACAAATCAAGGGTTTGTGCAGTTTTTTTAAGTCCAGTTCTTGCCAGGCAATCCAGATTAAACCCTCAGACACCATTCTGTTATGCCATAAGGATATCACAACAGAAACGTTTGAGAAGCACCAATTAGACCAACTTCATTCCCCAGGTAAAGGAAACTGAAGCCCAAAGAACTCAAGTGCCTATTCCCAGGCACCAAGTAAGGCCATGCTAGCATCATGCAGGACATGGCTTGAGCTTGGCTCTTCTACCCAGATCTCCTACTTAAAAGTCCAGTGCTTTTTCTATAGCTCCATATTTTTTGTTATTTTTGCAAAATTCTTTGTAGAATCAGTATTATTTCATGATTTAGCATTTAAAACTTTTCCATCTTAAACTACACATATTTTATATCATCAATAAGAATGTAAATTCCTTGAGGACAGAGAGCTTACTTTACACTTCTTCAAGGTTGCTGTATACAATTGTATAGTTCCTGCACTGCACAAGATATCCAGCCAGGCTGGGGAGGCAATGGGATGGGAACCTGCACTTGGCCTGCCAGGCTATGTGTTGTGGGGTAGGGCTGCATTGTCTCAGGGGAATGGGCATCTTTTTCCATTGCTTACAAAGGAGAGGCTGGGGGTAACTATACCTCTCTTACAAGTTAGACATTGTGCAATACAGTGCTGGACACGCAGAAAAGTGTCCTGGTATAGGGGAGGGGAAGTGGGGCATTCTGATTAATAGCCTGCTTTCAGATTCCTCCAAAAGTATCTCTTATGTGCATGCTCCAATTATCTATTGCTGTGTAACAAACCACCTCAAACTTACATAAAACAGCCATCTTATTGTGCTCAAAGATTCTGTGGGTCAGGAATTTGGATGTTACAGCAGGGATGAACTGTCTCCGTTCCACAATGTCTGGACCCCTGCTAAAAACTCAGTTGGGGCTGGAACTATCTGGAGGCTTCTTCCCTTATATATCTGGTGTCAAGGCTAAAATGACTGAAAGGCCAGATTCTGCTGAGACTGTTGACAGGAGCACCTGCATTTGGCCCTCCACGTGATGTAGGTTTCCCACAGCATGGCAGCTGGTCCTATAACAGAGCATCTCAGGAGGGAATGTCTGAAAAGCAAACCTTCCAAGAGAGCCAGGAGAAAGCTGCATGGCTTTTTCTGGCCTAACCTTGGAAGTCACTCCACATCACCTCCACAACATTTTATTGGCTGCAGGTGAGTCACTGAGGCCAGCTTAGATTCAAGGGGAGAGAAATAAGACTGCATCTCGATGGGAGAGGAGAGGTCATATTGCAGATGAGCATGTGGGATGAGAGATATTGTTGTGGCCATCTTTGGAAAATACAACAAGGCACGTGTCTTCAATAATCCTATACCACAAAAGAGATGAAGTAATAATTGAGGGATTGACCCCCAAACAGCCCCACAGTGCTAGGATGAAGAGCCTCTAGGGCAGAGTTCAGATGTACTGCTTTCTGAGGCCAGCGCCTGAGTCTCCGTAAGCCCCTGTCTTTTAAGTCTGTGGTCAGGGAATAAGCTCAGCACGGGCGAAGTGCGCAGCAGAAAAAGGCACCAGATGCTTTTTACCCTTAGGCTTCGTGGTTATGCCACCAAGAAACTCTGCAGACGAGCCTGATGACTGGAGGGTTTGCCTCCCTTTTAATCTGTGGGCCACCAACTAACTGTTAAAGTTGCCAGGGCTCACCGTAGAGCCAGATGTTCTTCACAGATGTGCAAAGGAAGCAGTTTCCTTATTACATCTCTTTAAGTTGTTTGATGCTATAAGATGCCTTTTTTAGTCTAATGGCGGTGCTGGGGGGCAGGGTTTGTACACCCCTGGCTAAGCAACTGTGGCCATTTCCTCCATTTCAGTGCACATAAAATAACCAGCCATGATCTCCAACCCCTTTTCTTCTTAACTAATTGGGTGGCCTTCTGCAGATGGGCTATGAAAACCAAAGGGAAGTTTCAAATTGAATATGTACATATATATTTTGTTATTGTTAAGTAATGTAACTTCTGAAATGTATTCCGCCTACCCTGCTCCATTTCACTATTCCTGTCATTAAGGTAAGACTTACTTACTTGGCATAAGAAAGCAAGTAGGAGAATAACTCACCATTTGTAATTGCAAGTACATTATATTAACCTCTTTATACGTATTAATCAGGTATCAACTCTCCCTGAACTTTATACCTGAAGGATTTCAGGAAAAGTAGAGTAGAGTTGCCATTTAGCTACACAATATCACCAAATACCACATATTCAGTCTACCCCTTCCTCTCCTTTCCTCTGATCTGGTCTGTCTGCAGTTGTGCTGTCTGTGAAATGAGTTGTCACCACATCAAACCAAGGAGAAGTGGGAGGAAGCTGCACACCCACAAAATAAGTGTTCCTGGTGAAAAAAAGATTTCTTTCCTCTACAGAGAGAGAGCTATCTAACTGCATATAAACAAACTCCTTGTGTTATTCAACTTAAACATAACATTCCCCATGTGTTAGAGATGTATTTAGCTACAGTGCCCACTAACATCTGCTAAAATGAGAAAGTCCTCTCACCCATTCCCATTTCTCCTCCCACCCTCGCCTCCCACCTCCAAAATTACAATGTGTAGTCAAGGTTACAAAGACCTAAGCCTGAAATCAGGTATGTTTAGAAGAAGAAATACTTATGAAAGCACGTGGAACTATAGTCAAATATTTCTAAGGAACTACAGCTTTTCGACTAGCATTTGTTGGGGACCCAGCCTGTTCCAAGCACTGTGCTGAGGCAGTTCTACGGGACAGAGCTGACTCAGTCCACAACACAACTCTACAGTGTGCCCATGTGCAGGCCTTAGGGGCCATAAGAAATAAAACATGAACTAACTAGGTTTTGTGACCCTGACACAAGAACTACTTTCCAGGAAACAATGTGGCCCCTAAGTGCCATGCATCCCCACACTCTCCCTCTGTACCTCCAGCCTTAGAAGATGCAAAAGGCAACAACCCAGGGCTCTGGGCTTTTCTGACCTGGTGAGTCCCTTCTCTGTATAAGCTGGTGAACCCACTGAACTCATCTCCACTGAATCCATTAGAAACAAACAGCCACCAGGCAGCCAGATCTGCTTGCATCTGCAACCATGTGTGATGGTTAATTTTACGTCAGCTTGGCTAGGCTGTGGCACCCAGTCAAACACCAGTCTAGATGTTGTTGTGAAGCCATTTTTATTTTTTATTTTATTTTATTTTTATTCTTTCTTTATTTATTTTTTTGAGACAGAATCTCGCTTTGTCGCCCAGGCTTGAGTGCAGTGGCACGATCTCAGCTCACTGCAAGCTCCGCCTCCCAGGTTCACGCCATTCTCCTGCCTCAGCCTCCCGAGTAGCTGGGAGTACAGGCACCCACCACCTTGCCCGGCTAATTTTGTATTTTTAGTAGAGTTGGGGTTTCACCATGTTAGATGGTCTCGATCTCCTGACCTCATGATCCGCCCGCCTTGGCCTCCCAAAGTGCTGGGATTACAGGTGTGAGCCACCACACCCGGCCTGTGAAGCCATTTTTAAATATGATTAGCATGTAAATCTGCAGACTGAGTTAAGCAGATTACCCTCCATAATGTGGGCCTCATCCAATCTGTTGAATGCTTTAAGAGAAAAGACTGAGGTCCCCCGAGGGAGAAGGATTCTGTCTCCTGACTAACTTCAGATTTGAGCTGCAAACATCAGTTCGTCCCTGGGTCTCCAGCCTGCCAGCCTGTGCTGCAGATTTTGGACTTGTTAGCCAATAACATGAGCCAATTCCTTAAAATCTCTCTCTCTCTCTCGATATAGACATAGATATAGATATATAGATATATAGATCTCTCTCCATATGTGTGTGTATATGTATAGAGAAAGAGATAAATACATAGCAAAGATGTACGTATGTAGATACATATATGTGTGTATATATATATATATATATAAAGAGGGAGAGACATCTTTGCTATGTTGTATATCCATATAGAAGATAGATAGGTAGATAGATAGACAGATACAACATAGCAAAGATGTCTATAAACTTTGTACTGCTTATTTGCTGATTCAATCATGTGGTGGGGACTGCAGTTTGCCTGCTCAATATCCACTCCTTTCTTCTTTCTTGGCATCAGAATCCTAACCTTATCTGGGGTGGTAATGTTCTAGCTAAAAGACTGTATTTCCCAGCCTGCCTTATAGCCAAGAATGGCCATGTGGCTCAGCTCTGTCCAGTGACACGTGAGTGTACATTGTTACATGGGATTGTTATTCACATAACAGATGGATTCAATAGCTTCACAGGTGACAGTCCAATGACCTAACCAAGGAGAATTAAACAAGGGAATTTTATTACTTAGAACAAGTAAGGAGGATACCGGGGATAGTCCCACAAAGCAGCGCCTTCCCAAACACTGGTGAAAATAGGGCTTTTATTGGACTGGTTAGCTGAGTTTTTGTATGTAGAGGTAGAGTAAAGACAACACAGTAACTGATCATGCTTCTACACACATCATTCATATAGAAAATGGTGATAAGCTCCTCCCTGGGCAGGGTTTTTGGTACGGTAATGAGGAGACTTCACTAAAGTTCATCTCCAACTCAGGCATCTCTAGATCCAACCAGTTTTTGTTTTTTTGGGGCTGAGCTTCTTCCTGGAACTTCTTGAAACAACAAGAACTCAAGATGCAACAGTTACAAGCAGGTACCTTTTCACAGTACGTACCCAAAAAACTGAGGACCTTGGGTTACAAGATTTGTAAGAAAGCCACTTGAACGGAAGACAGGATCTAGCACACACTCTTTCTGTCCTTTCTCCTTCTTCAGTTTCCTGTCAAGAACGCGGAAGTGGTGGCCCAGTAGCCATCCTGGGCCACAGAAACCAGGGCCTAAAACTGGTGGAGCAGAAAAATACCATCTCTGGACAGCCTACTTCCCTTTCCCTAGGGAAAAAAAAATCCTAGAGCTTCACAGTGGTGTGCATGCACCTGTAGTCCCAGCTACTCCAGAGGTTGAAGCAGGAGGGTCGCTGGAGCCCAGGAGTTCAAGAGCAGCCTGGACAACAAAAATGAGACTGCTTCTCTAAAAACTAAACCAAAACAAACAAACAAAAAACCCCTAAACCTCTATCTTGTATAAGTCATTGTATTTTTCAGTTTCTGTAAATTACAACTGACCATGTTCCTGATTCAGACAATACACAAGAGCTAAAGTAATTTTCTTTCTTTTTTTTCTTTTTAGAGATGTGTTCTCACTATATTGCCCAAGCTGGTCTGGAACTCCTGACCTCCAGTGATTCTTCTGTCTCAGCCTCCTAAATAGCTGGAACTACAGGCTCAGGCCACCACACCCCCAAAGAAAGCCAAAGTAACTCAAGCCAAATCCAAGTTTTCATTCCCACCAATCCTCAAACCCAGACCAGCACGTGTGGTCTGGTCTCGCTTGCCCTATGTATTATTATTCTTCCCATTTTACAGAAGATGAAACTGAGGTAAAAATAAGTTAGTTAAGTAATTTGTCCAAGATCACAGTAAGTAAATGAGCTGAGACTTCAACTCAGATCTACTCCGCTGCAGAGCCTGCATCTGAGCCACAGTGTCTCTCAAACGTAAAGCTAAGAATAATGGATGGAAGTTTCAGGGTGCAGATTTCAGTTCGATATAGGGAAGACCCTTCTAAAGATAGGGGCGGTCTAATAATGGCATCACCTGCATTATGAGGTAGTGAATATCCTGTCACTTGAAGTGTTTAATTAAAGACTAGACAGCCATCTATGAGGGATACTTGTTTATAGTCTATTTACTGTCTATTTCAATCAATCCAAGTCTATAGATATACTTTGACTGAACTAATTCTCCACACTAGAAATTTTGAAAAAAGAAAGAAAAAGGTTAAATGTCCTACTACTGGTAATTGTTTTTTTTTTTTTTTTTTTTTTGAGATGGAGTTTCGTTTTTGTTGTCCGGGCTGGAGTGCAATGGCTCGATCTTGGCTCAACCTCCGCCTCCCAGGTTGAAGCAATTCCCCTGCCTCAGCCTCCCGAGTAGCTGGGATTACAGGCATGCGCCACCACGCTCGGCTAATTTTGTATTTTTAGTAGATATGGGGTTTCTCCATGTTGGTCAGGCTGGTGTTGAACTCCCTACCTCAGGTGATCTGCCCACCTCCGCCTCCCAAAGTGCTGGGAGGCACTGTGGGCAAACTCCCAAAGTGGCATGAGCCACTGCGCCCCGCCTTGCTACTGGTAATTTTCTAGCTCTTAGTTTGGGTCATGGGATTGCAGGTGTCTGTCTATTTTGTCACCGCCCTTCCTCACTTACATATATGTTCCACATGTCTTTTAGTATATAGTAAATATTACACAATAACTTTTTATTTTTTGAGACTGAGTTTCTCTCTATTGCCCAGGTTGGAGTGCAGTGGCATGATCTCAGTTCACTGCAACCTCCACCTCCTGAGTTCAAGCGATTCTCGTGCCTCCACGTCCCAAGTAGCTGGGATTACAGTCACTCACCACCACACCTGGATAATTTTTGTATTTTTAGTAGAGATGGGGTGTCACCACATTGGCCAGGTGGGCCTCGAACTCCTGACCTCAGGTGATCTGCCTGTCTTGGCCTCCCAAAGTGGATTACAGGCATAAGCCACCATGCCCGGCCACAGTAACTTTCTTTTGAGCAAAGTTAAGGAGGTAAATTTGTTTGGATGTTGTAAACAGAGGAAGCTGTAGCTGGTGCTCATTCCCACACCTCTGGACCAAGGGTAGAGACTTTGTGGTCTGGGTGGATATGATGACAGCATATCAGTTTTGACTCCTGGACCACAAGGAACTGAACTGGCCACCTGCGACTCATCTGTTTCTAGTAGAGGTGGGTCTCGTGCATATGATGGGGACAGGGGCAGTGCAGCTGTATCCAGAGTGCGTGTCTTTTACAGCAGCCATCCTGTCCCCAACCTTTTTGGCACCAGGGACCAGTTTTATGGTAGACAATTTTTCCACAGCTGGGGTTGGGGGAATGGTTTTGGGATGAAACTGTTCCACCTCAGATCACCAGGCATTGGTTAGATTCTCATAAGGAGCATGTAACCTAGATCCCTCACATGTGCAGTTCATAATAGGGTCTGCAGTCCTATGAGAATCTAATGCTGCATGGATCCGACAGGAGGCAGAGCTCAGGCAGTAATGCTCACTCATCTGCTGCTCACCTCCTGCTGGGTGGCCCAGTTTTTAACAGGCCACAGACTATATGGTTTTGTGGCCCAGGGGCTGGAAACCACTGTTTTATAACTCTCCCTGTCTTCTCTTCACTCCTGCCGTGGCATCCCCTTCTGTCCTATTAAAACTGACTTTGTTGTTGTTGTTGTTATTATTATTATTATTTTGTATTATTATACGTTAAGTTCTAGGGTACATGTGCACAACATGCAGGTTTGTTACATATGTATACATGTGCCATGTTGGTGTGCTGCACCCATTAACTCGTCATTTAACACTAGGTATATCTCCTAATGCTATCCCTCCCCCCTCCTCCCACCCCACAACAGGCCCTGGTGTGTGACGTTCCCCTTCCTGTGTCCAAGTGTTCTCATTGTTCAATTCCCACATATGAGTAAGAACATGTGGTGTTTGGTTTTTGTCCTTGCAATAGTTTGCTGAGAATGATGGTTTCCAGCTTCATCCATGTCCCTACAAAGGACATGAACTCATCCTTTTTCAGCTGCATAGTATTCCGTGGTGTATATGTGCCACATTTTCTTAATCCAGTCTGTCATTGATGGACATTTGGGTTGGTTCTGTGAATAGTGCCACAATAAACATAAATGTGTATGTGTCTTTATAGCAGCATGATTTATAATCCTTTGGGTATATACCCAGTAATGGGACGGCTGGGTCAAATGGTATTTCTAGTTCTAGATCCTTGAGGAATCACCACACTGTCTTTCACAATGGTTGAACTAATTTACAGTCCCACCAACAGTGTAAAAGTGTTCCTATTTCTCCACATCCTCTCCAGCACCTGTTGTTTCCTGACTTTTTAATGATCGCCATTCTAACTGGTGTGAGATGGTATCTCACTGTGGTTTTGATTTGCATTTCTCTGATGGCCAGTGATGATGAGCATTTTTTCATGTGTCTGTTGGCTGCATAAATGTCTTCTTTTCAGAAGTGCCTGATCATATCCTTCGCCCACTTTTTGATGGGGTTGTTTGATTTGTTTCTTGTAAATTTGTTTAAGTTCTTTGTAGATTCTGGATATTAGCCCTTTGTCAGATGGGTAGATTGCAAAAATTTTCTCCCATTCTGTAGGTTGCCTGTTCACTCTGCTGGTAGTTTCTTTTGATGTGCAGAAGCTCTTTAGTTTAATTAGATCCCATTTGTCAATTTTGGCTTTTGTTGCCATTGCTTTTGGTGTTTTAGACATGAAGTCCTTGCCCATGCCTATGTCCTGAATGGTAATTGCCTAGGATTTCTTCTAGGGTTTTTATGGTTTTAGGTCTAATATTTAAGTCTTTAATCCACCTTGAATTAATTTTTGTATAAGGTGTAAGGAAGGGATCCAGTTTCAGCTTTCTATATATGGCTAGCCAGTTTTCCCAGCACCATTTATTAAATAGGGAATCCTTCCTCCATTTCTTGTTTTTGTCAGGTTTGTCAAAGATCAGATGGTTGTAGACGTGTGGTATTATTTCTGAGGGCTCTGTTCTATTCCATTGGTCTATATCTCTGTTTTGGTACCAGTACCATGCTGTTTTGGTTACTGTGGCCTTACAGTATAGTTTGAAGTCAGGTAGCATGATGCCTCCAGCTTTGTTCTTTTGGCTTAGGATTGTCTTGGCAACACAGGCTCTTCTTTGGTTTCATATGAACTTTAAAGTAGTTTTTTCCAATTCTGTGAAAAAAGTCATTGGTAGCTTGATGGGGATGGCATTGAATCTGTAAATTACCTTGGGCAGTATGGCCATTTTCACAATATTGATTCTTCCTACCCATGAGCATGGAATGTTCTTCCATTTGTTTGTGTCCTCTTCTATTTCGTTGAACAGTGGTTTGTAGTTCTCCTTGAAGAGGTCCTTCACATCCCTTGTAAGTTGGATTCCTAGGTATTTTATTCTTTTTGAAGCAACTGTGAATGGGAGTTCACTCATGATTTGGCTCTCTGTTTGTCTGTTATTGGTGTATAAGAATGCTTGTGACTTTTGTACATTGATTTTGTATCCTGAGACTTTGCTGAAGTTGCTTATCAGCTTAAGGATATTTTGGGCTGAGATGATGGGGTTTTCTAGATATACAATCATGTCATCTGCAAACAGGGACAATTTGACTTCCTCTTTTCCTATTTGAATACCCTTTATTTCTTTCTCCTGCCTGATTGCCCTGGCCAGAACTTCCAATAGTATGTTGAATAGGAGTGGTGAGAGAGGGCATCCTTGTCTTGTGCCGGTTTTCAAAGGGAATGCTTCCAGTTTTTGGCCATTCAGTATGATATTGGCTGTGGGTTTGTCATAAATAGCTCTTATTATTTCGAGATATGTCCCATCAATACCTAATTTATTGAGAGTTTTTAGCATGAAGCGCTGCTGAATTTTGTCGAAGGCCTTTTCTGCATCTATTGAGATAATCATGTGGTTTTTGTCTTTGGTTCTGTTTATGTGATGGATTACGTTTATTGATTTGCACATGTTCAACCAGCCTTGCATCCCAGGGATGAAGCCCACTTGATCATGGTGGATAAGCTTTTGATGTGCTACTGGATTTGGTTTGCCAGTATTTTATTGAGGATTTTTGCATCGATGTTCATCAGGGATATGTCTAAAATTCTCTTTTTTTGTTGTGTCTCTGCCAGGCTTTTGTATCAGGATGATGCTGGCCTCATAAAATGAGTTACGGAGGATTCCCTCTTTTTCTGTTGATTGGAGTAGTTTCAGAAGGAATGGTACCAGGTCCTCCTTGTACCTCTGGTAGAATTTGGCTGTGAATCCGTCTGGTTCTGGACTTTTTTTGATTAGTAGGCTATTAATTATTGCCTCAACTTCAGAGCCTGTTATTGGTCTATTCAGAGATTCAACTTCTTCCTGGTTTAGTCTTGGGAGGGTGTATGTGTCCAGGAATTTATCCGTTTCTTCTGGATTTTCTAGTTTATTTGTGTAGAGGTGTTCATAGTATTCTCTGATGGTAGTTTGTATTTCTGTGGGATCAGTGGTGATAACCCCTTTATCATTTTTTTATTGCGTCTATTTGATTCTTCTCTCTTTTCTTCTTTATTAGAAATGTCGGGTTACCTACAAAGGGAAGCCCAGCAGACTAACAGTGGATCTCTCAGCAGAAACTCTACAAGCCAGAAGAGAGTGAGGGCCAATATTCAACATTCTTAAAGAATTTTCAATCCAGAATTTCCTATGCAGCCAAACTAAGCTTCATAAGTGAAGGAGAAATAAAATCCTTTACAGATGAGCAAATGCTGAGAGATTTTGTCACCACCAGGCCTGCCATAAAAGAGCTCCTGAAGGAAGTACTAAACATGGAAAGGAACAACTGGTACCAGCCACTGCAAAAACATGCCAAATTGTAAAGATCATCGATGCTAGGAAGAAACCGCATCAACTAACAAGCAAAATAACCAGCTAACATCATAATGACAGGGTCAAATTCACACATAACAATATTAACCTTAAATGTAAATGTGCTAATTGCTCTAATTAAAAGACACAGACTAGCAAATTGGATAAAAAGTCAAGACCCATCAGTGTGCTGTATTCAGGAGACCCATCTCACGTGCAGAGGCACACATAGGCTCAAAATAAAGGGATGGAGGAAGATCTACCAAGCAAATGGAAAACAAAAAAAAGCAGGGGGTGCAATCCTAGTCTCTGATAAAACAGATTTTAAACCAACAAAGATCAAAAGAGACAAAAAAGGCCATTACATAATAGTAAAGGGATCAATTCAACAAGAAGAGCTAACTATCCTAAATATATATGAACCCAATACAGGAGCACCCAGATTCATAAAGGAAGTCCTTAGAGACCTACAAAGAGACTTAGACTCCCACACAATAATAATGGGATACTTTAACACCCCACTGTCAACATTAGACAGATCAATGAGACAGAAAGTTAACAAGGATATCTAGGAATTGAACTCAGCTCTGCACCAAGCAGACCTAATAGATATCTACAGAACTCTCCACCTCAAATCAACAGAATATACATTCTTCTCAGCACCACATCACACTTATTCCAAAATTGACCACATAGTTGGAAGTAAAGCACTCCTCAGCAAATGTAAAAGAACAGAAATTATAACAAACTGTCTCTCAGACCACAGTGCAATCAAACTAGGACTCAGGATTAAGAAACCCACTCAAAACCGCTCAACTACATGGAAACTGAACAACCTGCTCCTGAATGACTACTGGGTACATAATGAAATGAAGGCAGAAATAAAGATGTTCTTTGAAACCAGTGAGAACAAAGACACAACATACCAGAATCTCTGGGACACATTTAAAGCAGTGTGTAGAGGGAAATTTATAGCACTAAATTTATAGCCCATAAGAGAAAGCAGGAAAGATCTAAAATTGATACCCTAACATTACAATTAAAAGAACTAGAGAAGCAAGAGCAAACACATTCAAAAGCTAGCAGAAGGCAAGAAATAACTAAGATCACAGCAGAACTGAAGGAGATAGAGACACAAAAAACCCTTCAAAAAATCAATGAATCCAGGAGCTGGTTTTTTGAAAAGATCAACAAAATTGATAGACCGCTGGCAAGACTAAACCTGACTTTTTTTTTTTTAAGGTTTTTTTTTTTTTTTAAATTTATTTTTTTATTGATAATTCTTGGGTGTTTCTCACAGAGGGGGATTTGGCAGGGTCATGGGACAATAGTGGAGGGAAGGTCAGCAGATAAACAAGTGAACAAAGGTCTCTGGTTTTCCTAGGCAGAGGACCCTGCGGCCTTCCGCAGTGTTTGTGTCCCTGATTACTTGAGATTGGGGAGTGGTGATGACTCTTAACGAGCATGCTGCCTTCAAGCATCTGTTTAACAAAGCACATCTTGCACCGCCCTTAATCCATTTAACCCTGAGTGGACACAGCACATGTTTCAGAGAGCACAGGGTTGGGGGTAAGGTCACAGATCAACAGGATCCCAAGGCAGAAAAATTTTTCTTAGTGCAGAACAAAATGAAAAGTCTCCCATGTCTACTTCTTTCTACACAGACACGGCAACCATCCGATTTCTCAATCTTTTCCCCACCTTTCCCGCCTTTCTATTCCACAAAGCCGCCATTGTCACCCTGGCCCGTTCTCAATGAGCTGTTGGGCACACCTCCCAGACGGGGTGGTGGCCGGGCTGAGGGGCTCCTCACTTCCCAGTAGGGGCGGCCGGGCAGAGGCGCCCCTCACCTCCCAGACGGGGCAGCTGGCCGGGCGGGGGGCTGACCCCCCGACCTCCCTCCCCGACGGGGCGGCTGGCCGGGCTAAACCTGACTTTTTAATCATTTCTTTTTCTCTGGAATCAGGAGGCTTATCTCTCATTGAATTTTTTTTTTTTTTTTTTTTTTTTTTTGAGATGGGGTTTTGCTCTTGTCATCTAGGATGGAGTGCAATGGCGTGATCTTGGGTCACTGCAACCTCCGCCTCCCAGGTTCAAGCATTCTCCTGTCTCAGCCTCCCAGGTAGCTGGGATTACCAGCGTGCACCACCACACCCAGCTAATTGTATTTCTAGTAGAGACAGGGTTTCACCGTGTTGGCCAGACTGGTCTTGAATTCCTGACCTCAAGTGATCTGCCCACCTCAGCCTCCCAAAGTGCTTGGATTACAGGTGTGAGCCACTGCACCTGGCCTTACTGACTTCTTTATATGATTCAGTCAGAGTTTGAGGGGCCCATTACTGATCTTCAGCTGGTGTATCTTATTCTGGAAACATGAACAGAAATTAATAAGTAAGGCACTTAAATCAAGCCAGATAGTTTTGACCAAAATAAGATGTTTTAAAACACATTATTAGCCAAAAATATACCTTCTACTTGAATAACAAAGAGGTCAGAATAACTTCTGTTTTTCTTTTCCAAAGAGCAAAAAATCAACAGTATTAAATAGAGAAAATTCCTGTACATCAGCTGACACCTATGAATGCTTCTTCATTCCAGTTCTTTGGTTAGATAACACAAAAAGAACATTAAGAAAGGTCTTATAAAAAGACAAATTCCTAGTCGGGAAGGAAGTCACACATGTGACCTTCTCTTGCTAATATTCCAGAAGGCTTTTTGTTAAATGAGTGAGGGCTCTTTGTTACAAACTGCAGAAAGTGACTCCAGAATAAGAACTTGTTGGAAAACTACCAGGTGACTCAAAGAATAATCTGGAGGGCTGGAGAATCAGGCTGGGAAAATAGCCAGAAGTCAAGGATAGATATCAGGAACCACAGCCAAAGACATATCATCTCTGGAGCAGATAGTGAAGACATCCTGCTGCCCTGCAGCCTCAGTCTCCAAATGCCACCACCATGAACAAATCCTAAACAGTCTTAGATGTTTACATCACCAGCTCAGGATTCAAAGACTTGAGAAAGCATATCTGATTGCTAAGCCTTGACCATGTGTCTGCACCCTAGCCTCTAGGGGACTGGAAGAGGAAAATATGACCTTTTTTCAGCTTCCATACCGGCAAGCAAGACTCAATACAATGGGATGATTTGTCAAACAGTAAGGAGTTTTACATGCTAGACGACCAAAAGAATGACAATTATGCATTCCTATATTGCTGATTTGCACGAAGGCACTGAAATGAGAAAAAAAAAAAACTTTTTGGAAGAGTCATGCCCAATTCTAGGTTGCTCCCCATCAAATTCTCTTCTACCTTTTAAAAATATTTCCAGTTTATCTTACCTGCAGTCTTCCTACCCTTACTCTGTCTCTATTCTGCTCCCCTCCATGACCATACCCAAACATATACACTTCTGGAACATGTTTAGATTTGACTATGGCAGGGGAGTTTGGAGGGTGGGAGGTGTCCAGGCTATAACATCTTCAGCATGGCTTCTAGATTTCATTCAGATCTGCTCAGATTTAAAATGATTACACACACAGTACTCATCATTTTGCCACATACACCGCCTTCCTATTCTCAAGAACCTTACCCACCTGTGACCACAGCTAAATCTCCAGGCGTTGTTCAGCCTTGTCAGGCTCCTTCCAACATCCTGATGTTCTGTTCCCCCTTGTCTCCATGCTGACCTGTTCTGAACCTCTGGGCTTGGATTCCTGCTCCTGTCCACTATGCATACATCACAGACTCTTCATAAGGGAGGTATAGTTACATTCCAATATGTGGTGAAGGGAGCCTGCAGGCAGAGCCACACATGTGGTTGCTGAGGGAATGGGCACATAAAAAGAAGCCCCTCTTCAACAATCTTCTTCAAATAGTTCACAGTCTCACCACTGGCCATCCAAAAGCACATTTAGCATTCATGTCTTCAACGTCTTTCTATCACGGTCTTAACAAGCATACTGTTGACCAGGCAGGGTCGTTCACGCCTGTAATCCCGGCACTTTGGGAGACCAAGGTGGGCAGATTGCTTGAGCTCAGGAGTTTGAGACCACCCTGGGCAACATGGAGAAATCCCATCTCCACAAAAAAAATACAAAAAAGTTAGTCAGGTGTGGTGGACGTGCCTGTAGTCCCAGCTACTTGGGAGGCTGAAGCATGAGAGTTGCTTGAACCCAGGAGGCAGATGTTGCAGTGAGCTGAGATCATGCCACTGCACTCCAGGCTGCGTGACAGAGCGAGACCCTGTCTCAAAAACAAAAAAACAAACAAAAAAAACCCACAGAAAATAAACAAGTGTACTGTCAATTCACTGTTAAAAACCTGTAAAAAAGACACCCGAAAAAAAGTTTCAGAAAATATGTTTCATCCACCCCTTTGCACCTCTACCAAATTCTATTCTTTTTCTGACTTCCTTCCTTCCTGTTTCCCTGGCCTTTTTATTTCTTATTCTTTTCAAGTCTTTCTAACCTACTGCCCTGGGTGCCATGTCCTTAGACCTCTGCCCAGATTTCACTTCCCTTGACCTACGTTTTTCTTACAACTTTATTAATACATAGTTGAAGTACAATAATCTGTACATATTTGAAGTATGCAATTTGATCTGTTTTGATATACGTGTTATATTGATTTTCCATTGCCTTATAACAATTTACCACAAACATTATGGCGTAAAATAACATTTATTATCTCACCTCACAGTTTTGTGGTCAGGAATCCAGGCATGGCCTGACTGGGGCTTCTATTCAGAATCTCACGAGGCAGCAGTCAGGATGTTTGCTGGGCTGCACTCTCATCTGGTGGCTGAGTGAAGAAGAATATGCGTCCAAATTCATTCAAGTTGGCAGAAAGCATTTCCTTGTGGATGTATGATTGAAGGCCCTGACTTCTTTTTTTTTTTTTTTTTTTTTGAGATGGAGTCTCGCTCTGTCGCCCAGGCTGGAGTGCAGTGGCATGATCTCGGCTCACTGCAGGCTCCGCCTCCTGGGTTCATGCCATTCTCCTGCCTCTCAGCCTCCTGAGTAGCTGGGACTACAAGTGCCTGCCAACACGCTTGGCTAATTTTTATATTTTTAGTAGAGATGGGGTTTCACCGTGTTAGCCAGGATGGCCTCGATCTCCTGACCTCGTGATCCACCCTGCTTGGCCTCCCAAAGTGCTGGGATTACAGGCGTGAGCCACCGCGCCTGGCCTTGGAGGCCCTGACTTCTTGCTAGCTGTTGGCTGGAGGTCACTCTTAGGTTTTAGAGGCCACCCACTGTTCTTAGAGGCCATCCTCCTTATTCTCTGGGTTTTCCAACACGATCACTTCATCAGGCACACAAGGAAAGTCTTTAAATGCAGTCCACTAAGATGGAGTTTTAAATACTGTAATATCATTACAACAGTAACAGTTGATCACTTTTGCTATATTGTATTGGTTAGAAGCCAATCACAGTTCCCACATACAAAGAGAGGGGATTACCCAAAGGGGTGAACACCAGGAGGCAGAGATCATTGTGTCATTATAGGTTTTGTCTGCCACATATATACACCATGAAACCATCACTACAATAAAGATAAAAATTTTAATTACCTCCAAAAGTTTTGCTGTGCCCTTTGGCAATCCACCCTTCCTCTACCCTGTCCCTAGGTAACCACTGACCCATTTTTCTATCACCATAGATTATTTTTCATTCTCTAGAATTATATATAAATACAGTTATACAGCATGTACTCTTTTTGTCTGGCTTCTTTCACTCAGCATAATTATTCTGAGATTCAACCATGTTGTTGTGTGTATCCATAGTTCATTCCTTTCTGTTGCTGAGCAGCATTCCATTGTATGAATATATCACAGTTGTTTATCCATTCATCTGCTGTTGGACATTGGAGTTGTTTCAACTTTGGGATATTACAAGTCAAGCTGCTATGAATATTTATGTGCAAGTTTTCATATGAACATATGTTTTCATTTCTTTTGAATAAATACCTAGGAGTGAAGTGGCTGGTTCCTCTAGTAGGTGTATATTTAATTTTTAAGTAAACTGCCAGAGTCTCGTATCATTTTACATTTCCACCAGTAGGGTATGGGAGCTCTATGTTTTTGCCAGCATTGGTATGATCAGCCTTTATAATTTTAACTCATGAAATAAGTATAAAGTGGTATGTCTTTGTGGTTTTAATTTGCATTTCTCTGATGGCTAATGATGCTGAGCATTTTTTCATGTATTTATTTCCCATTAATATATCTTTTCTGAACTGTCTGTTCAATGCTTTTGTCATTTTAAAATGGATTTTGTCTTATTAATATTGAGCTGTAAGAATTCCTTGCACATATTGGGTACAAGTTCTTTGTCTGAAATATGATACAATATCAAAGATGGCTCTTCACAATGTCATAGGTGCTAAAAATGGACCATCCAAGGTTGCTTCTTCATTTACAGGTCTGGAATCCAACCTGAGTGGGCTGGAGGAGCTAAGCCTGGAGAGGCATGTCTTTCTTCACAGCTTCTGAATTGCAGCTAGCATAGACTTCCTCACTGCATGGTGATCTAAGAGTACTTGGTCTTTTCACACAGTGTTTGAATTCACCTTGAGCAAGTTTTCAAGAGACCAAGGCAGACGCTATAGGCTTTTTATGATCTAGCTTTGAGAGTCCCAGACATCACCACTGTTTCATTCTATTGATTAAAAGTCAAGGTGAGTGCTGCTGGCAAGATGGCCGAATAGGAACAGCTCTGGTCTGCAGCTCCCAGCGAGATCAACACAGAAGGCAGGTGATTTCTGCATTTCCAACTGAGGTACTCATCTCATCTCATTGGGACTGGTTAGACAGTGGGTGCATCCTACAGAGGGCAAGCCCAAGCAGGATGAGGCATTGCCTCACCTGGGAAGTCCAAGAGGTCTGGGAACTCCCTCCCTTAGCCAAGGGAAGCCCTGAGGGATTGTGCCTTGAGGAATAGTGTATTTTAGCCCAGATATTACGCTTTTCCTAATAGACCTATTAGCGGACCAAATAGACATCTACAGAACTCTCCACCCCAAATCAACAGAATACACATTGTTCTCAGCACCATGCCACACTTATTCTAAAATCAACCACATAATTGGAAGTAAAACATTCCTCAGCTAATGCAAAATAACAGAAATCATAATGAACAGTCTCTCAGAACACAGTGCAATCAAATTAGAACTCAGGATTAAGAAACTCACTGAAAACCTCACAACTGCAAGGAAACTGTACAACCTGCTCCCGAATGACTACTGGGTAAATAACGAAATCAAGGCAGAAATAAATAAGTTCTTTGAAACCAATGAGAACAAAGACACAATGTACCAGAATCTCTGGGACACAGCTAAAGCAGTGTTTAGAGGGAAATTTATAGCATTAAATGCCCACAGGAGAAAGCAGGAAAGATCTAAACTGATACCCTAACATCACTATGAAAAGAACTAGAGAAGCAAGAGCAAACAAATTCAAAAGCTAGCAGAAGAAAATAAATAACTAAGAGCAGAGCAGAACTGAAAGAGACGGAGACATGAAAAACCCTTCAAAAATTAATGAATCCAGGAGCGGTTTTTTGAAAAGATCAACAAAATAGATAGATTGCAAGCCAGACTAATAAAGAATAAAAGAGAGAAGAATCAAATCAACACAATAAAAAATGATAAAGGGGATATCACCACTGATCCCACAGGAATACAAACTACTATCAGAGAATACTATAAACACCTCTACATAAATAAACTAGAAAATCTAGAAGAAATGGATAAATTCCTGGACACATACACCCTCCCAAGACTAAACCAAGAAGAAGTTGAATCCCCGAATAGACCAATAACAAGTTCTGAAATTGAGGCTGTAATTAATAGCCTACCAACCAAAAAAAGCCCAGGAACAGATGGATTCACAGCCGAATTCTACCAGAGGTATAAAGGTACCAGAGGTACCAGAGATACCAAGAGGAGCTGGTACCATTCCTTCTGAAACTATTCCAAATAATAGAAAAAGAGGGAATCCTTCCTAACCCAGTTTATGAGGCCAGCATCATCCTGATACCAAAAACTGGCAGAGACACAACAAAAAAAGAAAATTTCAGTCCAATATCCGTGATGAACATTGATGCGAAAATCCTCAATAAATACTGGCAAACAGAATCCAGCAGCACATCAAAAAGCTTATCCACCAGGATCAAGTCAGCTTCATCCCTGGCATGCAAGGCTGGTTCAACATACACAAATTGATAAACATAATCCATCACATAAATGGAACCAATGACAAAAAAACACATTATTATCTCAATAGATGTAGAAAAGGCCTTTGACAAAATTCAACACCCCTTCATGCTAAAAACTCTCAGTAAACTAGGTATTGATGGAATGTACCTGAAAATAATAAGAGCTATTTATGACAAACCCACAGCCAATATCATACTGAATGGGCAAAAGCTGGAAGCATTCCCTTTGAAAACTGGCACAAGACAAGGATGCCCTCTCTCACCACTCCTATTCAACATACTATTGGAAGTTCTGGCCAAGGCAATCAGGCAAGAGAAAGAAATAAAGCGTATTCAAATAGGAAGAGAGAAAGTCAAATTGTCTCTGTTTGCAGATTACATGATTGTATATTTAGAAAACGCCATTGTCTCAGCCCAAAATCTCCTTAAGCTGATAAGCAACTTCAGCAAAGTCTCAGGATACAAAATCAATATGCAAAAATCACAAGCATTCCTATACACCAAATAATAGACAAACAGAGAGCCAAATCATGAGTGAACTCCCATTCACAATTGCTATAAAGAGAATAAAATACCTAGGAATACAACTTACAAGGGATGTGAGGGACCCCTTCAGGGAGAACTATGAACCACCGCTCAAGGAAATAAGAGAGAACACAAACAAATAGCAAAACATTCCATGCTCATGGAGAGGAAGAATCAATATCATGAAAATGGCCATACTGCCCAAAGTAATTTATAGATTCAATGTTATCCCCATCAAGCTGTCATTGACTTTCTTCACAGAATTAGAAAAAAACTACTTTAAATTTCATATGGAACGAAAAAAGAGCCCACATAGCCAAGACAATCCTAAGCAAAAAGAACAAAGCTGGAGGCATCACGCTGCCTGACTTCAACGTATACTACAGGGATACAGTAACCAAAACAGCATGGTACTGGTACCAAAACAGATATATAGACCAATGGAACAGAACAGAGGCCTCATAAATAACACCACACATCTACAACCATCTGATCTTCAACAAACCTGACAAAAACAAGAAATGGCGAAAGGATTACCTATTTAATAAATGGTGTTGGGAAAACTGGCTAGCCATATGCAGAAAACTGAAACTGGACCCCTTCCTCATACCTTATACAAAAATTAACTCAACATGGATTGAAGATGTAAACATAAGACCTAAAACCATAAAAACCCTAGAAGAAAACCTAGGCAATACCATTCAGGACATAGGCATGGGCAAAGACTTCATGACTAAAACACCAAAAGCAATGGCAACAAAAGTCAAAATAGACAAATGGGATCTAATTAAACTAAAGAGCTTCTGCACAGCAAAAGAAACTATCATCAGATGAACAGGCAACCTACAGAATGGGAGAAAATTTTTGCAATCTATCCATCTGACAAAGGGCTAATATCCAAAATCTACAAATAACTTAAACAAATTTACAAGAAACAAATCAAACAACCCCATCAAAAAGTGGGTGAAGGATATGATCAGACACTTCTCAAAAGAAGACATTTATGCAGCCACCAAATATATGAAGAAAGGCTCATTATCACTGGTCATTAGAGAAATGCAAATCAAAACCAAATGAGATACCATCTCACGCCAGTTAGAATGGCAATCATTACAAAGTCAGGAAACAACAGATGCTGGAGAGGATGTGGAGAAATATGAACGCTTTTACATTGTTGGTGGGAGTGTAAATTAGTTCAACCATTGTGGAAGAAAGTGTGGCAATTCCGCAAGGATCTAGAGCCAGAAATACCATTTGACCCAGCAATCCCATTACTGGGTATATATCCAAAGGATTATAAATCATTCTACTATAAAGACAATGCACATGCATGTTTATTGCAGCACTATTCACAATGGCAAATACTTAGAACCAACTCAAATGCCCATCAATGATAGACTGGATAAAGAAACTGTGGCACATATAGAACTATGGAATACTATGCAGCCATAAAAAAGGATGAGTTCATGTCCTTTGCAGGGACATGGATGAAGCTGGAAATCATCATTCTCAGCAAACTAACACAAGAACAGAAAACCAAACACCTCATGTTCTCACTCATAAGTGGGAGTTGAACAATGAGAACACTTGGACACAGGGAAGGGAACATCACACAATGGGGCCTGTCAGTGGGTGGGGGTCTATGGGAGATATGGCATTAAGAGAAATACCTAATGTAGATGGTGGGTTGATGGGTGCAGCAAACCACCATGGCACGTATATACCTAGGTAACAAACCTGCAAGTATCCCAGAACTTAAAGTATTAAAAAAAAAAAAAAGTCAAGGTGAAAGGAATTATACATCATCCATAATCTCTCAATGGGAAGTATAACAAAGAACTTAATGGCCATTAAATCTCCTACATATAGTATAATCAGGGACCTCTACATTAGTGCAAGCTGCCAACTTATTCCTCAATCAAACTCATTGACATATTTAAATGACACATTTCTAGAACTGATAGTTTTCGAAGTGCATGCATATATTTTATTGTATGTAACTCTCATAAGAATGTTTGATTTAGGCAGGCAGATATTAATATCCCCACCTTAAAGAAGTTGCTGAGGCCCGGTGACACTGGTCATTTGTCCAAGAAAAAGACTCTAGAACTCAAGATCCTTTGCATCTAGTGCAGTGCTTTCTCCACGATGTCATGCTGTTTTCACTTTAGCACACAAATCCTTCTAATTAAATAAGCCCTTTCTTTCTGAGAAATATACTAGAACCAAAAGTTCTGTGGTTGGAAGGAATGAAAATGAATGAATGAACTTAAAATTTCACCTCTGTTCACTGGCATTATTATTCAGTTGATTAAAATTTTATTTATGGACACAAAAATGACAGTCCACTCTTAATGAGAAAATCTTCACAGAACCCTAAGTATGTGAATACACACACATACACAAACATATATATTTTGCACACATACAATTGTTAGTATATGCACAAAAAGATCATCTGTGGGCTATATTACTGTTAAGTGTTATATCTTAAAGATTCTGGGCCAGGCGTGGTGGCTCATGCCTATAATCCTAGCACTTTGGGAGGCTGAGGCAGGTGGATCGTTTGAGGTGAGGAGTTCAACACCAGCCTCACCAACATGGTGAAACCCCATCTCACAAAAATTAGCCAGGCAGTAGTGGTTGTGCCTGTAATCCCAGCTACTCGGGAGGCTGAGGCAGGAGAATCGCTTGAGCCCAGGAGGCGGAGGTTGCAGTGAGCCGAGATCATGCCACTGCACTCCAGCCTGGGTGACAGAGTGAGACCCTGTCTCAAACAGATTCTGTATTGTTTGAATTTGAGTATATATTATTCTGGAAATGATAATAAAAAAGATTTAAAAACTCTTCAGTCCTTTCAGAAATACATGATAATGATCAGACTTGAGGCACTGTCACAACTTTTATAGTTCTGAGTAGAGTATAAGTATTGTTGTCCCTTGGTAATGCAGGAGACTCGTTCCAAGACCCCCAGGGATACCCACACCCACACATACTCAAGTCCTGCAGTCCACCATTTGGAACTCACAGATATAAAAAGTCGGTCCTCTGCATAAGTGGGTTTCGCATCCCATGGATACTGCATTATTGATGTGTGTTTGATTGAAAAACATCCACATATAACTGAACCTGTGCAGATCAAAACTGTGTTGTTCAAGTGTCAGCTGTATAAACAAATGAACAAACAGAACTTCAGATAGTATCACAGTAAGGACAGAAACTCTACATTGGATTTGTTCCCCAAAGAGAGGCTACTGTGAAACTACGTTTTCAGTAATCAGCATTGAGACATTTATTTATTTATTTATTTATTTATTTTTTCAAGGCAGCAGTATTTGAAATAGTGAGAAACTTAAAACAACTTTCCAGCCAGTAGGCAAAAAATAACTATTATCCCATGATTTATAAGACCAATTAGATCTATATTAACCATCACAGATAAATCTTTAAAACATGCTAAATGAGTAAAGCAAGTTCAAAAAGTATAAAACAGAATATTATAACAAATACATTTTTACACAATCTAAAACTAAAATATATATTATAATAAGGCATACATGTAAGTATTAAAAGTAAAGTAGAAAAACATTCACAAAAATGATAAATATCAACTTCAGGATAATGTTAAGGGGATTAAGAGACGGGGAAAGCATAGAATATAAAGCTTTATTTTATTTCTTTAAAAAAAAAGTTCAAGATCTCAAACAAATACAGGAAGATGCTATCTTCCATTTATTATCTCCATGGTGGATATAGAACTATCTTTTACTTTATGTTAGAAATGTTTCGTAGTTTTAATGTTTACATTTTTTAAAAAGTTGATCCTGCCAGGTTGTCTTCCATGAATAGACATTTTTCAACAAGAAAGACAGAATATGCAGCACTCATGTGTCCTTGAAAAAGCAACTACCCCATGATGAAAACAAGACAACTAAAAACTCAATCAGAACAAAAACCACAGAAATAGAAAAGCCATGGAAAAGATATGATGGTAAGCACTGAATCCATTTAAATATAGAACTAAGGCTAAACATAGAGCTAGACTAACTTCTGGTAAACAGAAAGCAAATATTATATGCCCTGAAAAAGCGAAAATACAAACAACATAAAATTCAGAACTGAAGAAAGAGATGACAGAACATATGAATAGCACTCAACTTCATCATTCACAGTAGGGATTTCATATCTAATATCTAAATTTTAAACAAGCAGTTTTAAAAAATACTCTGATTTCTTACTGTTTTTTATAAACTATTTTCCTAATTTTAGTGAAATCTTACAGAACCTAAGAGTTCTGTGGCAAAGAAACCTTTACCTAGAGTTCAGCATTTACCTAGAGTTTAAGATATTTTCCCTTGTTATTAAATTCAAACAAAATCATAATTTAAACTTTTATTTTTTAAAATAGCGTACTCTCATAATTATGAAATTATTCCTGTCTGTCTATATATAAGCATGAATAAGATGATGTTCACCAAATGTTAACATAGGTTATTACTGCTTGGTAGAGAAATTTATTTTTAAATAAAACAATAGGCCAGGCGCGGTGGCTCATGCCTGTAATCCCAGCACTTTGGAAGACCAAGGCGTGACTTAAGGTCACTTAAGGTGACCTTAAGGTCAGGAGTTTGAGACCAGTCTGGCCAACATGGCGAAATCTCGTCTCTACTCAAAAATACAAAAATTAGCAGGGTGTGGTAGCACGTGCCTGTAATCCCAGCTACTAGGGAGGCTGAGGCAGGAGAATTGCTTGAACCCGGGGGGGCGGAGGTTGCAGTGAGCCGAGATCGTGTCACTATACTCCAGCCTGGGCAACAGTGAGATGCTTCTCAAAAAATAATAATAAAATAAAATAATGAATAAATAAATAAATAATACAAAATATTCTTTGAGTTAAACATAAATGACTTCCAGAAACTTACTTGTTTGGAACTCAAAAGAGATAGGCAATTCTTTCCAAAATAAGAAGTGACAGTTTCTCACAGATCTCAAAAGGCCAATAAACAGTCAAGAAAAAAGTGAACCAACTTGAATGAATACATACATTCACACATATAAATATCACTTAAAAGGAAAGCATTCCAGACTGACATTAAGTTACTTAAAAATTCTAAACCAAAAAGGTGGCCTCACTAGGTCCTAAACTAGTCGCAGGAGGATCTGGGGGACTGGCAAAGCTATGAGGCTGAACCAGTGTGAAAAATGCTTTTCAGTATGTGTTCATTTTGAGAACAGAATAAAGACCAAAGAGCAAAATGCTAGGGTCTGAACAAGAATGTCATTTTTAGGACAGGTGCTCCAGATAGGAGCATCTTGGATCCAGCCAGGAGCAGTGTTACCCAAATGTCAATATTTGAAATGTCAATGGCCAGGACTGAGAACTAGTTATTGTGGGGAGGTACCAAAGACAAACTGGAAAGAAGGACAGAAGACCAAAAATAATGACAACAGCTGCCATTTGTCAAGTGCTAGCCATGCTGGACGCTTTTCATACAATATCTCACTCACAGCCCATAGTCTACTTGCAAACAGGATATAATATATTTTTCAGATGACAACACAGACTCAGAAGGTTTACATGGCATGCCCAAAGCCACAATGCTAGGAAGCAACAGAACCACAATTCAAGTCCAGATCCTTCTCACCACAAAGTCTGTGCTCTTTGCAGCATGCCAAGCTGTAAAATCCAAAGGAGTAAACACAAATATATAAGAATAGTAAAGTCAGGGGCCAGGAGACTCAAGAGATGTGAGCCAAGGTGTCAGGTCAGTCATCTCTACATGTTGTGGACTTCTACCAACAGAGGCTGTCTCCTGGTGTGCCCCTTTCGTGTGCTATCTGGTGAGTGCTGCAAGGTGGCAGCTTCTTCACAGAGTCAGGGGGCAGATAAAATTAAAATGAACATAATAACTGTTTTAAAGGCGGTCAGGTCAGCTTTGCCAAGTGTCGTGTTTGATGTAAGCAGCAGAGGGAAATGGAAGAGAGAGGGTGACAGAGTCAATGACTGAGTAATAAAACATTAGCCCAGGCTCTGTCTGGATGCTCATGAGAGCCTCTTCCCTAAGATGAGGATCACTCAGGAAGACATGATGAGAACCCATGAATCTAGCACCCACCACCGAGCAGGGAACAAAGTAAGAAATGCCTTTCAAGAAGGATGTCATCAGTGGTGTCAAGTGCGAAAAAAAGAATAAGCTAGAGGAAGACTGAGATAAGGCCTGGATTTGGCCTTGAGGAGGACACAGTTGGCTTTTGAGAGGGTAGATCTGGGGCCTTAGAAGAGTGTGAATCAAATGACAGTGGCCTGAGGCAAGAGTGGAAAGTGCTGAAATAGAAGCAGCATGCGGTTTGACTTTGTCAAGAAGCCTGGTGGCCAGAAGTAGATGGTGAGCAAGTCAGAGACAGGTGGTCAGTTTAGAGAAATTGCAAGGGGAGTCATAGGTTAGGGAGGAAGCGCTAGTCACAGGTTAGAGAGGGGTGATTCTAGGATGCAAGAGGAAGAAATTGATTTGTGGAGTAAGGACCCAGATGGGTGAAGAGGGGACAGGATACTGCCCATTGACAGAATCTTTTCTTAAAAGGGAAAGAGAAGAAAAGGAAGACTGATGATAATACAGACATTAGAAGGGAGTTTTAGGCATTTCTTCTTGGTGGTTTGCGGATTTAGTTTTTTACTATTCCACATGGCATGAAGGATAGACTTACTTCAGCAAGAAAAAGCATGCAATAGCAGGTATAAGTTCAGGTTCCTAGATTTGCCTCTTACTAACTCTGTGGCCTTCGACAACATTTCTGAGCTTCACTTTCCTTGCCTTCAAATCAGGATGATTATACCTGTCCTGACTCCAAGGGGGTGCTAGAGTCTGCTCACACCAGCTCCCCTGAGCCAATTGCTAAATATCTAGAAATTCAGAGTTGTTAAATCATTGGTAGTATGAAACTGGCACAAACCAGGGATTCCCTCTCCCTTTTGAGTGCTTACCACATCACTGCCTGATTCCCTTACAAGGCACTGTCAGGCTGAAATGAGAGGCTGGTTGTGAAAACACTTTGCAAAGAACCAAGCCCTGGATAAAGGTAAGGGATTTTTATTATTAATATTAACAAGTGTGACGGCATGGTTTCCTATGTATTAACTTGAGTTTTATTTTCTATTCCCCACTGCCCACCTTTCCCAACAGGTAACTTTAGTATTTCCTTGTCTCAGCAGTTTTTGCAGGGCAGAAGGCAAAGATACTTGAAGGCAATGGCTCCTCTAGTCTTATTGAAGGACTTATACTCACCATAGAGATCGTGTTAAGAGCATGAGGGAAAATGGGATTATCAAAAAGACTTCAATAAGACATTCAGAGGAAGAGATTCCCTATAGACAAGGAAGGGGAGAGATTTGTGGGTTCTACAAGAAGGAAAATGGGTCCATGTCTGGCTCCCAACAAGCCTCTGGAAGAGACATTTCTTAGGAAATGGCTGCAGAGTGGATTTGCGAAACCCATCGAGGGGCTTCTTAGACTCAGCTACATATTCAGACGTACAAGACTGCAGTCAATCACACTTGGTATCAGGATATAAGCCAGGATATTCTATTTGCTAGCAGTGAAGCATCAGCGTTTGTTTTCCTCGGAAGTAATCTATACAGCAATCCATACAGCAAGAGATGGCCTCTTTGGCTTCCCAGGGTTCTAGTACAAGAAAATGAGACCACATCAAGCACATGTAGAATCCTCCCTAGCCCCGGAGCCTCATGCCCCACAGGAGCCAATATGTCTTGTAACAACTCCACAACAGCTGTCAGCATCACCTCAAGGGACATACCCTGTGTCAAGAGTCACTGCTCTCGGCCAAGCCCAAAGCTATGGCTTCCTCTTAGGCATTTAGTTCTCCCAGTACAGGTGCAATTTACCAGTAAGGAGTCATTTTTGACATCAGTTACTATACCTAATAACACAGTTGACATACTACCTTTGTCAGGTTTCTGGGGGAAACAGAGAAAGAAATTATTCGAAGGTAAAATTCTCAGGTAGAAGGGGAAAGGGTTTTGTGACAGCCTTTACCCCCCGTGGACTCAGTAGCCAGGACTCCCTACTCTCAACGCCCCCACACAGGGACTCCCAGCCTCACCGAAGGTGTCCACGCCCCACACATGGCCGAGAAGTGGAGTCCTTGAACACAAAGCATAAAGGACATCATGCTGGTGATGGAACAGAATTTCTTGCCTTCCATTCCCTCACTATTTCACCAACTGCTAAATCAACCCACACAAAAATCACAGTGAAAAAACCCCCTTGGCCAGGCACAGTGGCTCATGCCTGTAATCCCAGCATTTTGGGAGGCTGAGGCAGGAGAATCGCTTGAACCCGGGAGGCAGAGTTTGCAGTGAGCTGAGATCATGCCACTGTACTCCAGCCTGGGTGACAGAGCGAGACTCTGTCTCAAAAAACAAACAAACAAACAAACAAAAAAAAAAGAAAAGAAAAAGCCCCCTTAACCTCTATATATTCCTCAGCAAAAACTGCAGCAAAGAACTTCTTCATACCACTTGAGGATGAACCAGTTAACATTTGTAGAGCAGGCAAAGATGACAGATATATTAATAACAGTACCAGGCACACACCAGGGGCTGCTTGGTCTCTGGGCACTTAGCAGTCACAAATCATTCCAGCACTGTTTGTGAAGTATTATGGGTCCATTCCCAGTGCAAACAACCTCTGGAGAAGGGAATTCCAATCCCAAACTATCTTGTCATTTGAAACATTTATTTTCAAGACATGACATTATGTTCAGTTGTTCTTTTAAAAAGAGTAACGAGATTTCCATAATTGGAAATAATTGAACTCAAGAAACACTTTTAATACATATTATGGAAAAGATTTTTTTCTTTCTAGAAGCATTCAACAAATATTGATGTTGTAGAAGTAACACATTAGTACAGATTCATTATGAAGAACAATTTGAACAATACACTTAAAGTAAAGGTCTTCCTGGCCCCCTTCTCACCCAGCCTCCCTCACTGGAAGTGATGAGGATGTTGATTTGCGGTGCTTCTTTCCTGCCCTCTTGCTCTACACTTACAATTAATGTATTTCCTTTGGCTTCCAGTAAAATCATTATAGTGTAGATTCTATATTTCCTTAGAAATCATTAGATACATAGAGAGTCTTTCAGAAAGCTTAACACCAGGAAATGTTAATCATTTCAAAATTAGCTACCCACAGGTTAGAGGAACAAAGACGTTGTCACTTTTCCCTTAAGTCACAGGATATGTCTACAGTATCTGAAAGGAACGTGATCCAGACCCAGTAGCTTCACTCTGTAAACATCTTGGAATCCCTGAGCAATTCCAGCAACCTGGGTATCCCCCTGTGACTAATCTAAAGAGAGCTGGCGTTTCAAAGTAGTGCAGTTCAAGCTCCAGAATATACAGAGTAAGACATTCAGCTAAGTAGGCTCTGTAGGCCCCGCTGCATGGCACCACCCCCTCTACCCCGAGGTTTCCATTACCCACAGGCTTTGATCTGGTAAACAAATCTGCCTCCAATCATGTGGCAAAGGTTGCCGTTCTCTCACTCTCCTCCCTGTGCTAGGGAAAACTGAACAGTTAACAAATAGAAAGCGTTCTGTGTCAGTTCATTATTTTGTACCTGATTTGGAAAGACGGAAAAACAGCCTTTTCAAGCAGTATCTTTTGCCAATTTCCTCTCTTCCCTTCCCCCAGAACCTAAACCCTGGGATTCTCCCTAGGAATTTTATAGAAACCAGCCTGTCTGGAATATTCTGCTGACAGAAAGTCAGGAATTGATGCCAGCCGGAGAAAACACAACTTCTGCCACCTCTGTAATTCCAGAAAAGCCTTGCCTTCCCTGCAGCATACACTATAGCCAGGCCTTGCCTCATTTGGCTTTGTAGCCTCAGCACCTAAGTATCCAGAACACAGTGCCCAATACATGCTTGTCACATTGAATTAATTGTATTAAAGTCAGTTGATCTCTCTTAATCTCATTTAAAGATGGGAAGTGCCACACATCCCACCAAGGGGGAGGGAAAGGTGCAAGGATAAGTGAGCGTTTTCTCTTGGACGAGAAGTGGGCAATGTGGGAGAGAGCCCTGCCAGAGACATTTAAAATTGGCCCAGTGGCCAGTTGTAGTGGCTCACGCTTGTAATTCCTAGCACTTTGGGAGGCTGAGGTGGAAGGATCGCCTGAGGCCAGGAGTTCCAACCAGCCTGGGCAACATAGGGAGACCCCTGTCTCTACAGAAAAGTTTAAAACATTATCTAGGTATGGTGGCACATACCTGTGGTCCCAGCTACTTGGGAGAGTGAGGCGGGAGGATTGCATGAGTCCAAGGTGGGGGTCGAGGCTGCAGTGAGCTATGATTACACCACTGCACTCTAGCCTAAGCAACAGAGCGAGATCCTGTCTAAAAAAGAAAAGAAAGAAAGAAAAAGAAAATGGGAATAACTACATCTAATTCACAGTGTGATTATAAAGATGGAATTTGATCTTTCTAAAAAAAAAAAAAAACCCAAAGAAAAAATTGTATGGGTTCCTATGTCCCAAAGGATAAATAAAGTGAAATTTCTTGCAGTTAAGTGTCAGAGAGGCTTTGGAGCTTATTACTTGGGTGCTGTTGAGTAGGTTATTTCATCTGAGTTTCAGTTTCTTCATTTGTAAAATTAGGATAATAATATCTACTTTGGAGGGTTGTGGTGAATACAAAATGAACAGACATGTAAAGTTCTCGGCATAAGCATTGTATGTACTAAGTATTCCATAAATGCTAGCTATTAGTGTTATGAACATAGCCTGTACATTGCAGGCACATGACTAAAACTAAATAACTGTTTGGTGAGTGAATAAATGAATGAATGAACATAGCTGTGTCAGTAGGGAGTGTATGTGGCTACATGTAATAGAAACCCCACTACAGTGACCAAACCAAAAGCTGGGTTTTTTTGTCATGTAATAAGAAGTCCAGGTTTGGGCAACCCAGGGCTGGCACACTCCTCAAGGAAGTCATCGGGTACCCAAGCTCCTTCTTACATGTGGTCCTCAACCTCAGATCTGCAAGACATTCTGCTTCCTGTGCTCCATTTAGGAGCTTCGGTTGCCTCATCTGTAAAATGGGAATAGGCTGAAACCCTTTTTGGTGAACCATTCTATGATTCTCCAATAAACTCAGTACCAAATAAGCACTGCTCATTTGGGATCATGCCATTTGGAGATAGCTTATTTTATATCCGATAAATAAGCCACCAAGTCTCAATCCCACTCACGCCCATCATTCAAAAAAATTATAAAAATATTTGGCAACATGAAGAAATACTTATAAAAATATTAAATGAAGGCCGGGTGCAGTGGCTCACATCTGTAATCCCAGCACTTTGGGAGGCCTAGGCAGGCGGATCACGAGGTCAGGAGATCGAGACCATCCTGGCTAACATGGTGAAACCCCATCTCTACTAAAAATACAAAAAATTAGCTGGGTGTGGCGGCGGGCGCCTGTAGTCCCAGCTACTCGTAAGGCTGAGGCAGGAGAATGGCGTGAAGCCGGGAGGCGGAGCTTGCAGTGAGCGGAGATCGCGCCACTGCACTCCAGCCTGGGCAACAGAGCCAGACTCTGTCTCAAAGAAAAAAAAATTAAATGAAAAAAAGCACACTATAACATTTGGTCCAGGTACTGACAAGGAAAGTTCTAAGACATGTTAAGAGAATAAAAGGAAGTCACAGACAACACTTACAGTTGATTTCACTTTTGAAAAAAACAAAATGATAACAAAACTAAAACTGATTTGGATGAGGTAATGAAGACTTTCACTTTTAGCTCTATAGACTTCTATTGTTTTGAATTTTTACAGGACATATATATTCATGCATTGCTTATCTAATAAAATCAATCTAAATATTATACCTATGTAATAATGTAATTATATAAAACCATGCACAGCATAAATCTTGGGGAGGATTATAGGACAATAAAACTGTGTGTGTCAGGCTGGTGAAATTATAGAAAAATTCCTTGTTTGTGCTATTGTTATATTATATGTGTAAGAAATATAATTTTTCCCCACAAGTTGTTCACATGAGGCACAGGTAGATTTCTAAAACAATCCAAGTGGGACAATTTTTAAAAGGTATCCATGGGTTTTGCTGATTGAGAGATCAGACCAGTAGAGGCTCAGCTGGGACCAACATTTGGCAGAGATGATCTGGGATGCTTGAAACCAGATTATTTCAGCTAAGCTTGGTGGAAAGGGCTATCTCTCCAGTTTCATGTTTTTCTTTCACCTCCAGCACTGAGGGTCAAAATCATGGGGCAAGAACCAGAATGATCAGTTTTTCTTCTCTCTCTGCAATGCCATCCACATGGCTCCACAGGGTATTCTATGCTCAAATCACATCACTAAGCTGGTCATTACTGACAGGCAAGGAGCTGGCTCAAGTAGGACAGGGCCTACTGGGCCAGCTACTTAGCACTGCCCTGCAACTTTGCTTTATGATTTCCAATTAGGAGGACATTATCTGGATCATCAACCATGACTCCTATATAAACCTAGTTACTCAAAGCAGCTCAACGTAATTATTTTGGGAAGATTCCAAGTTGGGTGTAGAAATGTTGGTCAGGAGTTCCCTGCTGGAACATTTGTAACTAGCTACCATTTATTGGCTCATTAGGGAACAAGGACTAAGTAGTCTACTTTATATGTTCAATCCCAGGTCATCCTTTACAGACAATTGTAGATATCACATACACAAATACTTCCCACTTCACCAGAACTCTAAATGACTGACTTGCTTAAGACCACATAACCCATCAAGCCAGAGAGCTGGCATTCAAACCCAGGTGTCACTCCAAAATCCATGCTTTTAACCTGTGTTCAACATTTTTCACATGCATTTGCACTTACGGAGAGTTTTGGTCCTTTGGAACAAAAGAATCATGCAAATTTGAGAAGTATTTCACTGGTGTTTGGAAAAAAAAAAAAACAAAAGTTCTCTGACCACTCTCAAAGTTGCAAACAGATTCCATGGAAAAGTAGCCTGGCTTAATTCTACCCAAGTGCACACAATATGGCCTTTGGGTAGTTGGGTATGTTTTTCCCCTGAGTAATATATCACCTGAGCCACAGTAGCCTGTAATGAATGTCTTTGATATATTACCACGGGGAAGTGTTCTGATGATTTACTGGGGTACACATCATTGGCATTATGAGGCAGCATTAATCAAAGCTATCGCATTGGCTTCTGGAAACCATTAGGTAAATATGAAGCTCTACTAATATATTCACCTTGGACCACAGTCCGGAAGGAATGAAAAGATTTCATTGCCTTTGCTTTAAAGCTGCCTTTCCATTAGTAAAACTAGTGTGTGTGTGTGTGTGTGTGTGTGCGCGCGCGTGTGCGCGCGCGCGTGCATCTGTACACACAAGTTACTTGAAATTTTTAAAGTGCGTGTTAGAGAACTTTTTTGTTAAAAAGTTTTCTTAATCAAGTGTCTCTCTGAAGGAAGAAAGGCCCTAGTTATACGTTCCAAGGAGGAAAGCTGTCCTGGCTTTCTAGATTAGTTGCCAATCATAAGAACCAATGCATAAAACCAGAAGCCATTCACTTTTCAAGAATAACTTGAAATCACTTGTTGGAGAGAGAGTTGATGAGTACAAATTTGCTGAAAACAAATAGAGGACAGAGGAAGCTGTAAAATGGGAATCCACAGACAACCGGATTAAGAAACAGGATCTTGGACTAGGTGCTCTGCTTCTTTAGGAATTCTGTCTCCTTATTGCCTGCTCCCTCCTTAAAAGGAAAAAAATAGTCTGCTTACTCTTTTTTGTTTTTTGAAACAGGGTCTTGCTCTGTCACCCAAGCTAGAGCACAGTGGTTCGATCATAGCTCACTGCATCCTCTGCCTCCTGGGCTCAAGTGATTCTCCCACCTCAGTCTCCTAAGTAGCTGGGACTATAGGCATGCACCTCCATGCCCAGCTAATTTTACTTTATTTTGTAGAGGCAGGGTCTCACTGTGTTGCCCAGGCTGTTCTCAAACTCCTGGCCTCAAGTGATCCTCCCACCTCAGCCTCCCAAAGTGCTGGAATTACAGGTGTGAGCCACCACTCCTGGCCTTGTTTACTCTTTTTCGAACAGAAGGAAGCCTGGCAGAGTTGTCAGTGCTAACAAAAAGGAGAAGAGCCTCCAGAATAAAGACCAAATGCTGGTGCTCATTTCTGCATTTGATTTTTTCAAATGTACCTATCAGCCCTTGTACAATGCAAGTGCTATATTTGAACGTCCCCTCCAAAACTCACGTTGAAAGTCAATTCTCAAATGTGGCAGTATTGAGATCTGGGTGCTCAAGAGGTGATTGGATTAATCCATTTATAGATTAATGGGTTAATGGATTAATGGGTTATTTTAGGAGGGGAACTGGTGGCTTTATAAGCAGAGGAAGAGAAACCTGAGCTAGCACTTTCGCATACTCAGTCCCCTGGCAATGTGATACCATGTGCCACCTCGGGCCTCTGTAGAGAGTCACCACCAACCAGAAGGCTCTCACCAGATGTGTCCCCTCCATCTTGGATTTTCCAACCTCCAAAACTGTAGAAATTCTGTTTCTTTTTTTGAGATGGGGTTTTACTCTTGTTGCCCAGGCTGGAGTGCAATGATACCATCTTGGCTCAGTGCAACCTCTGCCTCCCAGATTCAAGCGATTCTCCTGCCTCAGCCTCCTGAGCAGCTGGGATTACAGGCATGAGCCACCACACCTGGCTAATTTTGTATTTTTAGTAGAGATGGGGTTTTGTCATGTTGGTCAGGCTGGTCTCGAACTCCTGACCTCAGGTGGTCCGCCCACCTCGGCCTCCCAAAGTGCTGGGATTACAGGCGTGAGCCACCGTGCCCGGCCTCTGTTTCTTATAAATTATCCAGTTTCATGTATTCTCTTATAAGCAACAGAAAACAGACTAAGACAGTAAGAATATTTACCTTTGTTTTTAATCTCAAGTATGCTTTTACCAGTAAACATTTATCAACCAAAATTAAAGGGCTATTCACTGAAGTCCAGTTACCACTTCTGGATTTTCTCAAAGAAGCTAGGCTTTTCCCTGGGCTTGAGAAGACACAGTACCTCCGAGGCTCAAAAGGACCAGTATTTCCTGACCTCATTCATCCTGCAGCATGCCTGTATATGCCTAAGCAAGCCTCACTCCCTATGTCCTGAGATAGAAGCTGGCAATGTGGGGAGTCTGCGTGGCCAAATGGGAGAAGTTGTTGATGACAGGGAGAAACAGAGAGACAACAGGCAGTATTCTTTTCAGGGAAATACTTTTGATAATGAGGGGAAAAGAAAGAAAAGAAATCAAAGGATTGTAGACTTGGGCAGCATTTAAAACCTAATAGACAGTGAGTCCTTGCTCTCATGAAGCTGAGTAGATGAGCAGGCATTAATTAAATAAAAACACAAATAAAAATGTTAATTATCAGACACCCTGCAGCTTTTGTGCTAATCACCATTTCCTTAAGGGGACTCCCTAAACTTCAGAGAAATGATGCTTTTCAAGAGCTTTGCAGAGGTTTGTTAATCTCCTTCCCCCTCCTGCATGAACAACTTTATCTTTACTTACAATTTATTTTACTAGTTTACATTCTTCAAGAACAGATGGTCCACCTGACCTGAGATAGCTCCACTCGCCAGCAGAGTGTCGCTGTTCTGAACTGATTACCTTGTCATGTTCTAAGGAAAACTACTTCAGAAACAGGTTACTAACGGGATGTTTTAGAACTTAACACATCATTAAAAAAAAACAAAACAAAACTACAAGCGATCTCATAAAGTGTTGGGAAATGTTTGAAATGAGCCTTTATTAAAGTAGCAGTATGCCTGCCATCAAGAGCTCTACATATAATGTCTCTTCTACTGCATAAAAATAGTAATATTAATTTTTACTTCTAGATTCCTACCCACTGGTAGGATGATTGCTAAGAAACATAACTCCATCCTGGGCAAAGCAACATTTAACATATAGTCTGTGAATCTTAAATAGGCTGCATTGTTTCCCTTCATTTTTGTGTGTGCTACATTCTCTAATTACATTCTCAGCTGCTCCAGAAATCATTTATTTGATCATTTATTTACCCAAATTCACTTCAGGAGCAGCAAACAGGTATGTCAGATGTGGGAAGAGACGTCCAATGTCTTTTACAAAATAATTTCTTAAATCTTCCTGGTACATTGACTGAGCAGAACTGACTCAAGGACTGCTACAATCAGAAAACAACTTTATTCCTGTCCAACACACTGCCCATCCAAGCCCACTGTCTGAGGCTAATTTTTCCTTCACCCCTGGATGAAATCTAAAGTTGATACCTTATTCACTCCTCTTAGGTAGTAAGTAATATCATAATGACATTACTAATTATTCGATTAATTCTTAGATGATAGGCAAAACCATAAGCACCGTAGGAAGACCCCACAGGAATCCACTCGTTCCTAGTTAACAAAAAGCCCTCTGATCACTTACAATCACACAAAAAACAAATCACAAAAACAGAAATGTCCACTTTTACCTAATAGTGAGAATCTGAGCTGCATTTAAGAGAACTTTCTCCTCGCGGAGAGATCAGGGCTCTGCAGCAGGAAGACCTGCAGTGGAGAAAATCCTTCTCCATTTCTCTGTCTTCTCCTGCTTCTGCTCTCCCCGACTCACTAGTCTGGCTCTGGCTCCCGGAAGGTTGTAAGGTAAGAGAAGTGAAAGAAAAAGGCCATGGAAGATCTTCCTTGACTATCATCAATTTCATCTGGGGTTGATTTCCTCAGGCTGGATAGGTACTTTAAGCTGATCCTCCCTAAACTAGGTGAATGGTTAAAGGTGACCACTTTTCTTAGGCCGCATCTTTGGGTTCTTCAGAGATCATGGTAGGAACATCAGACTATAATTCTCTTTTATTTTTCCAATAAAGGTCTTTTACTGCATCATTCAAATATCACAAATAGGTTTTAGGAATCATCTGGCATCTCATTTCTGTAGGTGGACAACTCTTGGGTCTTATTCATCAGCCTGTTGAACTGTTTTGTTTTTCAGAAATACAGATACAATCCAAAAATGTTCTGAAATCCTTGTTTTTAACGGCTGTGGCTTGCCGAATCAAAGCAGCTGAATTTGAAACAAGCTCAATGTTATTTCCTTCAAGGATTAACTCACCTTTCTGGGCTTGAGATACTGAATAAGCAACACCCGGCCTCATCCAAACCCCTTTCATGTATTTTTCACCCAAGAAATTTTGGATGTCAATAAGAGACCCATTCTCCTGATAACAACGTTGTTGGGGAATTGAGCATACACAGAGCTTGCCTTGTAACGGAAACCCAGTGTAACACCCTTGATCATGTTCTGTGCGTGACTACAAAGAGTGTGAATGACAGCCAGTTCCTATTTTCCTACCATTTGTCAACCCAGAGCCTCTTCTTTTTCTTTCCAAGAAGACTGAGTTCTACAGTCATATTGTGATTGAAGTCCCTCTGCAGGGTTCCTCTGGAGCTCTTCACAATAACTGTTCATCCCTTTCAGAGTGATGTCAACATTCATTACTGAGAATGGCCTTCATTCTTGCTATAGACATGGCAAAAAAACAAAAAATTATACCATGATTGTCTTAACATGAGTAATGCATTTCCCTCTGGCTGTTTTATTTCTTTCTTCAGCCCCAGGGAATTTAGTGGTCCAACCCCTGGTCGGGTTCACTTCACCCCTCTAGGCAGTCCTCTTGGGCTGATTTTATTTATTTAGACCAGATCTTGATCTGTTACCCAAGCTGGAGGGCAGTGGCATGATCACAGCTCACTGCAGCCTCGACCTCCCAGGCTCAGGCGATCCTCCTGCCTCAGCATCCAGAGTAGCGGGGACCACAGGCACACACTGCCAAACCCAGTTAATTTTTAAATCATTTTGTAGAGATGGGGTGGGGGTTGGAGGGGGGGGTGGTCTCCCGATGTTGCCTGAGCTGGTCTCGAACTCCTGGCCTCAAAAGATTCTCCCACCTCGGCCTCCTAAAGTGCTGAGATTACAGGCATGAGCCACTGTTCCAGGCCATTGGGCAGATTTTAAATATCTCTAGCAGGGCTGCCTCTCACATTACCCACTTCTGGTCCAAGAAAAAAGCTCACACTTACTCTTGCATCTTCCTCTCCCTCTCGGTGGGATGTGTGGCAAATTCCTAAGCTGCAAAGATGCTGTCACTCTCTCCACCCTGCTGCTTCAGGGGAATAGCCATAGCATCTCATCTTTAGATTCCTGAGACAACAGTCTAGTGGGTCCTTAAACTCTTGGGGCACAAGCTCTCCAAGTGGTCTTCTTGCTGCTCCTTCCACTGGGCTCTATCAAACTGGCCACCACAAGCCAACCCTCCTCCAAGAAATTCTCTCTACTATCCAGCGGCAGCCTTTTCTGTGTTTGAGGTGGGTGTCGGGCTTCTGGTCATCATTATGCCATTTGTAGACCCCTGTTAGTTTTCCAGCAACTCATTTTGGAATGGAGGCATACCTACCATCTATTGCCTGGGACTTGGACTGGGAAAGACTTCATCTTATTTACCGGTGATGGAAAGATTCATTTATTCCACAGTAAGCACCTGGGCCCTCCTAGCCATTATCTGTGCAGCTGCCATACCCAACCTCAGTCCCAGAATGCCTTGCTGCACTGCCTGCACCCTGTGGGCTGAATGTTGGGAATTCACTTGGACTAAAGGAAACAAGAAAAAAATCACAGCAAAATTAATTTTCTTTGGGAAAAAAGTTCACTTTCTTGGCCTTTCTCAAACAGACTCCAAGAGATACCTGAGTTGCCTTAAGAGGCTCACAAACCCAACATTCACACAAGCCGACCCCTATCTCATCCCTGAAACAGACACATAAATGGGCTCCCCCAGCTGCTCCTCTCTGAGGCCTCCACCACTTGTTTTAATGACTTTTATTTTGAACTACTCTGTACCAATTGAAAGTCACAGCCAATAACTCGGGCCAATCTTGGCCACGGAGTGCCAGCCATTATGGCTTAACTTTTATGGAAAGAAGACCTCTGAGGCCAGGTGAGCTTTAATTACACCTCTTTTGTTAGTTCAGAGTTTCATGTTATGCCAAGAAAGCATTAGCCTCATACCTTGTTTATACTAGAGAGGAATAAGGGGGCAAAATTGCTCCTTTTCCTTTATTTCCAAATCACTCTTTTTTTTAATAGGTTAAAGTTAACTTCTTATAAAACCTTCACAATACAACATCATGCTTAAAAAAAGAGAGTCTCAGGTTCTTGGCACCGAGCATTGCCAGCACTTTACGGTTAGATTTTTCCTCTTAGCTAGCTGTTCCTTTCCTTTCAGCAGGAATGCTTTCTGGTTTTTATAGCTAAATGGGATGAGAGAAGCAAAACAGCAAGAGGTATTCATATAGTCATGTTACATTAAATTTCTCTAACATAGAGTTCCATTAGAGTTTCTTTCTTACTTACAGAATACCATTGTGTATACATTAGGATTTCAGTCCCCCAAAGCAGGCCTGCTTACAAGAAATAGGAGATTAAAGAACTGATGTCTCTATAGAAAAAGAAATAACATGTCAATTGTGTTTATTTGTTGGGTTACATGATTTATGCTTTCTCATGTGAAGATGGAACAGAGAAAAGGAGACACGTGACTTTGTTTAGATAATTCCCAAGGAAAGTTGGAGTCCCTCCTTCATGAAAAGGGTTGCCTTTCATTTAAAATATAAATGGTACTGACGGCTTATGGGGAAGAAAAAGATTTCTTGTGTACGAAATGAATTCAAGATGCATCTAATTTAGTCTCCAGAGGAGGAGGCTATTTAGCATTCTAAGAGAAAAAGAAAAAAAAGTGAAATGAAGGAAGACTCCCATGAAACAGGAAATTTAAGGGCCCTTTCATGAAACTTTATGTTCATATAGATGTGAAAAGGAACAATGCAATTTGAGTTTAAAGTATCCATTTAAAATTCTTTGGTTACCCAGGACACATTTCAGCCTCACCTCACTTCTCTATATCTTAATTAATTCTCATCCTAGGTGGATAATTAAATAAAATAATAATACTCGGCAAAAGCTTTAGAAAACTCTAAAATGAAAAAAGAAAGTATGTTAATAAAGTTTCCAAATAGATGTTCTCTTATCTTGTTTTCCTATTGGAAAAATAGGTGGCAAAGAAGGGCCAATTCTAACTCTACTTATATAATTTGTGATTTCACAAGGCTACAAATTAGTGCATGCAATTAACATTAATGAGTATCAAAAAAACCCTTCTGTGTATTAAAAGACTATGGTCTTGCACTAGATGTTCATTTTTTCTTTAAAATCTTCATCGCTGCTTTGGAGGAATTATATTTTAAAAGAGAAATCCAGATGTAAATGTATAGCAAGAAAAAGGAAAACCAACTAAAACCAAAACTGTTTATTGACTGTGCTTCAGAAGAGAAAAATCTCAACACACACACACGCTTTCTCTGTGGATTAATGTGACTGCAATAATCATGCAGTGAAAGTGATGATATAATGATGTACTTTCTAAAAATCTATTAGGGGACAACTTGTCAACTTTAGCACTTGGAAAATGGGAACCACATTCCATCACTCCTATATAAGCCCTTCTGTGGACAGTCTCCCTGCCCTAACCCACAGGCCTTTAATTCAGCAACAGAATGAGGCTGTTAATTCTTTGGGAACTATATGCCCCTTTTCTTATTGGGAAGTTTAAAGTCCCTGAAACTTGTCGTACATTCATCTTACAAGCAAGAGCTTTGTTTACAACATATAATGATAAAAGAATCTTAGTTTAATGCCAAGAACCAGATTATTGCCTCAAAAAATTAGCTCCCAAAGGAGAAAGATTCTTATTAAAAGGGGAGGATTTCAGAGTCACTTTAGAACGGTACCTCTGGGTGTTATTTTTCAGGTATCATAAAGCATTTGAATTCAGCTGCTTTTTGATCCAAGTAAAACACTGCTAAAGATAAGTGAGGTTTGTTTCCTGAGTTAAGGACATCTTTAAGTGACAGATGCAAGACAATAAAAGGCCTTTTTCAGGCTCATATAAACTGAAACAACGAGAAACAAATTTCAAGACTGCTGAGAGATTGAGAAACCTCACAGGACACCTCGCATTTAACACATTTTCAATGGACTTCAGACTTCCTGGCTGTTCCTGAACTATTTCCTGTGAAGTAAGACATCATATATCAGTGTCAAAATGCACTTCAGCTGATACTTTCCACAGCTCTCAGACAAGTCCTCAACAATCCGGCATACATGAGAACCAGCCTGTGAAAGAGGAGGCAATTTTACCATGTGAATGATCTCACCATTACTCAGCTGTGCATATGCATTCATTCATTTGTTCACTCAAGAAACATGTGAAGTTTCCTGTCCTCTAGTAATGGTTCCCAATCCCAGCTAACCATCAGAATCACCTGGGCCCTCCCACCAGCTGTTGGTTTGGTGGGTATGGAGTGGGGCCTGTGCATCTTTTTTTTTTTTTTTTTTGAGATGGAGTCTTGCTGTGTTGCCCAGGCTAGAGTGCAGTGACACAATCTCAGCTCACTGCAACCTCCGCCTCCCAGGTTCAAGCGATTCTCCTGCCTCAGCCTCCCGAGTAGCTGGTATTACAGGCGCGTGCCATCATGCTCAGCTAATTTTTGTATTTTTAGTAGAGACGGGGTTTCACCATGTTAGTCAGGCTGGTGTCAAACTCCTGACTTCATGATCTGCCCGCCCCAGCCTCCCAAAGTGCTGGAATTACAGGCGTGAGCCACCGCGCCCGGCTGGGGCCTGTCCATTTTAGTTTTTAAATGCTCCACAGCCAGATTTGGAACCACTCCTTTTGTATTTCATGATCTCATTGATGAGAGGTTTACAGGCAGCGGGAAACCATCTTTATTCTCTAAATTCTTGAGCTACCTCTTCATCCTGACATCCTATTCTGCTCCTCTCTTGTTACTGAGTTCCCAAGGCTTCTCAGGCCAGGGCCAGTGGTGGAAAGATTGGTGATGGACAGAGGAAAGAGAAAGAAGGAGAATAAGGTTTAAAAATGAAAATGTGCTTCTATTCCAGCTGCCAGGAATGGTGAAATTCCTTATGCCAGACTAACCCTCCTGCCAGTAACAATTATAAGCTCTGGACAAAATATAAAAACCAGTTGTTTGAAAGCACTGGAGAATGACCAAAAGCAAGCAGAAACTGAGAATACTTACACTTTGAAAGGAGGAACACAGTTGGTGAGATCCACATTTATCCAGGGCACTTCCCATTGCCTGTGTGCATGGATGACACACTCATGCAGCAGTGACAGTGTTGCTGGGCTTGGAGGTCAGAACAAGTATCCAGAGCTCCCAGAAAGGCTAAAAATTGAGCAGAAAAATCGCATAAAGAAGAGAGCTACAGATGGGGGGATCCCCAATATCTGCATACAGACTCTCTCAAATTCTTAGCTAATAGGTGAACTGCACATGTGCTGGGTGAAAATCCAAGGAATCCAGTGGAAAGCAACACCTGGAAGCCTGAAAGAGATGTCAACAGTTCCCTGATACTGGAAGGACAGAGTTTAGGATTCATGTCCTTCCAATCTAGAAGGGCTTGGTAAACAACTTGAATATTCCACTGAAACCTTAGGACTATAGCTTAAGAATAAGGACCGCATCCAAAGGCTAAGAACTGTGCTTATTTATGCTGACCTACTAAGATTCAGATTGATCCTTATAAATTCCTGTCTAAATTACCTAAGACTTACTCAAACCTGAAGAGATATCAGGGGCCAATCCATTCTATTGTTGTTGTTGTTGCTGTTAAGAACAAGGACTACTTCTACTTGTACCGGTCCTTGCAATGCTCAGATTTCTGATTAATAAACCTAACGGGAAAGACTATAGATTTGTTTAAAACCTCAGAGCAATCAATAGAATTATGATTCTTAGATTCCCAGTGTTTCCTACCCAAATACTATCTTGTCTTCCATTCCCTCCATGAGTCAATGTTTTATGGCAGTGTGTAAACACGCAGCTTTATTTTAGTAGCCAGTAGTTAAAGAGATTCAGTGCTTGCTTGTTTCATATGCAAAAATCATCAGACTTGAGGACCTGTGAAATCACCTTCATATTTTTCTCAATGTCTAAGTAAATGATCTTAAGGATCTAAGTATTCCATGAAGATCCACCCTTATACAACAATTTATTGCTGTGTTCTCCTGCTATAAGACTTCAATTATTTCTTAATGAAATTGGCAGAAAAGGGACATAAAATGTCAACTGAAAAGTTACAACTCTACCTGAAAATTTCTAACTACATCATTTCAAAAGATCTACAAAATTTGAAATGACATGATTTTGGGTATGATCAGTCTGTAGGCAGATACTCTCTGTTATCCTCCAGAATGAAAACTATTTCATTTTATCTAAGCTCCCAAAATCAAAGGCAATTAAGATTTTCAGGGCCTGGTGCCGTGGCTTGCCACTGTAATCTCAGCACTTTGGGAGGCCAAGGCGGGCGGGTCACTTGAGGCCAGGAATTTGAGACTAGCCTGGCCAACATGGTGAAACCCTGTCTCAACTAAAAATACAAAAAATTAGCTGGGCATCGTGGCACGCACCTGTAGTCCCAGCTCCTCAGGCGGATGAGGTGGGAGAATTGCTTGAACCCGATAGGTGGAGGTTTTAGTGAGCCAAGATCACACCACTGCACTCCAGCCTGGGCAACAGAGCAAACCCTGTCTCAAAAAAAAAAAAAAAAAAAAAAAAAAAGATTTCTCAGGATTGCCCTTACAAGAGCTTTCTAAGACATGATTACAGACCCCTCACATGGGATGAAAAGGCAGAAAAAGTCTTCCTCTCTCTGAAGGTCTCCCCCAGCAACTCTACACTTTGTATATCCCTAACTATGCCAAACAGAGGAAAGACAAAGCTGCCTAATAGGAGCATTAATTTGGCTGAGAGAAGCTTCACACCAGTAGTGTATTGGCTCTCTGAACAAATCTCTCAGTCTGGTGGCTACAATGTACTCTCCCTGCCTAGCATTAATTGGGCTGAGAGAAGCTTCACACCAGTAGTCTATTGGCTCTCTGAAATCTCTCGGTCTGGTGGCTACAATGTACTCTCCCTGCCTACACCGGCGGGGTGCAGCAGCTCAGTGGTCAGAGCTCCAGCAGCAGGCTGACTAGCGCTTACTGCTGCACCAGCTTTTTGCATTCCACATACTGTGCAGTCCCTGTTACTTCTAGGCAGCACTCAGCATTTCTCTGTCAGCTGCCTCACTGATGATGAAATCCTTCCACTGTCCACCTCACAATTGCACATCATTAAGATTTTAAACCCACCATTGACTCCCTCTTCTATATAAGGAGGAATCCATGACTGTGGTACCTGGGGGATTAAGAATGCCCAGCTCCTACTAAACACATGCCTACCCTATTACCCAGAAATGCATCCAAGACAAATCAGTCCATCTGTCTACTAAAATAAATGCACAGCAATATTTATAGCAGCTTTATTCATAACAGAAAGTGGTAACACCCCAAATGTCCATCAACAGTAGAATTAATTAATGAATTGTGGTATAGTCACACAATGGAATGCCACACAGCCATAAAAAACAACGAACTGGCTGAGTGTGGTGGCTTATGCCTGTAATCCCAGCACTTTGGGAGGCCAAGGTGGGCGGATCACCTGAGGTCAGGAGTTTGAGACCAGCCTGACCAACAGGGAGAAACCCCGTCTCTACTAAAAATACAAAATTAGCCGGGCGTGGTGGCACATGCCTGTAATCCCAGCTACTAGGGAGGCTGAGGCAGGAGAATCGCCTGAACCCAGGAGGTGGAGGTTGCAGTGAGCCGAGATCGAGCCATTGCACTCCAGCCTGGACAACAAGAGCCAAACTCCGTCTCAAAAACAAACAAACAAACAAACAAAAACTACAAAAATATATATGAATATCACAGATATTATACTTACAAAAGAAACTAGAAAAAAGAGTACATACTCTGTAATTCTACCTACATGAAATTCAAAAATAAACAAAAGTAACTGATGGTGATAGAAGTCAGAATGGTGGTTACTTCTGGGGGAAGAGGGGTGTGTATTGACTAGGAAAGGGGCACAAGGGAACCTTCTGGGTTGCTAGGAAGTGTTGTAGTTCTACTTGGGAGCTATTACACAGGTATGTATAGACAAAAGTAGAAATTCATTGAGCTCTCCACTAGATTAGTACTTCACTATATAAATTATATTTGCAGTAGAAAGTAAAAACTAAACACACAAGAATGCCCAGATCAAATCTTAGTCAATTCTGACTTAATACTATTTGTAGATGACTTACCTTAAAATAACAAAGGCATTTTCTGTACAGAATACTCTGTTGATACCTAACATGCAGCTATCAAAGCTGCTCCATGGGCTAATGTTCAGTCTGCCCAAGTGGATGAATGAATGCCTCTGACTTGGTCTTGCACTTTGGCAAAGAAGAAATTGTAAACACTAAACAGACAGTAGATATGCATTTGGAATTGCTCATAACTGTGGGATGTTAAAGAAACAAAGTGGATATTTTTACTTTTTAAGTTACTCTGATTGAAAATGGTAAAGACACTAAAACTACTAAAAATGGTAAAGACATTGAAAATGCATTATAAGCTATTCAATATGAAAAATATGTGTCAGTTAAGTTAGAAACTCACAAACTACTACACTGAAAACCAATGACAATGCCTTTGCTAGCTCAAATGCTAAACAAGTAGCTTTTATTACCCCAACTACAAAGAGTTCCATCAAATTGACATCTATCCCCACTTGGAAGGAAAATTGTCTCAATTTAGACAAGCTATAATTGGCTCATAACAATCAATCCAGCCTTCTGAGAAACAATATTGGCAGTTACAGAGACATTTTCTTCATAAAGCTGGGTGCTGGCAGTCTCTGACAGCAGCCTGGGAGTGGCATGATCCATCAAATGGATGCTAACTTGACCCATGATTTTTTGCATCATGAAAGAATCAAATTAAGCTCCATGGTAAATAAATAATGAAAAAAATCAAAATTCGATCAGGAAGTGGTAGAATAATGTCTCATCTATAACTAACATAACCCAGTTATAACCGAAAAGGTAAAACAAAATAAACTCCTCAAAGCCCTTTCAGAATTTACAAATGGGTTTTATGCAACTATCCAGGTCATTAAGTTATAAATATATATTAGTAGTAGTCTGTTATCAGGATGGATAGAACCTGTTCCTTGATGAAAAGCTACAGATGGGCCAGGTGCGGTGGCTCACGCCTGTAATCCCAGCACTTTGGGAGGCTGAGGCAGGTAGATCACTTCAGGTCAGGAGTTCGAGACCAGCCTGACCAACATGGTGAAACGCTGTCTCTACTGAAAATACAAAAATTAGCCAGTCGTGGTGGTGGGGCCCTGTAATCCCAGTTACTTGGGAGGCTGAGGCAGGAGAATTGCTTGAGACTGGGAGGCGGAGGTTGAAGTGAGCCGAGATTGTGCCACTGCACTCCAGCCTGGGCGACAGAGCAAGACTGTCTCAAAAAAAAAAAAAAAAAAAAAGAAAGAAAGAAAAAGAAATCTACAGATGTTTCAGAAAGAAAACATTGCTAGACTTTGTGTTCCCAATACAGGGAATTCCTACTTCTATTCAGTGACTGTGGAACTCATTTCACCATAACAGTCCTATAGGATTCTGCAGAATTTCTCTCCTAACACAAAAACTACTCTCCATTCAGGAAAGGTAAAAAAAGAACAAATGGAGGTGCTGAAACAAAAGCTGTCCCAATCAGGGGCTGGCACACTACAGCCCATGGGCCAAATCTGGCCTGAAGTCTTTTCATACGGTCCATGAGCTAAAAAATTTTTCTTACATATTTTAAAAGTTTATAGAAAAAACAAAGATGGATATGGACTATGTGACAGAGACCACATGAGGCCTTCAAAGCCAAGAAGATTTACTATCTGGCCTTTTACTGAGAAAATGTGCTGACTCCAGGTCTAAAGTATCAAAAATCCCTAATCTGCCTTAGCCTAATGTTTTGCCACCAGTGTTAATGGCCACAAGACTACCTCCTCAGAGCTCATGCAGATTTTCTCTCTAGGACATCATTTATAGCATGCCCTATGTGGTTAGGAATAACTCTACCAAGAACTATTTTTTGTCACATGCAGATTTAGCTAAATACTGTCAGAAGCTCATTAGCATATGGTTTTGTGCAGAGTAGGTACAAGCCGCCTTTCCAAAGGAGGCATCACTCAAACCTTTATATGAATTCTAGTTCAGTGACCAGTTCCACTAGAAGAGAAATCAATGTTTTTTAAGTTGCAAAAGTGGCCACAAATTCTTCCCATTCCATATGCATGTTCCCTAGTATGCGACTATACAAATCTGCCCACCAAGAAATACAGTCTAATTATCTACTCTTTGAGTCTGGGCTTGGACATATGACTTAGTTTGGGCAACAAGGCATTAGCAATATGACACAAGCAGAGGCTTGAACGCTGCTTGCATACTGAAGCTCGCCCTCTCTTACTGCTCATAGGCACTCTCAGATCAACATCACATAAATGGACTTGGGCTAGCCTCTTGGATAATGAGAGACACATGACCCAGTTACCTCCATTTCCCTGCCAACAGCCAGCAACCACCAGATATGTGAGGCCATCAACTATCAATTGAGTGTAAATTCATGTGTGAGGGTCAGACAACATCATGTGGAGCAAAGCAAAGTTGTCCTAGTTGAGCCCAGCCCAAATTGCTCATCCCCAAAATCATGAGTAAATAAATGATTGTTTTAAGCTACTTAGTTTGGGGTGGTTTGTCCTACAGAAAATGCTAATTGACACAGACACAAAAATGCATTAGAACGTTATTGGAATGAGCCACTTCAGGTCCTCTTGACAACAGCTACAATTGACCCACAGTTACATGTGTCATAATGAAAATGAACTTTCAACTAAAACCAATGGACTTCTACTCCCATGAGTGACCGCAAGTTGAGGCTAACCAACAAGCCTCCAGAAGCTGGTTTCAAGGCACAAACAGCTTACCTGAGATCTTCAGGTCAAGCAGACAGCTTTGTAAGTGCAAATTCCACCCAAGACAATGAAAAAAAAAAAAAACCCAGATATTTTTGTTATGCCCAATCAAATGAACTGACTCCCGTGTAAAATTGCTGTGTAACTAAAAGCTATTGCTTTCCTTTTCTATGACTCTACTTTTCATTTTTTTCTCCTTCCTTTTTTGAAGCAAAATACGTTTCCACTACCTTGTTTTTAAGAATGAGAGACCATAGCTTCATCTGCTAACCTGCCTCTTTCTGGACCTGTTATCCATTTCTAGCTCCAGGCAACACTCAAATCATAGGAATACCTCTGCTTAATGCTAGCAAACAAATCCACCAAGTTTAAGATCTGAACATCTTCTATATACTTTAGAGCATACCACAAATATCTCTAGACTCAGCTACTCAGGCTGTTGTTGTAATTACATAAAACTACACACAGTCGATATTTTATCTGGAGAGAAAAGTCAACCCAATCACATTTTAAATTACCTCGAGTGTCCGTGGTACTTTTATAACCCGTCCGACTATTGGGGAATGTGACCAAAGGAAATAAAATTACTTATCAAGCTTGACAAGCAATCCTATACAACTATCCTGATGATAGAAATACCTCTTATATTACAATTTACATATTTACTTATAATGTAGCACCTTGTAAAAAATAGAAAAATGTCCATGTTCAGGAAAAATAGGATACAAGATGCCAACTCAAATAGTTTATCTTCATAATTCTGGGAAAAAGACATACACTTTCAACTCTTTACATATATATTAATTATGGGGCCAGTGGGCCTGTTCTTTACCTGTGACCTCTATGTATACTGAGAACTACTCCTGGGGTGCATGTATTCCTGGTACATAGACTCCTTACCAGCTCCTTTGAAGATTTTAAGTCCTGTTCAGTCTCATCATTTGGGTCTCTTCAGAAGTCTCGTTAGTGAACTCCCAGGAGATGGTAGGAGCGTACTGAACTGCTTGAGGGTTTTAACTTTGGTTAGGGGTCCCTGAATTCCAGAGATGTATCAATAACTTATTCCTCACTATGGCTGAAATTATAAATGTCACCATTCATACTATAAAGACCCAGAAAAAGAGCTCTGATTTGCTTGCTGTCTTGGTAATTAGAGGACCATCAAATAGCTTTACAATATTTACAGGCCTCATAAGGGGGCATCTGTACTCTGGCTAATATTTCCTATTGTTTCCAGGTAAACACTTCAGGACAAGAAGAAAAAATTATTTTAAAAAGAATACAGACACAGGCTGATGATTCTCAAAGATTTGACAGTCTGACACTTAAAATCTACCCCTCATTCTCCTACCTAGGTCAAATAAAAACACTGCCTTCATGAAATTCCCTGAACAATAATGATCAGATTTCTCATTAGAAAATTGGCTTTTCTCTAGTGCATTTCTAATAGAGTCTTCAAAAACTACTGTGCAACTGATGTTTAATGATCAAATGAGGATTCCATATTAGGGGGAGACAGAATTTCTTATGGTTAATCTCTGTCCTCCAGGAGAGGCATATGACCAAAAGCAGGAATGACAAATCCTGAGGTGACTGCCCAGCCTCCCCCTGAGGATCCACGCCACACTGTACACCCCATGTCCTTCATACTTCATGTTTGTTAAACAGATGCACATATGGATATATGATAGAAAAGAATGCTTCAGTGAGTTTTCTCTTAGTAACATCGCAGAAATATTAAGGACTGTACTCTCCATTATTGTTCAAGTTACTCACATATAAGGAAATACCACAGCATCAGGACATCTTTTAAAAGATAAGTATATTTCAATTATATAATAATAATTTTTTTTTTTTGAGACAGTCTCACTCTGTCACCCAGGCCGGAGTGCAGTGGCGCAATCTCAGCTCACTGCAACCTCCGCCTCCTGGGTTCAAGCAATTCTCCTGTCTCAGTCAGCCTCCCAAGTAGCTGGGACTACAGGCACACGCCACCACATCTGGCTAATTTTTGTATTTTTGGTAGAGACGGGGTTTCACCATGTTGGCCAGACTGGTCTCGAACTCCTGACTTCAGATGACCCACCTGCCTCGGCCTCCCAAAGTGCTGGGATTACAGGTGTGAACCACTGCGCCCTGCCAGTTACAGAATTACTTTTTGATTGGGGGTGGTAATACACTATGAACTTAAAAATGCTACTTTACTTATTTTTAAAATGTTTTGAGTTAATAGAAAAACAATAAAAGATCTTAAGATATATGTTTAGCATTTTAAAGTTATCAAGGAACCAGAAATCTGTAAGCAATAAGAAACATATTGAAATAATCTTCTAAGAATAAAAATATTTATTCAAGATTCTATTAAAGTATACAAAGAACGAATTTAGGATTTAAAACAGAGGAACATTTTATTTATTTATTTATTTATTTTTGAGACAGAGTCTTACTCTGTTGCCCAGGCTGGAGTTAAGTGGTGCAGTCTCAGCTCGTTGCCACCTCTGCCTCCTGGGTTGAAGCAATTCTCCTGCCTCAGCCTCCCAAGTAGCTGGGATTACAGGCACACGCCACCATGCCTGGCTAATTTTTGTATTTTTAGTAGAGATGGGGTTTCACCATGTTGGCCAGACTGGTCTTGAACTCCTAACCTTGGGTGATCTGCCTGCCTCAGCCTCCCAAAGTGCTGGGATTACAGGTGTGAGCCACCCGCACCCAGCAGAAAGGAACATTTTAAACACGTTACCTAGTGTTAAGGCATGATAGCTCAGCAATTTTTTTTTTTTTTTTTTTGAGACACGGTCTCATTCTGTCACCCAGGCTGGAGTGCAGTGGCACAACCACGGCTCACTGCAGTCTTGACATCCTGGGCTCAAGCGATCCTCTCACCTCACCCTCTTGAGTAGCTGGGGCTACAGGTGTGTGCAACCATGACCAGCTAATTTTTTGTATTTTTGGTAGAGATGGGTTTTGCCATGTTGCCCAGGCTGGTCTCAAACTCCTGAGCTCAAGTGATCCACCCTCGGCCTCCCAAAGTCTTGGGATTACAGGCATGAGCCACCGTGTCCAGTCACAGCCCAGCAATAGTAACAGCCTTGATCTTGATAGTCTCTTAATAGCATGTCTCATAAATAGTTTATTCCGGAAGTTGGAAATTGTAAAATTTAATATAAAATAAAAATTTTAAAGCTTATAAAATCAAAAGTTCCATTTAGTTTGTTTTTACGTACATCGTCTTATTCCAAAAGAATCTGAAGTGGTTGGCAGAGGAATGTGTACAGGAGTAACCATGAACAGAAATAATCCTATAAAACAAAATACTAGATGAATGCCGGGCGCGGTGGCTCACGCCTGTAATCCCAGCACTTTGGGAGGCTGAGGCAGGCAGATCACCTGAGGTCGGGAGTTCAGGACTAGCCTGACCAACACGGAGAAACCCCATCTCTACTAAAAATACAAAATTTGCCGGGCATGGTGGCGCACGCCTGTAATCCCAGCTACTAAGGAGGCTAAGGCAGGAGAATCGCTTGAAACCAGGAGGCAGAGGTTGCGGTGAGCCAAGATTGTGCCATTGCACTCCAGCCTGGGCAACGAGCAAAATTCCATCTCAAAAAAAAAAAAAAGAAACCGTCGAATGGACACTAATTTTTTTTAAAAGAAAAGCTCACGTGCACAGGGAGTAGAATAAATCAAAGATTACACTTCTACCCTAAAGTTAGAAAAGGCAGGCTTTCTATGGTTAGGAGGAAAAATCTACCAACACCTTTAAATAAAAAATGCTTTAACTAAAACAAGATTTTGCTGAAATCCTTCCAAGGCAGAAAAAACTATGAAAACCAGAAACCAAGGTTGGGGGGTGGGGTGTCATGTTTAAAATGAAGCAGCACTAAGCAACATTTCTCCAGCTTTCACCTTGCCCAGAGTCTTGTAGATGAATATCAAAAACAAATTAAAATCCACAGAGCAGAATTTTTCTTCCACTTGTTTAAAGGAAACTGTTATAAGCAGAACTGTCCAAAGGGCCATATCAAAGAAAACGGGTTCTAAAGTGAAACCTAAAACATTCCAGTAACCAAATACCTGAGAGAAGCTGTGAGGAAGTGCATGTGGAAGGCTGACACATTTCTGAGTTTCCATAGACTCTTGCAGCTTCTATGTTCAGTGAGAAAAAAAATCCCCAGGCAATGGCTCCTACTAGAAGTTTAAGGAATTCTAAATTGCTCTTCAGTAATTCTCAGCCTTGAGTGCCCATTAAAATTACCTGAAAAGGTCTTTTTTTTTTTTTAATACCAATGCTGGACCCCATCCAAGATCAATTAAATTGAAATCCCTTGGTACAAGGCCCAGGCATTAGTATTTTTTAAAGCTCCCAGAGGTTCTAATGTGCTGCCAGTGCTGAGATCCACTTAGCAACCTACAAAAATGCTGAAAAAGTCAAGGATGACTGTAATTACTGTGTGTTTGAAATTCAGTTGTGACAGAAAATGATTTTTCTGGGAGGTAAATTTTTTTCACTAGTGCTAGGCTGCCTTTCTTTTCATGTGCTTATGCCCTCTACTATACAGTACTGAAATCCCTCAAGATAATAAGAACAACACCATTTATTGAGCACTTACATGGTATCAAGCACTGTGCTGGGCACTACCCACCCCCATCTCCACACACAATCACTGATGTCCATTATTCTGCAAAAATAAGTATTAAACCCATTAATCTGAAACAGCTGATAAGAAGGCGTTTCGTTGGCCCCTATCACAAAGCAAGAAGTTACAGAATTGGGATTAGAACCTACATGTATCTGATTACGAAGCAATGCTTTTTATTTTCCTTTAATTTTATGTATTTATGTTGCAAAAGGTAATAGAGTTACATGTTTCACAGGTTTATAAAGGTTTATATGGTATACATAAGGCATATAAAAATTAATCTCACTGATGATTTTTTTCTATCACAACTGAAGTTCAAATACATAGTAACCACGATTATCCTTGATTCCTATCACTTAGCCTCTCCTATCACCCAGCCAACAATTCTACTCCCTGGAGACAAACTTAGCAGTTTCTTGTTTATATAATATATTTACAAGCAAATACATGTAAGAATATGTGACATACCATACATTTGAATTCCTCCCCACCCCATTTTAAATAATTTCAACAACTGCATAGTTCACACACTATTTTGCACATGGCTTTTTTCACTTTAACAGTGCATCTCAAAGATTATTCCATATCAATAAACTTTTTAAATTTTTTTTTGTAATACATAGTATTCCATTGTACTGATGTACCATCACTTTAAAACCAGTCTATTATTGATAGACATTTGATTTTTTCTATTTGCTGTTATAAAAATGTTAGAATGAATAACCTTGAGCTACATAATTTTATAAATACATACAGATAATTACACCTATAGATTAAATGCCTAGATGTCAAAAGCCATGCCCTTTCACTACTCTATGCTATCTCAGGATTCTAAGAAACAACTCACAATCAGACTTATAATGACTTATACTTATTTTATTTAAAAACTTTAAATACCCAAATTATGCTTTTTGTTTTATTTTAAAATATTGGAATTTTTTTTTCAGAATATGCTCAAAAACCAAACAGTCTGAGAGAGGGTTTTAAGCCAAGGTAAAATGACTTTAAAACCAGTGGCATAAACACTGTGCTGGCTGTCTCTTCCCGTTCAGAAGGTATCTGCCCCCGAAGACTCCATGTCCTCCTGCATTGTGCTGAGACTCAGAGACTGAGAGCAGTCCTCGAGGTTCACTGACGGCAGCATCACTGACATCTTGGCAGGGGGCATCTGTGAAGCGGAGAGTGGCACTGCTTTCCCACCTGCACAAAGGAGAAGCTCATTCAGCTCAACATGCGTAACCTGAGTATTTACGTGCTTTATGCTTTGCGAAATAATATGAGGTTGGGGTGGGGGGGCGCGGATTCCAAATAAGGATTGCCTACAAGGGACTCTCTTGTCCCAAGGTGCTCAGAACTTGTCAGAGAGGTAAAATACACCTTCCTCCTTTCCACCCTCACTCCTAATCAGTCAGAGACAACATCAGTATACAAGCTAAAAGTTGTGATACAGATGATAAATGCTAAGTAAGATCAAATGTAACGGGTTAAGGGCCTAGTCTCTGAAATCCAGACTTAACTTCTTGCTGGCTGTGTGACTGTCACCAAGTTATTTTACCACTCAAAAGTTCAGTTTCCCATATGTTAAATGGGATAATAGTACCTACTTTGCACAGTATAGTGAGGATAAAATAGTGTCAGTGAAGAGCTCAACAACAGAGCTTAGCACTCAGTAAGTGGTCAAAAACTAAGCGCTCCCATTACCATTAAAAGATAGCCATTATTACTACTGTTACCATTAAGTAAATAGCTAGGAGAGCAATAAAACACTATAATAGCCAGAAATTAAAGGTTTGTGGTTAGAGCAAGAACTTTTTTTTTTTTTTTTAAAAGAGGTAAGATATCAGCCATGTAAAAGGCATTTGAAGTCAAAGGTTGCCAAGGCACTTTGCTCTTCCTCCTATTCCTAAAAAATGGACTCTTAAACTCAAGAGCATGTCATTAATAATGATTTACTGAGTGCCTAAGGGTGCTATGCTATTAGCCAACAGAAGTGATATAAGGTTAGCAATGTCAGAGGAAAAACATACTGCAGTGGTCATCCAAGTATTACTGACACTTGACTTTGGAAAGCATTTTTCTCTGTAAAATAGACTTTTCTCTCTACTGTAAAGTAGACATTATCTCTACATTTAATGAAATATGAAAAAAAATTCCCACTTCATGGATTGAGAGCAATATTATAATGTCTAATATGAAAGCTGGCTGGTGGCAGAGGGCAGGCAGTTTGGGATAAATAATTCATTAATATGTAAAAAATTCAAAGTTGACTACGTAAGTGTATGTATCTGCCTATACCCAAATTCACCCCTGTAAGTTTAAAGCACAATGCCTAAGAATATAAAGACTGTCAACTTGGTATTATTTAAAACAAACAAACAAAAATCCTCATTTAAAATTTCATGGATTTACCATAGACATAAGAATAATAAATACGTTAAAAATAAATTACCTTAAACAATCTTAAAGACATATTTCAGACAAGAGTCACAGTAATTTTTCTAAAATCCCTTTATGTTTTTCAAGTAGTTTCTACAGTAATAACATAGAATTTTTCATTAAATTTTTATAGGGGCCACAGTATAATTAGACAGTTCTGGAGATTTTAATGATGTCTCAATCATAGCTGTCCAAGCTCAGAATACTTGTAAAAGGAAAATTCCTTTCATATAAGGAAATTTAATAAAGACTATTTTAAATACTGTATCACTCCTTTTTGTTACTATTTCATTTTTTTATAAAAAGAGAGAGGAAGATAAGATTTGGTATCATTACAGCAATATCACAAACTATAATATAATACCATAGTATTTAAAAAGAAAACAAGTTTTATGTGAATTTAAATAGAATATTTCAAATAGGAAAAGATTTTAGTCTTTTCAGTTTGTCAGGATGTAATAAAAATGCAATGAATAGACACTAAAGACTGTATTTTTTAAATCTTTTTTTTGAGACAGGGTCTTGCTCTGTCACCTAGGCTGGAGTGCAGTGGCATGATCATGGCTCACTGCAGCCTCAACCTCACAGGCTCAAGCGATCCTTCCACCTCAGCCTCCCAAGTAGTTAGGACCACAGGTATGTACCACCATGCCTGGCTAATTTTTAAAAATTTTTTGTAGAGGGAGGGTCTCCCTATGATGCCGGGGCTGGTCTCAAACTCCTTTGTCTCAAACTCCTTGGTCTCAAGTGATCCTCCTTCTTCAGCCTCCCAAAGTGCTGACATTACAGATGTGAGCCACCATGCCTGGCCTTAAAAATGTGTATAGGACACAAGCATTAATAATATATAATATTTAAACATTCTTATATTTTACAAAGCCATGATGCAGAATACACAAAATAACTGAGGGAAGCAGCCAATATCAGAGCTCACCTCATGAATAAAGTAAAAACTAACACTGGATATAACTAAGTCCTAGGGCAAATTAATTTTCCACTCATACAAACAACTTAATGTTACCTTCTAATCCATTCCTTGAGTTATGCATCTGCCAAAAACAACAGTGATACCAAATACTCTTCTTTTCTCTGTTATTTAATTTCACAAAACCACTTTGTATATACCTTCGTTTTCTACTTTGTGCATAAAATTACAGATTAAATTGCTCAATGTTGTAATAAGAGCTATAACTTTTTAGGGTGGAGGGATCTCCTAGAAGTTTCCAAGTCTCAAGGAACATACTGAATTCAATCACTGTAAGCATTTCTTGCAGTTATTGCCTTATATTTGTATAACAATTCAAATTTTGTAAATACGTTTTCATCATATTATCTGATCCTAACAGTAATTCTCAGAAACAGACAAGGCAACTGAGGCCCAGAGACATTAAAGTGGGCTTCTCCAAAAGCATATATGCACTAACTAAACATCTATATGAATCTTCTGCATGTATGGAGCTAAGAGCATATGCAGATGAAGAAGACAGAGTCCTCATCCTCAAGAAGTTCATCACCTAGTAGAGGAGATAAACATGTATAGGAATACTTAAATGAAGTGGAAGGTAGCCATTGAGTTGGGACTGAAAAGATGGTGGGAAGGCAATGAAGGAAAACAGAATAACAAAATAAAGTCAAGATAAAGTTAATGTGTTAAGGGAACTCTGAGTATTCTGATATCAAATATTGTTTGGATAGGAGAAATGGTGAGATAAGCAAGGCCAGGGCCAAGTCCTGTGAAAGCAGTAAGGAGTCACAAAAAATTTTGACCACAGGAATAATTTGAGCAAATCTACGGTCTAATATCCAGCATCTATAAGGAACTTAAAACAAATGTATTAGAGAAAAACAACCCCAAAGGACATGAACACTTTTCAAAAGAACACATACATGAGGCCAGCAAGTATATGAATAAAAGCTCAATATCACTGCTCATTAGAGAAATGCAAATCAAAATCACAATGAGATACCATCTCACACCAGTCAGAATGGCTATTATTAAAAGGCCAAAAAATAACAGATGCTGGTGAGGTTGCAGAGAAAAGGGAACACTTATTCACTTGGTAGGAGGGTAAATTAGTTCAATCATTATGGAAAGTAATATAATGATTCCTCAAAGAAGCTAAAAGCAGAACTACCATTCGACCCAGCAATTCCATTACTGGGTTTATACCCAGAGGAATATAAATCAGTCTACCATAAAGACACATATATGCAAATGTTCACTGCGGCACAATTCACAACAGGAAGGGTATGGAATCAACCTAAATGCCCATGGATGACAAATTGGATAAAGAAACTGTGGTACATGTATACCAAGGAATACCATGCAGCCATAAAAAAGAACAAGATCATGTCTTTTGCAGGAACATGGATGAAACTGGAAGCTATCATCCTTTGCAAACTAATGCAGGAACAGAAAACCAAATACTGCATGTTCTCACTTATAAGTGGGAACTAAATGATGATAACTCATGAACACAAAGAAGGAAACAACAAACACTGGGATCTACTTGAGACTGGAGGGTGAGAGGAAGAAGAGGAGCAGAAAAAATAACTATTGGGTACTAGGCTTAATACCTGGGTGATGAAATAATCTGTATGACAAACCTCCACAGCCCGAGTTTACCTATACAGGAAACCTTCTTCACATGTACCCCCAAACCTAAAATAAAAGTTAAAAAAAAAAGAGGTAAAAATCATCCTAATAGCTGTGTGGAAAATAGAGAGACGGGAGACGGATCTATAAAAATAGTCCATAGAAGAACTAATGATCCTTGGCAGTGGAAATAGGGTCAAGATATTTTGGATGGAGACTTAGTACTTATAAAGAACCAAGTTTCACTCTGAAATGACAGATTTGGTTGACTGACTAGGCAGTAATAAGAACACCAACAAACTTGGGAGCGGTGATGAAATTTTAAGCACAAGTCTCTTCATGACAGATCAAGAGTAGGGTCCAAATCAGGTCACTTAGGAATGGCCCCACCCAGACTGCTGATGTGAGGCTTCTGTATGGGAAGGAGTAAAAGGCAGAGGGGATAAGAGAATGGATTCTGGAACAGGGCAGAGCTGAGCTCATCCATCCATCCAACAGATATCAACTGTGCACCTACTATGTGCCTGGCACTGTTCTAGACTCTGGAGAATACAGCAGTGAAGAAAACAAAGGGTCTAACCTCACTGGCCACACATTCTGTTGGGTTTAGGGGATGAATGACAAGTAAGGAAATAAACATCTAATATAACAGGAAGTGCTAAGTACTATAAAGAAAAATAGGTAAAAGGTAAGAGGGATAGAAAATAATAAGAGACTGAAAAAGTTACGTAACTTCTCTGAACCCCAGTTTTCTCAACTATAAAAAAAATATGAGTACCAACTTCAGAGGTGTTTCTTTTCTTTTTTTTTTTTTTTTGAGACGTAATCTCGTTTTGTCACCCAGGCTGGAGTGCAGTGGCGCAATCTTGGCTCACTGCAAGCTCCATCTCCTGAGTTCACGCCATTCTCCTGCCTCAGCCTCCCAAGTAGCTGCGAGGGACTAAAGGCGCCCGCCACCACGCCCGGCTAATTTTTGTATTTTTAGTAGAGACGGGGTTTCACCATGGTCTCAATCTCCTGATCTCGTGATCCACCTGCCTCGGCCTCCCAAAGTGCTGGGATTACAGGTGTGAGCCACCACGCCCGGCTGACTTCAGAGGTTTTTATGAGGATTCAGCCAGATAATACATACAAAGTGTTTTATATAGTGCTGGAACATAGAAAGCACACAAACATATCAGCTCTTACTTTTATGTAATTGGAAAGCCACTATCTAAGAGGCAATGAGGCTCAGGGTGGGCTGCAAAAGGTACTCTGCTTTAGAAGGAGGAATAAGAATGTTTCACTGAAATACAATTAAGAAAAAAAGAGGGAGTGGGGAAAGAGAGAGTACACTCTGGAAGGCCTCTAAATAGTTATGCTAGTTTAAACTCTAGTTAACTGTGTTTTAATCAAGAAGTTATAGCAATAAAATGTACCATCTTATCAAAAGGTATTTGTTAATGTATATTTTGGGAATTTTTTTTTTTTTTGAGACGGAGTATCGCTCTGTCACCCAGGCTGGAGTGCAATGGCATGATCTTGGCTCACTGCAACCTCCACCTCCCGGGATCAAGCGATTCTCCTGCCTCAGCCTCCTGAGTAGCTTGGATTACTGGCGTGTGCCACCGCACCCAGCTAATTATTGTATTTTTAGTAGAGACGGGGTTTCACCATGTTGGTCAGGCTGATGTCAAACTCCTGACCCCGTGATCTGCCCACCTCGGCCTCTCAAAGTGCTGGGATTACAGGCGTGAGCCACTGCGCCCGGCTGAAAACTTTTTATTTAAAGTATTCATTTACACAAGCTAAATCACAGTTTTAGAACTTTGTAAGAGAACTCTTTAGACTGGGAACATTAAAAAAAGCATCACTTAGATTACTGTGAACAGGCGAAAAGGGTAACATTCATAAAAAAATTAATTTTTTTAAAGAAAAGACATAACATTTTAATAAATCACCATGAAAGCAAATATAAATCTTCTACCTCTATTAAATATAGTTTGATGCTTTTAAAGTTTGACTTTTTAAATTTGCACAGTCAAGTCATTACTCTATGATGTAATTGTTTCAACAGCTGTTTTCAGGTCTATAAAAAAGACTATTCCTTGATTCCATGGGTTTGCAGTGTGTCATTTAACCTGGCATGCATTTAAGTGGGGCATGCCATGGAGTCAGACCATGCGTTAGAAGCTTCCTGAGACATAATTTAATACACGTTTTTGACATTTGAAATTCCAATTTTTTGCTTTAAAAATATTTAAAATTCATAAAGAAATTTTATGTTTTCTGTTTTTGGATGTCAGATTTATAAAACTAAGTAAAAGAAAAACTATAATTTATTCTGAGTAATAAGTTATGTAACGAATGGTAGGATTCAATTCTCTGAATTGTTTTTCCAGTGATAGTGGTGAAATATTAGTTCCTCTCCTGTTAATTGTGGCTGTCTTATTCTGATTGCAGCACTTACCAGACTGCACTGTAATTATTTATGTATCTGTCATTTCTTCCAGACAATGCATTCCTTAAGGGCATGGACAGTCTTTGGAATTGACAGTCTTTGTGTTCTGAGTGACTAGGATAGCAGGTACACAGTAAGTATCTGTGACCTTATCACCTTGTATTATTGTTACTAACTTGTAAGTCTGTTGTTTCCATTAAAGATGTGCTCCACTAGGACAGTGACTGTGTCTTATTTACCTCTGCATTCTACAAAGCCTCAGCATGATGCTGGGCAAACAGTGGACCTTGAAATGACTGCTGAACCAAATTGATTTGTTCCTACCTAGAGAGTCTGTGGTTTCTCTTTGCTAACAGCTTGCTTAGATTCACACTGACCAGATCTTGTCTTTAAAATCAGCCCTGAGTTCCAGCAATGCAGTTGCTTCCCAGCTGTCTGTGAAAATGTTACAGTATTTCAGCTGTGTTTTATTGAGTTCTTGAAGCATTTTTCCTGTACACCCTGGACTCATCCACTCTTGCTCCAATTCCTGTGTAAGCAGCTGCTAAACTATCCTGCTGTATTCAATTCTCCTCACATACTTAACCCAGTCCTACAGATTTGCAACATCATAGCCCCAGTGTTTGAGAATAAATGAAAGACTTGATGAAGAAGGTGCCTCATCATTTGATGTTAAGTATAGTATGCAATATTTTATTTACTTTTGCTTTCCAGAATTAGTCACTATTAAACATTTCTTTCCTTACTCATGTTTTAGAAAGGGTAACTTAAAATGTTACAATGATCTTATCCCAAAATATCTTTTAGGCATATGAATCCTATTACTTTTTTTATTTTTCAAATGAGTTGACAAATGCTTATTTTAAAATTTATAATTTAAGGTAAAAACAAAGCAGTTCTTATAGGAAGAATAAATGTTCCGACACCTGTAAAAACAACTCCAATTTTTTCCTCTAAAAAGCAATCGTTAATGTGAAAGATCTGTTTCTTTTTATGCCAGGTTCCAGCTGCTTCACTTTGTTTAAAATGACTTCAAAGTTTAAACACTGTCCTGTCCCAACAAATAACCTCCCCCAGATGGAATTATCTCGAGTCTTATCCTTAGTGCTCTGAATACCACACCTGCAGCCTTTTAATTCATCATTTTATAAACTTTCCAAAGCGAAACGATAGGTTTTCTTTCCTGTCCCCTAACTTACGCCTTTTGGAGAGCTGAGTTTGTAACCTGGGGTGAATTTACAGATATTACAGAAGAATTAAAAATTGCTATTAGTATTTCTACTGTGTTGATTATTATGAGAGAAAGAATCATCAGGAAATGAAAAAATCTGAACAGCTCCAAGTTCAAGAACTTTTAAAGTAAAAATCTTACCTGAAAATACACATGTGAGGTACGGATTAAGCTCAATTTGTGTCCGATCCATATCACCTGGTGAAACTACATAAAAATTTATTTTTTCAGAAGAAAATCAGTTAAGCATAGAAATAATCATGATTCATTCCTATTCACTAAAAGAACACAAACCAAATGCACTCCCACCGTTATTCTCATAAAACCAGGTAAACAGAAGTTTGATCTAGTGGCCTGAATGTAAAGAAGGAAGTTAAACAGCTGAATTTTAATGACTATCAATAGGAAATACTTTAACGGATTATTATCTTTATGCATCACAGATGGGGGGGGGAAGCAAAGGGTCATGAGAAAATCTGAAATTTGTATCAAATAAAGGAAATTAATGGGCCATTTCTTCAAAGGTGAAAAGTTTTCACAGATTCTCTTACCTAAGAATTTAATAATTACAAAAAGAGGTTTAGAATCTCCCTTCTTCCTAGGCCAGCCTGGAGCATATTACTCAATACAATCCGTAGGAAACAACCCATAAAGCTGGCAGGGAGCACAGAAGAGCAATACACTATTATAGCAAAGCAAATTTTTAGTATTGAGATAAAATAGGCTGAGGAAAAAATCTTTTTTATGGCCAGAGAATCGGAAAGTTAACTGAGAGAAACCTATAGCACATATAGGTCTCAGGCCAACAAGACACTCTGGATACTAAGGGCATGGCTCCGTTATGATGCTGTTAATCTGTGCTGTGAAGTACAGTCAATTAACAACCTTCTATAACTTATTTCAAACAAATTCTTGGGGTAGGGTGATATGAAAAAAATTAGAACGTTGTATAATCAGTATTTCTTTTCTAATTTTCTTTAAGATAAAAATCAGTTATCTCTTAAGCTTCATTTATTTCACAAAAATTTCAGGTAGTACATGTACACAATGGAGTGTTATCCAGCCATAAAAAAGGATGAGATCCTGTCTTATGCAATGATATGGATAGAACTGGAGGTCATTAAGTGAAATAAACCAGACACAGAAAGACAAACTTTGAAGGTTCTCATTTATTTGTGGGAACTAAAAAATAAAAACAGTCTGGGTGAGGTGGTTCATGCCTGTAATCCAAGCACTTCGGGAGTTTGAGACAGGTGGATCACTTGAGCTTAGGAGTTCAAGACCAGCCTGGGCAAAATGGCTAGACCTAGTCTCTACAAAAAATACAAAAAGTAGCCAGGTGTGGTGGCTCGCGCCCGTAGACCCAGCTACTTGGGAGGCTCAGGTGGGAGGATGGCTTGAGTCCAGGAGGCAGAGGTTGCAGTGAGCCAAGATGGTGCCACTGCCTACCAGCCTGGACGACAGAGCCAGGCTGGAAAAGAAAAGAAAAAACAATTGAACTCATGGAGATAGGCAGTAGAAGGATGGTTACCACAGGCTGGGAATGGTAGTGAGAGCGGAAGGGAAGTGGGAATGGTTAATGGGTTAAAAAAAAAAAAAAAATAGAAAGAATGAATTAGGCCCAGTAATTTGCTAGCACAACAGGGTGACTATAGTAAAAAATAATTTAATTGCACATTTTAAAATAACTGAGTATAATTGGATTGTTTGTAACACAAAGGAGATGCATACTCCATTTACCCTGATGTGATTATTACACACTGCATGCCTGTATCAAAATATCTCATGTAACCCGTAAATACATATACCTACTGTGTACTCACAAAAATTAAAAATTAAAAAAAATTTATACTAAAAATTAAAAAAATTTTTGGGTGGATTTTTATAAGAAGATATTTAAATGAGCAAGTTTATAAGCATTCCATATTTCATTATGCTGGGCAATACATTCTCACTGGAGATAAACATTCATGTTAAACTATTATTGTTATACTGTAGAAAATTTAATGTTTTATAAGGACAAGAGTGTGGACAAATACAAGTTACATATATTTGATATCCACAAATAGACCAAAATTGAACATACAACTGTGATATAGGTTTTGTTTGTTTGTTTTTTAAAGAAATGGGGTCTCATTCTGTCACCCAGGCTGGAGTGCAGTGGTACAATCATAGCTCACTGCAGCCTCGACCTTCTGGGCTCAAGGGATCCTGCCATCCTGCCACCTCAGCCTTCCTAGTAGCTAGAACTACAGGTGTCTGTCACCATGCCCAGCTCAACTGTGATACAATTTTAAAAAATCTTTAAATGTATTAAAAGTGCTTACTATGGGCCAGGCGCGGTGGCTCACGCCTGTAATCCCAGCACTTTGGGAGGCCAAGGTGGGAAGATCAGGAGGTCAGGAGATCGAGACCATCCTGGCTAACACGGTGAAACCCCATCTCTACTAAAAATACAAAAAATTAGCCGGGCGTGGTGGCAGGCACCTGTAGTCCCAGCTACTCGGGAGGCTGAGGCAGGAGAATGGCGTGAACCTGGGAGGCTGATCTTGCAGTGAGCCAAGATCACGCCACTGCACTCCAGCGTGGGTGACAGAGCGAGTCTCCGTCTCAAAAAAAAAAGAAAAGTGCTTACTATGATGTTAATGTTTAAATGTTATCTGTGTTCACTTCTCACTTTGTTTCTAAACTTCCAAGAGTTAGAGAGGGACAGAAATTATTACTGCTTGGTCCCTCCAGTTTAATAGAGCTCCCTTTCAAATTCTACAGAGAACACAGAGTATAAACATGAAAACAAAGGTATCAATACCACCTCAGAGATCCCTTCCATTGAAGAACCACTTGTTTATAGCAAGTAATGAGAATATTAACTCCCTAATTGAGTTGATCAAGGATCTTAGCAGAGTATGCCACCTAAAGGAAGGGTACATAAATGGTTACTATGACATATGGTTGTTGCTGTTATTGTAAACATAAAACTCTCCTCAGTCAAAACTGGGGGAGGATCTTGACTTCTGCAGTGATACGTCTTAACAGTTAAAAAAAATAAGCCACTATCACAGTATCAGAGTTGACCACTTTTATTCTTATAACAAGTAAGTGGCTTCATAATTCTCACTTGTTGATTTACGAGGTTTACTGGAAGGGTGAGTATTGTGCTCTGCAGTTGATGATTAAAACAGCAAACACGGCCTACAACTAGGTCAACACAACTTGAAAACTGCTTCTCAAGTTTGTCAGTTCTTACAATTCTTTATCCTGCTGATCAAAACTGAAAAAAAAACATAATACTGGTATTGAAGTCAAAAGATGAGAAGGAAAATTTTGGAATTATTTGATCTATAAAGTTCTATTAACATTTCTATGGAAATTTTGAATGAGCAATGCTGACTAGAAATTGAGTTATATATTAACTATAAATATAATTTATATTTTTATCTTTACCACAAAAAGCTGACTTGTTAGCTTTTACTTAAATGTTTGAAGATACTACAAAATAAAGAACAAGTGAACTTAGATTTGGAAATAGAATTCCAGCCTGGAAAAGCAGGGATACTGGCTGAAAAAGCTTTAATTGAAGGCACACAGGGAGTACTGGGATTGCACTACTTGTACACACTGTGCCTTTTCCAAATACCCCCCTTATTTCAATATTTTAGCTTTTCATTTCAAATAGTCGTTCAAAATATTGTTGCTATCTCTGGTGCCAAGTGAAAGTAAACCATGTTATAGTTAGTGTACATCCTTTTCAAAAATTGGTATTTTTCAAGGAATACTACACAGCCATAAAAAAGAATGAAATCATGTCCTTTCCAGCAACATAGATGGAGCTCATAGGCCACTAACCTAAGTGAACTAACTCAGAAGCAGGAAATTCATTACCACATATTCTCACTTATAAGTGGGAGCTAAACAATGGGTACACATGGACATACGGATAGAAATAATACACGATGAAAACTCCAAAAGCCAGCGAAGGGGGGGCAGGGTTGAAAAATAACCTATCAAGTACAATGTTAACTATTTGGGTAATGGGTACATTAGAAGCCCAATCCCCACAATTAAGCAATATACCAATATATCCATGCAATAAACCAATATATCCATGCAATAAACATGCACATGTACCCCCAAATCTAAAATAAAATGACATTTATAAAAATTGGTATTTTTAAAAAATTGAAATTTGGGCTTTATAACAGTTATACTCATATTTAAAAAAAAATTATTTTGGGCTTCAAAGCTTACTTTCTGACTCTTCAATGCTATTTTCAGTAAGAGTCACTGGTATAGTAATACTTACATTTGTAAATCTTTATAGTATTATTTTAAACAAATTCTTTATGGATTATCTAAGAAAACAGCATAAAACTATAAGGCTGTTAACTGCAAAATAAGGATATAAAGATGAAGCCCCCCAAAATGTGAATTTTTTAACCCACAAAACAACATAAATTTTTAAAGGGACGATGTACAGAATTTAAAACAAAACTCAATAAGGAGACATCTAAAATTAGTAACAGTCAGGATAGCTACATTTTTATACTAATTTGAGTTCACTAAAAAAAAAAAAAAAAATCCAATAAATTATTAGGGTACTTAAAAATATATAAAAAGAAGTTAGTACTTGTTAAATAACCTGGCCAGATCCTCCAAATTAAGTTACTCATTGGCTCTAGTAGGTATACCAACTCTCTTAAATAATAGCATTTTCAGAAATAGGATCCTGGCGGCATAAAAGTATATATCCCACTGCCAAGAAGTTGATAGTTAATTCAGAAAATAGATGACCCACCTATCCTGAATGCAAATCACAATTAACTTGAGTAATGTACATTCAATTATTAAAGCTTATTAAAAAGCATTTAAGTACTTGACTGTATTCCTGTTGGTGTTATGACAGAGAGAGTGCCTGCCTTTTAGGGGCAAGAATGTCTAGAGGGACATTCCAGCATTAAAATTTGGTTGAGAACTGAGAGACTCTATGTTTTAATAGACAACTTTATCTACAACTCACTTCCTGTTAGTTGAACAGCCTGTGAAACAGCTACTAAAACAAATTCCTCTCAGATCATTCTTTATAAAAGCATGCCATAATAGTTTAAAAACTAAAAGAATCTTAAAAACTACAATAGGTTTGCCTGGTGAAAGAAGCCATACATACCGTATGATTTCATTTATGTGAAGTGCAAACAAGGAAACTAATCTAGGTTGTTGGAAGTCAGAGTAGTGGCTTTATGCTTGTGGGAGTAGAGACTGTGGCTGAAAGGGAGCATGAGGGCCTTTGGGGGTCTGGCAGTGTTCAATTTCTTGAGCTGGATACTGCTTCCACAAGTGTACTGTATTTGTGAAAATTCTTTGAGCTGTACACTTACAATATGTGTACTTTTCTGAATGTATATTATTCTTCCATAAAAAAGTTAAAATGGAAGAAACCAATAGGGCAGTTTCAGCAATTAAAAGATGATACCTTTGTAGTTTTAAACTTTTTTCCAATGATAAAATTAAGCCAAATTACTGGCATTACTAGGTAACCTTTAATATCAAATAAATAGTTACACTAAGTCATAGGCCGTACTGCTGACTACAAAGATGAATTCCTTTCTATTTTTTTTTCCTAAAACCTTGAAATACCAGTGCACTGAAATTATTCAGAAGCAGAAGGTGAGATTTTGTTGTTGCTGTAGTTTAACTCTCACAGGGCTTACTATCTAGGATACTTCGTGCTCTACGACAATCAGCCACTTGATTTAATTGAAAGCACAAACTATAATCCAGTTTTAACTAATCTTCAGCATTTAAAAAATCTTAATACATTGTAAATTCACATTTAATTCCTTTCTTTGGTAGGAAAGAAGTTTGCTGTTTCAGTTTATGTCTATTAAGCAATAATATCATAACTACACTTAAACTCAACCATATCTTTGTCAATAATAACACCCATAATTCTAATACACCTATATTATACCAGGCCACAGACTGTTAGAGAAGGTCACTATTATAACATTCTTATAAATGACATTTGATAATTACCAAAGCTGATGGCAAAGTAACTCCCTAATATTTACTAAGCAGTTTGAAGCTAAGTGCCTCTGTATCTATACACAGAAAATCTATTTTCTGAGATGGAAACCCTTCCTAAATATGAAGACTTCTCTCAAATTATGGCTTGTGGTTATCACTAAAAATATACTGTATTATCTGTGTAGCCTTGACAGTGGGTTTTGACATCTCTAGCCATTCCTAACTAAATATGGAAACAAAAATTAAATGTGACATAGTGACCAGTTCACTTCCCTAAGGCCAGACCTGGTAACTTTTGAAAGAGTGAAAGAATGAAAAATGAGCTTTCAAATACAGGAAGCCACTAGAAAATAAAAACACCACCATTCCACATCCTAAAATAAGAGCTTTAAAGATTTTCTGTTGAATAGCAAGTTTCGGGGCAAGGGGGAGAGAGGGAGAGGGTGGGTTTCTGCTCACTGTACACACGACACCAGTGGGAATAAGGGCCAGTCCAAGTTCTACGTTACCATTACTCTGGGTAATAGTTCCAAGCTGTAAGGCACAGCTGTATAGGCCCTGCCAGCAAGGCCATCGCAGCAGTGCTTTGATAGCGTGGGGCCCTGAAGTGTCAGGATATAGAGAAGGCAGCAGTTGTTGGCTGTGAAAACAGTCTGATACAAACCAGATGGGAACTTACTAGATGGGCAACACAAATGAAAACAATTGGCTCATTCAACAAAGTCAGGCCCCTGCCCCAGAGAATTCACAGAAGACAATAACAGTCACCCAGAGTTGATGCAAACAAGAAACAGCCATGTGGTTACAGTTTAAAGAACTGTTTTTCCTTAGACTAAACAAAGTTTTGATTTCTAATTCTTGTACTCATTAATTGAAGTTTGGTGTACAGGTCTTTTTGCCAAAGATAAATATTTCATTTCTTTTGTGACACCAATAGAAACTAATTTTATGCTGCTTCCTCTAAAGTGCTATGAACATAAGCTAAGCTATTTCAGGAAACTGGCAAATTTAGAAAATGATTGATCATGCTGACACAGTAATTAGAAAATATCCAACATATGATTTCCAGGACTTCCTAAGTCCTACTTTGTGTAATGTAGGTAGAATGACACAAAAGGCAATAATCGCAAGGCTCTCAGAACTATATTTCTACATAAATTGTTTTTTCTGACTCCATTAGGTGGTACAGTATTACTGCAATTATATTCCCAAGAAAAAAGTGCTCCTGTTTTCCATAGCCTCTGTGAGGCTTATCACAAAAAAAGGTTCCTGACCATTCTGAGCTGACAAGTGTAACAAAGACTAACAATTAGATTTTAAGATACATTTTAGCAATAACATTTTACTGAAAGACTTTTGTGGGTATATATTCCATAACGAGTAATTTGTTTTACCATTTTAACAGAGAGCAAATAGCATTCGAGCTTAAAATAATTCACAAGTAATTGCATTTCTTCTTACTTAGAAACCCAAGAGTAATTTTGACCTCTGTATTTATTCCAATTAAAAAATATACCCAAGAAAGTCTTAAATTTGGAATCACCATTTTTAGGTCAAGGATAAGGAGCCCATCAGGGACACTGAAAATAATGAGGTGTATTACACAGCATTTGTCATGCACATATTTAAAAATATTTTGTAATTATATAAAAGAGTGATCCTGTTTTATTTTGCTCTTATAATAATAATAATAGATTTCTTAAAAGATATCTTTTCTGAAAATGATGGAATTGATTTCATTTCATTTTCATCTGTGGAACTGTAAAAATTACTATGGTATATGAGATATAAGACTTGGGTTTCCCAGTCTGCACATGCAGGATTGCCCAGATTATACCCATTGGCTACTCCCATCCTAAAAGCTGAGGCTGAACACAAATACCCTTTCCTGTTCCATTAAATCTTTCATCCTATGCAAGGTAATTCTGAAGTAAGCCAGAGAAACAGAAGTGAAGTAACAATTTGGTATGTAGTTTGATGCCATCTTATCAGCCATAGGTATTTACCTCCTCTTGTCTGCTGCATACACATACATGTTCAGGCATACTTTTTTTTTCCTTTTTTTTTTCAATTACACATTAAGTTCTGGGATACATATGCAGAACGTGCAGGTTTGTTACATAGGTACACACATGCCATGGTGGTTTGCTGCACCCATCAACCCATCATCTACATTAGGTATTTCTCCTAACGCTATCCCTCCCCTATCCCCCACCCCCCGACAGGCCCCGGTGTGTGATATTCCCTTCCCTGTGGCCAAGTGTTCTCATTGTTCAACTCCCACTTATGAGTGAGAACATGAGGTGTTTGATTTCCTATTCCTGTGTTAGTTTGCTGAGAATGATGGTTTCCAGCTTCATCCATGTCCCTGCAAAGGACATGAACTAGTCATAATACACATGGCTGCATATTATTCCATGGTGTGTATGTACCACATTTTCTTTATCCAGTCAATCATTGATGGGCATTTGGGGTGGTTCCAAGTCTTTGCTATTGTGAATAGTGCTGCAATAAATATACGTGTGCATGTGTCTTTATAGCAGAATGATTTATAATCCTTTGGGTATATACCCAGTAAAGGGATTGCTGGGTCAAATGGTATTTCTGGTTCTAGATCCTTGAGGAATCACCACAATGTCTTCTACAATGGTTGATTTATATTCCCACCAACAGTGTAAAAGCATTCCTATATCTCTACATCCTCTTCAGCATCTGTTGTTTCCTGACTTTCTAATGATCGCCATTCTAACTGGCATGAGATGGTATCTCATTGTGGTTTTGATTTGTATTTCTCTAATGAGCAGTGATGATGAGCCTTTTTTCAGATCTTTGTTGGCCACATAAATGTCTTCGTTTGAGAAGTGTCTGTTGATATCCTTTGCCCAATTTTTTTTTATTTTTTATTTATTTTATTTTTTTTTTTTTTTGAGACGGAGTCTCGGTCTGTCCCCCAGGCTGGAGTGCAGTGGTGCAATCTCGGCTCACTGCAAGCTCTGCCTTCTGGGTTCAGGCCATTCTCCTGCCTCAGCCTCCAAAGTAGCTGGGACTACAGGTGCCCACCACCATGCCCGGCTAATTTTTTTTTTTTTTTGTACATTTTAGTAGAGACGGGGTTTCACTGTGTTAGCCAGGACGCTCTCCATCTCCTGACCTCGTGATCCACCTGCCTTGGCCTCCCAAAGCCCAAAGTGCTGGGATTACAGGCGTGAGCCACTGCACCCGGCCCCTTTGCCCGCTTTTTGATGGGGTTGTTTTTTTCTTGTAAATTTGTTTAAGTTCCTCACAGATTCTAGATATTAGCCCTTTGTCAGATGGATAGATTGCAAAAATTTTCTCCCATTCTGTAGGTTGCCTGTTCATCTGATGATAGTTTCTTTTGCTGTGCAGAAGCTCTTTAGTTTAATTAGATCCCATTTGTCTATTTTGACTTTTGTTGCCATTGCTTTTGGTGTTTTAGTCATGAGGTCTTTGCCCATGCCTATGTCCTGAATGGTACTGCCTAGGTTTTCTTCTAGGGTTTTTATGGTTTTAGGTCTTATGTTTAAGTCTTTAATCCATCTTGAATTAATTTTTGTATAAGGTGTAAGGAAGAGGTCCAGTTTCAGTTTTCTGCATATGGCTAGCCAGTTTTCCCACCACCATTTATTAAATAGGGAATCCTTTCCCCATTGCTTGTTTCTGTCAGGTCTGTCAAAGATCAGATGGCTGTAGATGTGTGGTGTTATTTATTAGGCCTCTGTTTTGTTCCATTGGTCTATATATCTGTTTTGGTACCAGTACCATGCTGTTTTGGTTACTGTAGCCTTGTAATATAGTTTGAAGTCAGGTAGCGTGATGCCTCCAGCTTTGTTCTTTTTGCTTAGGACTGTCTTGGCTATATGGGCTCTTTTTAGGTTCCATATGAAATTTAAAGTAGTTTTTTCTAATTCTGTGAAGAAAGTCATTGGTAGCTTGATGGGGATAGCACTGAATCTATAAATTACTTTGGGCAGTATGGTCTTTTTCACAATATTGATTCTTCCTATCCATAAGCATGGAATGTTTTGCCATTTGTTTGTGTCCTTATTTCCTTGAGCAGTGGTTTGTAGTTCTCCTTGAAAAAGTCCTTCAAACCTCTTGTAAGTTGTATTCCTAAGTATCTTATTCTCTTTATAGCAGTTGTGAATGGGAGTTCACTCACGATTTGGCTATTATTGGCATATAGGAATGCTTGTGATTTTTGCACATTGATTTTGTACCCTGAGACTTTGCTGAAGTTGCTTATCAGCTTAAGGAGATTTTGGGCTGAGATGATGGAGTTTTCTAAATATACAATCTTGTCATCTGCAAACAGAGACAATTTGACTTCCTCCCTTCCTATTTGAATATGCTTTATTTCTCTCTCTTGCCTGATTGCCCTGGCCAGAACTTCCAGTAGTGTGTTGAATCGGAGTGGTGAGAGAGGGCATCCTTGTCTTGTGCTGGTTTACAAAGGGAATGCTTCCAGCTTTTGCCCATACAGTATGATATTGGCTGTGGGTTTGTCATAAATAGCCCTTACTATTTTGAGATATGTTTCATCAATAGATAGTTTATTGAGAGTTTCTAGCATGAAGGGGCGTTGAATTTTACTGAAGGCCTTTTCTGCATCTTTTGAGATAATCACATGGTTTTTGTTATTGGTTCTGTTTATGTGATGGATCATGTTTACTGATTTGCATATGTTGAACCAGCCTTGCACCCCAGGGATGAAGCTGACTTGATTGAGGTAGATAAGCTTTTTCATGTGCTGCTGGATTCGGTTTGCCAGTATTTTATTGAGGATTTTTACACTGATGATCATCACGGATACTGGCCTGAAATTTTCTTTTTTTTGTTGTGTCTCTGCCAGGTTTTCGTATCAGGATGATGCTGGCTTCATAAAATGAGTAAGGGAGCAGTCTCTCTTTTTCTATTCTTTGGAATAGTTTCAGAAGGAATAGCAGCAGCTCCTCTTTGTACCTCTGGTAGAATTCGCCTGTGAATTTGTCTGGTCCTGGGCTTTTTTTGGTTGGTAGGCTATTAATTACTGCCTCAATTTCAGAACTTGTTATTGATCTATTCAGGGATTCGACCTCTTCCTGGTTTAGTCTTGGGAGGGTGTATGTGTCCAGGAATTTATCCATTTCTTCTAGATTTTGTAGTTAATTTGTGTAGAGGTGTTTATAGTATTCTCTGATGGTGGTTTGTATTTTTGTGAAATCAGTGGTGATGTCCCCTTTATCATTTTTTATTATGTCTATTAGATTCTTCTCTCTTTTCTTCTTTATTAGTCTAGCTAGTGGTCTATCCATTTTGTTGATCTTTTCAGAAAACCAGCTCCTGCATTCATTGATTTTTTTAAGGGTTTTGTGTGTCTCTATCTCCTTCAGTTCTGCTCTGATCTTAGTTATTTCTTGTCTTCCGCTAGCTTTTGAATTTGTTTGCTCTTGCTTCTCTAGTTCTTTTAATTGAGATGTTAGGGTGCCAATTTTAGATCTTTCCTGCTTTCTCCTGCGGGCATTTAGTGTTAGAAATTTCCCTCTACACACTGCTTTAAATGTGTCCCAGAAATTCTGGTACGTTGTGTCTTTGTTCTCATTGGTTTCAAAGCACTTATTTATGTCTGTCTTAATTTCATTATTTACCGAGTAGTCACTCAGGAGCAGGTTGTTCAGTTTCCATGTAGTTGTGCCGTTTTGAGTGAGTTTGTTAATCCTGAGTTCTAGTTTGATTGCACTGTGGTCTGAGAGACTGTTTATTATGATTTCTGTTCTTTTGCATTTGCTGAGGAGTGTTTTACTTCCAATTATATGGTCAATTTTAGAATAAGTGTGATGTGGTGCTAAGAAGAATGTATACTCTGTTGATTTGGGGTGGAGAGTTCTGTAGATGTCTATTAGGCCTGCTTGGTCCACAGCTGAGTTCAAGTCCTGATTATCCTTGTTAATTTTCTGTCTCATTGTTCTGTCTAATATTGACAGTGGGGAGTTAAAGTCTCCCACTATTATTGTGTGGGAGTCTAAGTCTCTTTGTAGGTCTCTAAGAACTTGTTTTATGAATCTGGACGCTCCTGTATTGGGTGCATATATATTTAGGATAGTTAGCTCTTCTTGTCGCATTGATCCCTTTACCATTACGTAATAACCTTCTTTGTCTTTTTTTATCTTTGTTGGTTTAGTCTGTTTTATCAGAGACTAGGATTGCATCCCATGCTTTTTTTGCTTTCCATTTGCATGGTAAACATTCCTCCATCCCTTTATTTTGAGCCTATCTGTGCCTTTGCATGTGAGATGGGTCTCCTGAATACAGCACACCGATGGGTCTTGACTCATTATCCTATTTGCTAGTCTATTTCTTTTAATTGGGGCATTTAACCCATGTACATTTAAGGTTAATATTGTTATGTGTGAATTTGATCCTGTCATTAGGATGCTAGCTGGTTATTTTGCCCATTAGTTGACGCAGTTTCTTCATAGTGTCAATGGTCTTTACAATTTGCTATGTTTTTGCAGTGGCTGGTGCAAGTTTTTCCTTGCCATGTCTAGTGCTTCCTTCAGGAGTTCTTGTAAGGCAAGCCTGGTGGTGACAAAATCTTTCAGCATTGGCTTGTCCCTAAAGGATTTTATTTCTCCTTCACTTATGAAGCTTAGTTTGGCTGTATATAAAATTCTGGGTTGAAAATTCTTTTATTTAAGACTGCTGAATATTGGCCCCCCATTCTCTTCTGGCTTGTAGGGTTTCCGCAGAGAGAGCCACTGTTAGTCTTATGGGCTTCCTTTTGTGGGTAACCCAACCTTTCTCTCTGGCTGCCCTTAACATTTTTTCCTTCATTTCAACCTTGTTGAATCTGACGATTATGTGTCTTGAGGTTGCTCTTCTCAAGGAATATCTTTGTGGTATGCTCTATATTTCCTGAATTTCAATGTTGGCCTGTCTTGCTAGGTTGGGGAAGTTCTTCTGGATAATATTCTGAAGAGTGTTTTCCAACTTGGTTCCATTCTCCCCGTCACTTTCAGGTACACCAATCAGATGTAGGTTTGGTCTTTTCACATAGCCCCATATTTCTTGGAGACACTGTTCATTCCTTTTCATTCTTTTTTCTCTATTCTTGTCTTCACGCTTTATTTCTTTAAGTTGATCTTCAATCTCTGATATCCTTTCTTCCGCTTGATCAATCTGGCTATTGATACTTGAGTATGCTTCACAAAGTTCTGGAGCTGTGTTTTTCAGCTCCATCAGGTCATTTATGTTCTTCTCTAAACTGGTGATTCTAGTTAGTAATTTGTCTAACCTTTTTTCAAGGTTCTTAGCTTCCTTTATTATGGGGGAAGGAATTAAAGAGGGGAAAATGTGATTCTGATTAAGGCAATATACTCAGACTATTTAGGTTTAGATGACCTGAGTAAGCAAAGGGAAATTACAGTCCAGCTTTCTGTAGTCCTTTCCAGAGCTAATTTGAAGGAATAGAAAGGGTTAGAACATGCTCCTTTAGCTCGGAGGAGTTTGTTATTACCCACCTTTTGAAGCCTACTTCTGTCAATTCATCAAATTCATTCTCCATCCAGTTTTGTTCCCTTGCTGGCGAGGAGTTGTGATCCTTTGAAGAAGAGGTGTTCTGGTTTTGGGAATTTTCAGGCTTTTTGCACTGGTTTTTCCTCATCTTTGTGGATTTATCTACCTTTGGTCTTTGATGTTAGTGACCTTCAGATGGGGTTTCTGCGTGGGTGTCCTTTTATGTTGATGTTGATGCTATTCCTTTCTGTTAGTTTTCCTTCTACCATTCACGCCCCTCTGCTGCAGGTCTGCTGGAGTTTGCTAGAGGTCCACTCTAGACCCTGTTTGCTTGGGTATTACCAGCAGAGTCTGCCAAACAGCAAAGATTGCTGCCTGTTCCTTCCTCTGGAAGCTTTGTCCCAGAGGGGCACCCACCAGATACCAGTCATAGATCTCCTGTATGAGGTGTCTGTCAACCCCTGCTAGGAGGTGTCTCCCAGTCAGGAGGCATGGGGGTCAGCGACCCCCTTGAGGAGGCAGTCTGTCCCTTAGCAAAGCTTGAGCGCTATGCTGGGAGATTTGCTGCTCTCTTCAGAGCTGGCAGGCAGGAACATCTGTCTGCTGAAGCTGCACCCACAGCCGCCCCTTCCCACAGGTGCTCTGTCCCAGGGAGATGGGAGTTTTATCTATAAGCTCCTGACTGGGGCTGCTGCCTTTCTTTCAGAGATGCCCTGCCCAGAGAAGAGGAATCTACAGAGGCAGTCTGGCTACAGCGGCTTTGCTGAGACATGGTGGGTTCCACACAGTTCCAACTTCCTGGCGGCTTTGTTTACACTGAGGGGAAAACCGCCTACTCAAGCCTCAGTAATGGCGGACGCCCCTCCCCCGACCAAGCTTGAGCATCCCAGGTCGACTTCAGACTGCTGTGCTGGCAGTGAGAATCTGAAGCCAGTGGATCTTTACCTTGCTGGGTTCCGTGGCAGTGGAATCCGCTGAGGTAGACCACTTGGCTCCCTGGCTTCAGCCCTGTTTCGAGGGGAGCAAATGGTTCTGTCTTGCTGGCATTCCAAGTGCCACTGAAGTATGAAAAAAAACTCCTGCAGCTAGCTTGGTGTCTGCCCAAATGGCTGCCCAGTTTTGTGCTTGAAACCTAGGGCCCTCGTGGTGTAGGCACCTGAGGGAATCTCCTGGTCTGCAGGTTGCAAAGACCATGGGAAAAGCATAGTATCTGGGCCGGAATGCACCGTTTCTCACGGCACAGTCCCTCATGGATTCACTTGGCTAGAGGAGGGAGTTCCCCGACCCCTTGCACTTCACGGGTGAGGCAACGCCCCACCCTGCTTCTGCTTGCTCTCCGTGGGCTGCACCCACTGTCTAACCAGTCCCAATGAGATGAGCCAGGTACCTCAGTTGGAAATGCAGAAATCACCCACCTTCTGCATTGATCTCGCTGGGAGCTGCACAATGGAATTGTTCCTGTTCAGCCATCTTGCCCAGGCCCCTAAGATATATCTTATACATATAATCTTAAATATATTCACTGAAGAGAAACAATTTTGTTGAAACTTAATTTATCTCCCTAACACTATATTGAACATGTACCATCTTTAGCATTTCCTCACCAGCATCCTTTAAAGCTTAGGACAAATATAGGTTCATTTCCTATCTGTTAAAGGAGAGCTGATTATAACATGAGTATTCAAAAAGGAGAGATTTCCTAGAAACAGTCATGCTAATAAAAGCTAACACTTTCAGGGCTGGGCATGGTGGCTCATGCCTGTTATCCTAGCACTTTGGGAGGCCAAGGCAGGCAGATGACAAGGTCAAGAGATTGAGACCATCCTGGCCAACATGGTGAAACCCCATCTCTACTAAAAATAGCTGGGTGTGGTGGCACGCACCTGCAGTCCCAGCTACTTGGGAGGCTGAGGCAAGAAAATCACTTGAACCTGGGAGGCAGAGGTTGCAATGAGCAAAGCTAACACTTTAATAGCTCTTAATATATGTCAGGTTCTAGTAAAAGTGTATTTTATGTCTTTAATTACCATGAAATATCTATACTATATTACAGATAAGAATAGCACAGAGAGGTTAAGTATTTCACCCAGGGTCACCAGCTGGTAAATAGCTGAGCTAGGATTTGAACTCATGCAATTTGTCTCCAAAGTGCCTCTAATTCTAAATAGAACAGAATCATCAAAAACAACTGGAGTCCTTAATCAGTGTTTCTCAAAGGGTGGTCCTCCCTCTTCTGCATCCGAATAACCACGGGTACTAGTTTAATGTTTACATTCCCAGGCCCCGTCTCAGGCAAACAATCACTTTAGGATCTACATTTTATTAATAAATACTCCCGGAGAATTCTATGTCTGTTAAAGTTTGAGGAATACTGTATTAGAGACTAACAATCTAGTAGTGGTTCATCCTATATGCATAATAAGACTATATCACTTCTCTGTTCTAATTTATTAATTTATTTTAGTTTTCAGTCAAGCTTTTAGTAAAAAGATCATAAAATAACAGTTTCTTACAGCCATACATTAAGACTGCACACTTCTGAATGGAGAGATCACTCACCGGTGAATTGCTTTTTTATGACACTGGACAGCTGCGTAGCTACATCTCTGGCCTAAATTTATTTGAGGGTAATGTATTCTGAACTGAAATAATCAAGCTTCTCTTTTTATTTTCATTATATGAACAAAAAGGGTAGAACTGGTTTAGTGGAATAATCCACTGTTACCTGCTTGAAATAGTCTGCCTAATTTATATAAAATTAAAATCACTAAAAAATTTTTAGTAAATCGTTACTAGGTTGATTAGAAGAATAGCATTTGTAATACATCAACTTGCAGTTAATTTGGAGGGCATTGTGGTATAATAAAAATAATACTGAGGCCAGGAGTGGTGGCTCATGCCTGTAATCCCAGCACTTACGGAGGCCAAGGTGGGAGGATCACTTAAGCCCAAGAGCTCAAGACCAGCCTAGGCAATATAGCAAGACCCCATCTCAATAATAATAATAATAATAATAATAATATTCAATTAAAAGATCAGATGCTACTCCTAATCGTAATCACAACCTTTGGTTCTGTTGAACTGGAGACGGTTCCTCTGCTCCCAAGTCTTAAGTATTTACCTCATTAATTTCAAAATGTAAAGATTTTTATCAAATCTGTATTTACCTCTGTGATTATAAGGTTAAATTATTTGTAATAGCTGTTGAATAAAAAGGCTACTAATTGATCTAATAGTTTAAATTATATTTTATATCAATTTGATATCTATTTTAAAAATCATAATAAAAACTTTAAAGTCAAGTTTCAGGAAATCTGGTTAAGAACAATGAAGGGGCTGAAGAGGTTTTTGGAATGTTGGCAAGTCTTCAAAACAATCCTCGTGTATGGTTTTGGTGAGATGTGTTTAATGTCAAAAAGATGAGAAAAACCCAAGCTCTCCATACACAGTATATAATTAATTCCACAAAAAGGAAATCAAATAATTTCCACAATTAAAATGCTTCTGTATTGAAAAGGAAATTACTTTTAGTACCAACAAGTAAAAATGTTATAGAAATCCTTGCATAATATTCAATGTCTTATTTAACAGATTTTCCATGTCAATCCTTTATGCATTTTGCTCATTCTGAGGGATCATCCTTAGTTACGCACATTTGTCTGTTAGACTATATATATATATATGACATAGATATAGATATTATATATAGATATGCATATACATATTCTACCTCTTAAATAAAAAGTATAAATCCTTTCACATTGGAACAGTTAAAATAATCACCTATGTTTAAAAATCCATTATTGTGCCAGAGAAATATTTTTTCTCATATGGATTATGCCTCTCTCATCCAAACATCCTCACATAAAATGTAAGAAATGTATATACATAAAAACAATCTGCAAGTTGACCTAACACACTTGTTGCCACGCTTATTTTTCAGCACTATAAGAAAACAGTGACAAGTTGACAGTTTAATTATAGAAAGATGTTTGCCTTTTCATATTTAATAGTATTCTAACAAATTATTTCTGAGATGCAGTGTTTTAAAGAAATTATTCTTCTCAACTACCCCTTTCCTCTTTTTTTGTTTTTTTCCTGGTTTAATAAGGACTTGTTTATTTTGAGGAAAAAAGGTCCCAAACATCAGGCTGTTCACAAAAATAACCCACAGTATCAACTTTAGAAACAAATCTTAAGACTACAACACTAATTATTTTTCTAGAGGATGCATTTGACATGCCAGCTCTCATTCACAAAACTACGTTGTTGCATTTGTGTTGAACTGCCTCACACAGCACACTAATGTGGGGGTGTAATACACATACTTCTAACTCAAAGCTGCTTTCAGGAGCTACTCAACTAAAGGAGATTGCCTTTGCAGTTAGGGAAGCAACTACTGAACTTACGTATGAATGAAAAGAACTGTACTCCCTGCATAACAAAAGATTATTTTGGAGACAGTTAATAAAAACCACATATCCTTTTTATTAAGTCATAAAGAAGTATCAAAATTAAAAGCAAAAATTACAAGGTAAGACTTAACAAAACTACTAGGGCATCAAAGGAGGTGAAAATGGAACTAGGCGCAGGGCACTATGAATTAATGAACATGGGAAGGACAAGGATTGGGAGAACAGTGAGCATGTGCTGAAGATACCATGGGAGAGGATCTGGTGAAAAATTTGATCTTAGACAAGCACCTACGTAAAGAAATGATGGGATAAGATTTCTAAACCCCACTATGTGCTTAAGAGTTATCTTCGCCATTGGTGCTGTCTCTGTCATCCTCTCCTTCTTCAGCCTCTTTTTCATCATCCTTGATCAACTCCAGCTGGTCATCCCCCATCTTCATTGTCATCATCATCTAGTAGGTCCTCCTCAGCAAAGTCATCTGCACCCCGCTCCGACTCCACCTTCACATTAGTCTCATCTTTCTTCATGGAACTACTGCTCTGCTCCTCTTCCGACTTATCATCCTTCATCTCTACTGCTTGTTTCCCCTGTTCCTTTTCAATTTTCTTCTAGGTTTTCTAAGAGAGAATCCACTTTTTGTTTTATCTGGGTCAATTCCTTCTTAATGGCCTGAAGGTCATCTCCTTTCAACTTTCCAGACTTGGAAGATCCCCGCTGTCCTCTCTTAGAATTGAAGCCACTTTTTCCCCTTCATGTTTCCTGATACATGCTGACATTTCGAGGGCACTACAGCCCGAGCAATAGGAGGAGGAGGAACATGTGCTGGGTAACTGTACATCCTATCATAATAATCCCGTTGAAAGTCATGGTCCAAGTCAAAAGAGGAGCTGTACATCTCCACCTACAGCGGCCCGGGCATTTCTCTCATTAACATACTAAACAAAGGCAAAGCCCTTATGAACAGAGCAGCCCACAATTTTGCAATACTTTGAAAAGACTGCCTCCACATCAGATTTCTGGAGCACAAGAGTGTTGAGATTCCCAATGAACACACGGGAGTTCATGGAGTGAGGATCCGTCTTGTCGGCAACGTTGCTGGCCACTGTGTTGGATGATGAGGCTTCTCACAAAGCCAAAAATGTAGCTGAAGATCAAAAAAATCTCACAGAAGTGAGCAGGCAGAAGAGATTCGATTCTGAGACTCCTATTCCCGGGTACTATGTGGAGAAGCCAACTGCTGCTCAAGGTCGGCAAGGCGGCCACAACCGCTCAGTCTTCATCTCTTCACAAAATGGCCTTTCTTCTTTTTATCCCGGGAGAGCAGATGCTTTGTTTTATCCATCTCTCTAGGGCCACAGCACTTTCTATGGTACTTTATGTAAAGGGATGCTAAAAAAGATTAACCTAAGAATGAATGCACAATGGAATATTATTCATCTACAAAAAAAAATAAAGTAATGATACCTGCTACAATATGGATGGACCTTGAAAACATTATGTTGCCAGGTGCGGTGGCTCACACTTGTAATCCCTGCACTTTGGGAGGCTGAGGTGGGCAGACTGCTTGAACCCAGGAGTTCAAGACCAGCTTGGACAACAGAGTGAGACCTTGTCTCTACAAAAAATGAAAACAAAATTAGCCGGGCATGGTGGCACACGCCTGCCATCCCAGCTACTCAGGAGGCTGAGGTGGGAAAATTGCTTGAGACCGGGAGGTCAGAGGCTGCAGTGAGCCATGATCACGCCACTGCACTCCAGCCTGGGTGACAGAGCAAAATTCTGTCTCAACAACAACAACAACAACAACAACAACAAAACCCCAAAAAACTAAAAGAAAACATTATGTTAAGTGAAAGAAGCCAAAAAGAAAACCACATCTTGTATGATTCCACTTATATGAAATGTCCAGAATAGGGAAATCCATAGAGACAGAAAGTAGATTAGTGGTTGGCAGGGTTAGGGTTGGGGAGGGTAGAATGGAAAACAATTACTAATAGATATGGAGTTTCTTTTTAGGGTGAAGAAAATGTTCTGGAATTAGAAAGGGATGGTAATTCAGCAACTTTTTGCATATACTAAAAACCAGTGAGAATTTAAAGGGAGAATTTTACAGTATGTGAATTATATCTCAATTTAAAAAGAAAGAGTGAATGAATGTCAACACGATTTTTCTTTCTCATCTAAAGTTCAAAAAGATTCCCCATGAACTAGTATCTAAGCTGATTTAATTTTCCCCACCCTTGGGCATATTCTCGGCTGCCCCTACCCTCTGTTCAACTATTTTGTCCTCAAATAATAAAAATGTATGTTAATACTATAAAAGAAATCAATCTTTTGGAAAAGCAAATAAAAATCACTTTAGATTAGTCCACTGTGGCTGTTTGCACGACTGTCTACATTAAAAAGAGACAGTAATGGAAAAATGATTGTAATGAAATATTCTCATTTTTCTCTTCCCTTCCTTCTTCCGTCTTATTACTAAATAACAGAATTAAATGTTGTTTGGGGTTAATAGCAAATGATGTAATCATCAAATTCAATTCCATGAACATTTACTGATCACCACAGTGCTACACTGGGAAACAAGCTCTCTTAAATAAGAAACAGATAACATATCTTAAAAACAAATCACAACACTATCCCATATATCACTTTCTTTGGAATATTAAATAATCAGTCCTGGAAATATAGAGATGATAAAAGCAGCTCTTATCAACAAGCTGTTAAGTCACACGATAAATATTTATTAAATGCTTATTCAATAAATAGTATTACACAAGGAAAGGAGCATCAGCTTTGCAATCAAGTCGATCTGGGCTGGAATTCCAGATCTTCATTTTCTAAATTATGTGCTTTGGGAAAATTAGTTAACCTTCAAGAATCTTATCATTCTCTCTTGTAAAACAGGAATAAAACTACCTGAGTCAGGCATGATGGCACACACCTGTAGTCCTAGCTACATGGAAGCTGGGGCAGGAAGACTTCCTGAGCCCAGGAGGTTGAGGATGCAATGAACTATCATACCCCTGCTCTCCAGCCTGGGTGACAGTGAAACTCTATCTCTATAAAACAAACAAACAAAACTACCTGCATGGCATGGTATTGTGATGAATAAATGAAATTAACATAGAACACACCTAGCAAACCTCTGGTAAATGTATTCCCCTGTTTTGTTTTGTTTTGGTTTTGGTTTTGAGACAGAGTCTCACTTTGTGGCCCAAGCTGGAGTGCAGTGGTGCGATCTCAGCTCACTGCAACCTCCGCCTCCTAGGCTTAAGCAATTCTCATGTCTCAGCCTCCCAAGTAGCTGGGACTACAGGCATGTGCCACCACGTCCGGCTAATTTTTGTATTTTTAGTAGAGACGGGGTTTTGCCATGTTGGCCAGGCTGGTCTCGAACTCCTGACCTCAAGTGATCCATCTGCCTCGGCCTCTCAAAGTGTTGGGATTATAGGTGTGGGCCACTGTGCCCAGCAAAAAACTGTTGTTAAGATTATGATTATGTTCAAGGCAGAAAAGAGCTAGGGGAAGAGAGTGGGTTAAAATGAATAAGACGTTTTCAATCGGAGGTTCAGTAAGAACTCAGAAAGATGGAGCTGAATGTTGAAGAATAAGTAATTTGTAGGCATATAGAAGTGGGGAGAGAAGGTAACTCTGGGTGGAAAGAAGATAATGCAAAAAGGCATTGAAGCTTAGTAGCGTAGAGTGTGGAGGGCCCTCAATTAATGTTTACTGAGTTAAACTGTGTTGATTACACATTATATTGGATGTGCCAGTAAAAAACACAAGTTTTTGAGCTGACAGTTCTTCCCTTTCTGAAATCTAAAAAAGAAAATTTTAAACAAGAGTACTTCCACTGTAGATTAGCACATACAATTTTTCTTTGTTTCCAGTTAGTCACTATTAATTATAAAACATAAATGTTTCAGATTTCTAGTCTAAATGGAATGTATTTTTAAATAAACACCTAAAAATCCAATTTAACTGTATTGAAAATATACTGTATTATAAAATACATCAAACTATCTCCTCCTAAAGTGTTAATATAAGAAAAAGATGTAAGAGTAAATAAATGTAATACAGTATCACATTTACACACCTTTTAACAACAAAACCTTTTATACTTTCCCAAGTGATAAGCTTTTAGTATAAGCTAATTAAGAAAATTCATAATAAGCAAAAGTGTCATAAACTTAGTAATATGTACATCATTTTATTGAAGTATAATTTATAACCAGTAAGACTAACCATTGAAAAATTCTTAGTTATATAGACACTACCCCAATCAAGATATATAATATTTCCATCAAAATGGAAAAAAGTTCCCTCCTGCCATTTGTTGTCAAACTCTTCTTCAAGGCAACCACTGACCTGTTCTCCATATCTATAGTTTTGCCTTTTCCAATAAATTTTGCCTTTTCCATATAAATGGAATCATACAGTATGTAGCCTTTTAACTTCTTTCACTACATTTAATGCAACTGAGATTCATCTGTGCTGTTGTGTGTGTATCAGTAGTTCACGTCTGTTCATTGCTGAGTACTATTCCATTGTATGGATGTACCACACAGATTGTTTATCCATTTACTTGTTGAAGGACATTTTGGTTGATTCCAGTTTTGGGTAATTATAAAATAAACTGCTAAAAAAGTTTTGAGTACAGGTTTTGTGTGAAAATAAGTTTTCATTTATCTTGAATGAATACATAGGAAATGGACTGCTGAGTCATAGGGTAAATTTATGTTTAATTTTATAAGAAACTGTCAAACAGTTTTCCAAGGTGCATGTTGCATTCTGCATTCCCACCAGCAATGTATCAGAATTAGAATTGATCTATATCCTCACCAACACATGGTAGTATCAGTTTCCTTGATTTTAGTCAACCTAATGGGTATTCAGTGGTATTTAATTTTTAATTTGCATCTTCCCAATTACTAATGATGTTGAACAATTTTCCATGTGCTTATTTGCCATCCAAATTTCTTTTTTGGTGAAGTATCTGTTCAAATCTTTTATGCATTTTAAAAATTGGGTTGTTTTCCTAGTGTTGAGTTTTGTAAGGTTTAAAAATATATTCTGGACATAACTGCTTCATCAGAAAGCAAATTTGCAAATATTTTCTTCCAGTCTGTGATTTGTCCTTTTTCATTCTCTTAACACTGTCTTTTGAAGAACAGAAATTTTTATTTTGATTAAGTCCAATTATCATTAGTTTCTGCAATAGCTTAGAAATCTTTGCCCAACCAAAGGTCACAAAGAAACATTTTCTCCTATATTTTCTTCTAGAAGTTTTGTAGTTTTAGGCTTTACATTTAGATCTATGATCCATTTTTTAGCTCATTTTTGTGTGTTGGTGAAATATAGATTGAGGTTCTTTTTTTTGTATATAGATGAGCTCTGTCCAAACACCATTTGTTGAAAAGATTATCCTTTCTCCATGGAATCGTCTTTCCCATTTGTAAAAATCAATTGATCAACTAATCATAAATGTGTGGACTTTTTTTTTGAATTCTCTATTCTATCCCATTGATATTTATGCCAATATTCCACTGTCTTGATTACTGTAGCTTTATAATAAGTCTTAGAGTTATATAGTATAATCTTCCAACTTTATTTTTCTTTTTAAAAGTTATTTTGGCTATTCTAGGTCCTCTGCATTTTCTCAAGAGTTTTAGCTTCAGCTTGTCAACTTCTACCCAGAAATCCCTGCTGGAATGTTTTTGAGATTGCACTGAATCTATAGATCAATTTGGAGGGAACTGACATTTTAAATTCTGCCTTGTCCCTTTGGCAAATTTTGTGCAGGACAGTTTCCAACCACTCTCCCAACAGTAAGAAACTTCTAATAGTGCTAATAAAAGATTGTGGGACCAAGACTATTTCCTTCTTCTCCGCCAGGAGTGGATTCTTTTTTTTTCTTTACCCTTCCCCCAGCCAAATAGGTTTTCACCTATACCCTGGAAATAACAGATGTGTTGCCCCTTCCTCAGTGGCTTAAGGCTTTTGTTCTTAAAGGAGAAGGGTCAAAGTGGGGCATCCTGTCTTTCTGGCAGTGACAGCCACTCCTCTCATTCAGGCCTGCACCAGTGAGAGAGACTCTCTGCCTTTCCCCACAATCTTTCTCTAGAGGTCTGTGCAGAAGATGCCTACAAGTGGGTGTGAACTCCACTTGTATCTGTGACTACCAATGGTTCTATACTTGGCCTTTAGAAACCCACTTAAAAAGTTTAACCAAATACTTCTTATCTGCTTGATTGGTGCCTGGTGTCTCTTCCTGTAACCATGCTCTGTCACAAGTGAGACAGTGCTTGTGTCTCATCTCTTTTTGGAGGAGTCTGTCTTTCCTTGGACTTTAGGCTACTTAGTTGCTCTGCATCAGAAGCTCTCTGATGGGTTCAAGAAATGTTAATGATTTTGTAGTTTATCTGACATTTTATTATAGTTAGGGTGAAAGTGACACTCTTTCCAATTTCCTCATCCTAGGTAGAAACAAAACTCCCAAATTCAGCAACATTTCAAAGTGAATTTATTTTTTGTTAACCAATAATAGCATGGATTTGTGGACATTTATTCAGACAACACTTGTTACACATTTGGATTCACAGATTTTTGGCACACTTATTAGTCTGTGCCCCAACCCCTCCCTATCAGAGATACACACACATAGTTTTGAAATCCCTATCATATCTTAAGATTTTTAAAAATCAACTTAAAACCCTTATAACTATGGTTTTGAAATTACTAAGGTCAATTGTAGTTCTGATAGCTATTGTAATTTAGCTAAATTTCAAATACAAAGGCAAAAAATGCACCATTCTACTAAAAAAGAAAAATAATTTGCGCACGTGGTCAAAATTAGCTTCTAAGAATATATAAGCTTTGAATTTCCTAATGTTCACATATTTAAAGTTATTGTCACAGCTATATGAGTATAAAAGGTGCTAAATTTTCTAGAATTTAACTCAGGACATAATGCCAGAAAGAAATATTTGTGATTCTGTATTTCCCACAAAAATGTAAACTGATTTTGACAAATAACAGCAATTACACCTATTACTTTTAGCACTTTGATACTTATTTTCTGAGTAACGTGTAATCTACAAATAAGAAAAACTAAAAACTGCTGTGATTTTTTTCAAGCAAATTTGACAATCCAATCTATTACAGCATTTTACCATAAAACATATGACTTATTTTTTCCCCATTGACTGATAGTAGTATATAGTATGTTTGACTTTGTAATGATAATTTATTATGATGGTCTTAAAATTTAAAGAGAAAAAAAGAAGGAAAATAATTTTTAAAGTGTACTATTTTAATACATTACTTTATAGAATTTAATTGTTCCTGGGCTCATGACAAATAAATTGACTTAAAACTAGCCTCTTATTTGTATTGATGAAAGTTAATTTGTACAGCAAAAGATGAGTAAAAATTAACTTGTACAGCAAAGGGGGAAAAATAGAAATGACCATTCAAATACTTTTTTAAAAAGTACTTTCACTATAAAACTGTTAGATACATTAATCAGTACATAGAATCAGGTAAGTGGTATCACGTGGTCAAAGATAGACCCAATAAATTCAATACCAAATTAAAAGGTTTTACTCTTAAAGGCTCCAAAGATACCATTTGTCAGAACAATGAATTCCTCTCTTTTATATTAAAATCTGAAAGTAATAATCAAGGTGGAAAAAAACTAAGTACTTTACTAAGTTCCTAGCAATATGGTGCTGGAATCTGTGTCCTACCATTCTTCAGTTAATTTTTAATGGATGATCATTAAAACAGCTGCTACTGCTCCTTTCTTTATAGACATATATTAAACTACTACACATTTCAAGTGAAATACATGATACTTCCCCCTGAAATAGCCAAAATTTGGGGTTCTAGTATTCTTGGAAGCATTTATCTGCTAGAAAAGATGTGGTTTTAATTCCCCTGTGATAAGGTGAATTTCCTTCATTATCTTCAAGGTTTCTATGTATGAGAGGATTGAATTCCTTCAAGGTCACCCAAAGTCCTGAGAGCTCCAGAGAATTATTTTGGCACTCTGACTTCTATTTTCTGCAACATTTGGCAATGTCTCAGAGTTTCATCAGAGAAAAAAAATAATAAAACCCACAAAATCTATGGGGAAAAAAGTCATAACTGATTATATTTGCCAAGGCAATCATATTCATTCAAGAAATTTTCTAGTATAAAGATATGTACCAATTATAGAGTGAAAGACTTCGCCTGTATTTAAAATGTTCTCTTTATAGCCCACTGGTATTTATTTGTTTTAGTCAAGGCTGGTATAGGTCTGCTCTCCTACCTTTTGTATTAGATGTAAAATTAAATGTAAAACATTTCAAATGTATTAAATCCAACTGTTGTAAACCCTTTCCACATAAAACTTCCTTCTACCAGCTAACATCTTACCAGAGACATTTTCCTATCAGCTGAGAAAAATAATTATTTCATTACATACAACATCCTCAAGAAAATGAAATTCATTTGTAATGCCAAAAATGATTGATTTTTAAAAACATTAAAGAAACTATCATTGACTGCGAAGGACAGTTCATAAATGAGAACTCAGTAGAAGAACATGAAGTAAATTCTGACATTATCTTAGAAACATTTATCTGCCCATATCGATATACTATCATGATTAATTCTTAAATCACCAGAAGAAGAGTTTTATAGGTATTTTCCATAGTACATTAATATTAACGTACTATGGTGAGGTTAAAAAAAAAAAGGGTCAGGAGGACAAAGTTCTGAAAACTTGGAGCAAGAGGGGAACAGACAACAAATGGAAGAGTGAAAACCTAAACCTTAAGTGGCATAATCTTACTATCTTGAGCACTTCCTCATTTAGGTCCTTCCCAAAACACCAAATGCATAGTTACATTCGCAATTATACCGGCATTCAATAATATGCATTTGCTCAATTAAATATTATTTGAAAATTAAATAAAAATCACAGTTATAAAAGCAAAAAAGAAAAATTCCACTTCTCAAAATATTTCTAATACTTCTTCCAGAATTGTGGGCAGAAAGTTTTTAAACAGAAGAGATCTTAATTTCTACTGCCAAATTTCAGATTTTAGGTTATAGAAAATGTAAATGACTAAGAAGCAAGATGGCAAACAAAACACAAGGCCAACAGCCTTGTAGAAACATAGAGACAACATCAAAATGCTTGAACGCTGACTGTGGAATTAAAGGTAACCACACGAGTTTGATAAAGAACTATGATATGGTCATCCATATCACAGTATGTAATATGAGAGGCAATTGCTTTTAAGTTATACTTGGTCAGCACCACCACGCACTAAATAATGTGCTTTACAAAGCATATTAAATACAGCCATAATCCCTGTCTTTAACATATTGTAATGTCAAACAGACCTATATACAGATAAAAAGACCTTGGTATTCAATTGAACAAGAACTAAAAGGCAAGGGTAAAGGAAAGACACCAGCTAAGAGTTTAAAAAATCCACTAGAAATAGTGTTTACTGGTAAAAAGAACTAACATAGTCAAATACAATACCGATTCTTCATGTAAATGGACTAAATGAGAGAAAACAAAAGAAAACAAAAACCTAGAGAGCAGTGGGATGTATAAAAAGTAAAGAATTCTCATATTTGTTCAATATTCAGACAAGTATCAAACTATTGTATTATTACATAAAAACAAGTCTTACCTTGTTGCTGTGAAGGTGCAATATCAGATTTATTTCTAACACGTAGGTAACTTTGTGATGGTTTGTGTTCAACTTGCTTAACATCCTGATTTTGCTTTAGTTGGTACTAAATAATTTAAGATATGAAGTCATAATATTATTTTTTAGTTACTTAAAAAAATCTGAGAAGTCAAATTATTCAAGTGTTTATAAAATTTTAATAATATGCTTGCTTTCTAGTTGCTTTTTATTGCTTTTTATTTATTCGCACTTCTACCAATAAATAGGTGATGAGGTACCTATTACAAAAGAAAAGACGTTGCAAAAAAAAACCTTTAAAAAGATTTGGATCATATATACAGATTTCAAATATTCAAGTCATTTCTGTCTATTTTCATTAGAGAATTCAGAGCTACTTATGAATCAAACTACTTTATATACATATAATGGATTTAGACAGGATAAGAACTTAATTTGGCAGCAAACTCTTCCATATAACCACTTTTTGCATAAAATGAAAATCTGCATAATGCACTGCAATTTTCGAAGAGCTTTTATATATAGTAACATCATTTAATTCTCAGAAGTGTGAGTAGGTATTGTTATCTTCCATTTGCTATTCAAGAAACATACGCTCCACCATAAGCACTATCATCTCTCATATAACATAACCAAATTTGAAATTTACAGTAGTCATAAATCTCTTCGTAATCACACATCACAAATTGTGTGATTTTCTTTCTTCTCTTTCCTATTTTATGCGCTTAATTATAAATGAGCCCCTGAAAATAGCTTTAACAGGAACTTAAAAAGAAATCCCTGGACCCTTATCAATAAATACAACCATAGAAGAATCTAAAACATCTGTCCACATGGACACAATGTAATCACTGCACCTCTGACAGGCATCCTCTTTATCTAGGGGTAAAAATTAGTAGCTCTAAGCTGCAGTAATAATAACTAGCCTTAACTCTGGTCTTCCAAGTTTAGAGCCGTTAGTCATGTATGTTTCTGCCTCGAAGGAAATATTATCTTGGTGTGTATTTCTAAGATGGGTACTAGGACTACCTCTGGCTCTGGCTGCTGAGACTTTGAACGTTTCTATTGGTTTCCTTACTTACTCACAGCGAATAAGAGCTGTGACCACAGGAGCTAAACTGCCTGTGTTCAAATCTGGGTAAGGCATTTTCTAGCTTTGACCTTGGGCAAGTTATTTAACTGCTCAATACCTCAATTTCCTCATTCATGAAATGGGGATAATAGTAACAACTACCTCATTAGGCTGTTATAATGATTAAATAAGTTAAAATACGTAAAAAACTTAGAACAGCATCTAGCACTATAAATGTGTGCTATTATTACTAACCATAAGTCCCTGCTAGCTAAAGAAATCTAACAAGGGAATTTTTTGAGGCCCTTTCTTCTGGTAACACTTTATAGTTTTATTCTAAAACAAGCCATCAATTAAAAGGAAGTAATCTTTCTTTTATTGTTAAAGTTTTATTGAGATACATGTAACAGACAATAAACTGCACATATTTAAAGTGTCCAATTTGCTGTTTTGACCTACCTATAAACCCATGAAACCATCACCACAATCAAGATAATACAATAAACATATCCATCAATCTCAAAAGTTTTCTCACACCCTTTTATCTTCTCCTTCTTGCCCTTTCCACCTCTAACTCCTACCATCACCCCAAAATAACTGAAATGCTATTACTATAAATTAGTTTGCATTTTCTAAAATTTTATATAAATAAAATCAGTGTTTTTTTTTTTTGGTATGGCTTCTTTACTCAACATAACTTTTGTAAGAACCATCCATGTTATTGTTTGTATTCATAGTTCATGCCTTTTGGTTGCTAAGTATTTCACTGTACAGGATACACCACAATTTGTCCATTTACCAGTTGATTGACATTTGTGTTGTTTTCAGTTTTTGGTTACTACAAATATAAGGTTGTATGAACATTCACGTACATGTCTTTGTGTAAATATATGTTTTAGTTTCTCTTGAGAAACTAGGAGTGAAATGCATGGTTCATATGGTGGGTGTATATTTTTAAATGGCCAAGCTCTTTTCCATAGGGGTTGGATCGTTTTACATTCCCAATCAACAAAGTATGAGAGTTCAGTTGCTCCACATCCTTGCCGACACTTGGCATGACCGCCTTTTAGATTTTAGATATTCTAATGGATGTGTGGTGGTAGCTCATTGTGGTTTTATTTTGCATTTTCCTAATGACTAACTCTGCTGAGAATCTTTTTTTCTTTTTTCAAGAAGGAGTTTTGCTCTGTCACCAGGGTGGAGTGCAGTGGCGAGATCTTGGCTCACTGCAAACTCCACCTTCTGGGTTCAAGTGATTCTCCTGCCTCAGCCTCCTGAGTAGCTGGGACTACAGGTGCACACCACCACACCCAGCTAATTTTTGTATTTTTAGTAGAGATGGGGTTTCACCATGTTGGCCAAGATGGTCTCGATCTCTTGACCTCGTGATCCACCTGCCTCAGCCTCCCAAAGTGCTGGGATTACAGGCGTGAGCCACCACGCCCAGCTAAGAATCTTTTTATGTGCTTATTTGCCATTTATATTATCTTCTCTGGGTAAAGGACTGTTCCAAATCTATTGTTCATTTTTCAACTGGATTGTTTGTTTTCTTAATATTGAGTTATGTGAGCTCCTTATATATTCTGAACAGAAGTCTTTGATAAGATAAGTGATTTGTAAATATTTTCTCCCAGTCAGTGGCTTGCCTTTTAATTCTCTTAACTGTGTTTTGAAGAACAGAAGTTCTTATTTTTGATAAGACCAATTTAAAAAATTATTATTCATAGATAGTACCTTTGGTATCATATCCCAGAAATGTTTGCCTAATCATGGTCACAAAAATTTTTTTTATATCGAAGTTATTAACAGATACTTTTTCATTATTAACTAGTTTTTCCTGATCATTGCTTGGTCACAGATTGGTAATACTGAACCCCACATAATCATGTGTTCCATAAACAATCTTTATCTTACGTATTTTTTGGTTTCATCCGTAACATGTCCTGCTGCATAATACCATGAATACTTATTCATAAATTAGTTCAAAATGGGTAATTTTGAACGAATTGCCAATACACAAATAAAAAACTACTTAATATTGAACTTTTTTAGATTAACATCTTGGTGAGTAATTAACCTATTTTTTCAGTACACAAGATTGCATGGGCCATTGGCTTACCTCAGCATTAAATTTCTTATGCAATACATTTCTTATGAAACACTTTTTACAAATTTCAATGTAATAAACACTTATCAAGCACCTACTATATGTAAATTACTGAGCTAGGTATTGCATGCAGATACAGAGATGTAAATGAAATCGCTACCTTACTTTTATATATATTATTTTTATGTTTTATTTACTTATTCATTTTTTTTGAGACAAGAGTCTCACTCTGTCACCAGCTGGAGTGCAGTGGTGTAATCTGGGCTCACTGCAACTTCTGCCTCCCGGGCACAAGCAATCTGCTGCCCACATCAGCCTCTCAAGTAGCTGGAACTACAGGAGCCGAGCTAATTTTTGTATTTTTTGTAGAGATGGCATTTTGCCACATTGCCCAGGCTGGTCTGAAACTCCTGGACTCAAGCGATCCACTGTCTCAACCTCCCAGAGTGCTGGGATTACAGGTGTGAGCCATTGCACCTGGCCATTATTTTATTCTTTAATTTAAAGATAGGGAATTAAGGCTTAAAAGAGGCTAAGTAATGTGTTCTAGGGCACAGCTTGGGTGAACTAGATTTATATTCAGACTTGAGTTAGGAAATAAAGGAGGCATGATTTGAAGCTATCTGACTCCAGAGGCTTGGCTCTTGACGGGGTACCACGCTAAGGCAACAGTGTTTCAATTCTCATTTTAAGTAAAATACAAGTGCTATTAATTTGGTACCTGGGAAAAATCTTCAGCGGCTACTGGTAAATTAACATCATTTTCTTGTGCTGTCAGAAGTGTTGTGGGAAGAACCAGCTTAGAATTTGGCTCCAACTCCAATTCTCCCAAACTCATTGGACCATGACTAGCACATGAATCTTCATAAATACTACCTGTTATCAAAAATGTAAATAAAAAGTTAAAATAAAGTGTTAAATTTATCTTCAAAAATGAACAAGTAGTTGACTAAAACCACCAATATTTCTCACCTGCTGAATTAGAACTAGCAGTGTACTTCAAACAAAAACACCTGGACCAAGCCTTCACTGCAATTAAAACCAAAACTCAGAGAGAATGCAAAAAGTACCTATGTTCAAACAAATCCATGGAATATTCTATGTAAAGTTCCAGTCAACAAGTTGCCCATGCAGTTCATCTGCAGCCTCCTTCCCACATACGAACTCTTAATACTCCTGCTTACCTTTCCTATCTCTAAGAGTCAATAGAATACTTTCTATCTAAAATGTAATCTTAAAGCAAAGGGCAATTTCCTGCCTGGAAAATGTTGGTATTGCCTAGCTCTATTCTGTAGATTTTGTTCTTCAAGTGATCAAGCTCTTATTTTCTTATCTAAATGGCACCTCTGGCTGAGTGCAGTAGCTCATGCCTGTAATCCAGCACTTTGGGAAGCTGAGGTGGGTGGATGCCTAAGGTCAGGAGTTTGAGACCAGCCTGGCCAACACGGTGAAACCTGTCTCTACTAAAAATACAAAAATTAGCTGGGTGTGGTGGCATGGCACCTGTAATCCCAGCTACTCAGGAAGCTGAGGCAGGAGAATCGCTTGAACCCAGGAGGCGGAGGTTGCACTGAGCTGAGATCGCATCACTGCACTCCAGTCTGGGTAACAAAATGAGACCTCGTCTCTAAATAAATAAATAAATAAATAAATAAATAAATGGCACCTCAGTCAAATCAGTAAAAAGAAGACAAGAGCAGAGATATCTATGTATCTAACCACTGTACCTTTGTATTGCACTATATACTCCAAGCACTTTCATATATGAGTACATTATCTTATTACATTTGAACTTTACAATCATTCTGTAAGATAGGTTAGACATCATTGTAACTGTCTCTCACTGACATTACTAAGGTTCAGAGAAGTTAACTAACTGTCCAAAATCAAAGAGCTAGCAAGAAGCACAGAGGAATTAAGTCACTGCTCTCTGTTTCACAGTCTTGCTAGACAACCTTTTAAAATATAATCAATAGAAATAGACCTGAAGAGTTATATGCAAATTAAGTTTTAAATATATATATTTAAAATTTATATACATAAATCATATATATAATTCATATATATGATATATTATATATGATATTATATATTTATATATCATATATAAATATATATGATATATAAATCATACACATGATATATATATAAATCATACATATATATAAATCATACATGATTTATATATAAATCATACATATAGATGATTTATATATATAAATCATACATATATATAAAAATCATACATACACATATATATATATACACTTTTTTTTTTTTTAAAGACAGAGTCTCACTCCTGTTGCCCAGGCTGGAGTGCAATGGCATGATCATGGCCCCCTGCATCCTTGACTTCCCAGGCTCAGGTGATTCTTCTACCTCAGCATCCTGAGTAGCTGGGACTACAGGTGTGCGCTACCACACTTGGATAATTTTTTGTATTTTTAGTAGAGACAGGGTTTCGCCATGTTGCCAAGGCTGGTCTGAAACCCCTGGGCTAAAGTGATCTTCCTGCCTCAGCCTCCCAAAGTGCTGGGATTACAGGCATGAGCCACTGCACTGCACCCAGCCTGAAAAAATATTTCAAAGACGCCATAGATATTTTCCATTTAAAGGCATTCTGTTGACAATTTCCTAGATATAGCAAATAATCACTCTGATTGATCTTTTATGTTAATCTAGGTTTTCAATGGGCTTTTACATAAAGCGAAATACATCTATTGAGTTTTAATTTTTTTTTTTTTTTTTGAGACGGAGACTCACTCACCCAGGCTGGAGTGCAGTGGTGCAATCTCAGCTCACTGCAACCTCCACCTCCCGGGTTCAAGCGATTCTTCTGCCTCAGCCTCCCTAGGAGCTGAGACCACAGGCACGCGCCACCACACCTGTCTAATTTTTGTATTTTTAGTAGAGGCAGCGTTTCACCATATTGGCCAGGCTGGTCTTGAACTCCTGACCTCAAGTGCTCAAGTGATCCGCTCACCTCGTTCTCCCAAAGTGCTGGGATTACAGGCATGAGCCACCATGTCCAGCCGCATTGAGTTTTGATTTTTACTATTATGGTATTAAATCTGTATAAAACAATTTATCAAAATTATTACCTGATTCTCATTTAATTATCTAACATAAGATTAATTTAAATAATGGTAATAATACTTATAATTTAGAGTAACTAATGTTTCAGGCTTTATTTGTCTCTTTATATTCTGATACGCCTTTTTCTATTCCTATGTGACTTGTTCAACATTTTTCTAAGAGTGGCAAATGAATTAAGAGAAAAGAATTACATATAATGTTAAAAAAAGAAGATATTGAAAACTCTTTTGCTGATATATGGTATATGCCTAGAAAACCCAAGAGACTTTAATGAAAACAAAAGAACTCTATTAGAACTAATAAGAGAATTGGTAATGTGACTGGATAACAGATAAATAGATAAAAGTGATTAGCTTTTTCCTACAGTATAGCAACATAATCAAGCCATGAAAGCACGGAAAGTATAAAAGTTAGAAATATCTACATATAAATTTTTAAATTATATGGCAAAAAGATCATCAACAATGTCAATGAGCAAAATATAAATTTGGATAAAGATATTTACAATACAAATAGTAGAAAACATCTAAACTATAGAAACAGCTTTAAAACTAACAAGAAAAACTGAGAACCTCCCAGATGGGAAAAGAACTTTATAGGAGCACATACAAATGGCCAACAAACATATGAATGAAAAGACATATAAACTCACCAGGAGTCAGAAACATATCTTCATATTTCTACTGAGGTATGTAAAAAAACTAATCAACACAATTTCAGGAGGGGATGTAAGGAAAGGGCACTAATAAATTGCCGATAAAAATAAATTGGTTTAAACTTTCAAGAAAGCAACTTGGCATTATCTATTTCTAAACTAAAGATACATTTGCTCGTGTATAGAAGAGCTTCCCAGGAGTACATACACTGGAGTAAGGAGGAGTATATAAAACACAACAATCTGGTAGGATGTGTGTGTGGATACTTACTCTAGCATTGTTTATAGTGCAGGGACATGTTAATAAACATCCATCAATAGAGAAACAACTAAATAAATTATTGGAAATCAACACTATGAAGTTTTACGTAATCATTAAAATGAATAAATTTAAGTAATACCGGTTGACCTGGAATAATCTAAGGGTTTACTGGGTAAAACACAAAATGCAGGCAAGTGTGCAAGATATGATCTTAAGTTGTAAAATAATGGCAATCACACATACCATATATATTGTACATGCATGTGTGCATATAATTATATGTGTGAGGTAAAAAACAGGAAGGTTATATGCCAGAATCTTAACATGGGTTACTTGGGATAAGGCATACATGGGACAGGAAAAAAGTGGTGGTGGGGAGCACTCAAAAAGTGCGTAATAGCTTTCACATAATACACCATCCTATAATTTAACAGATATTTACTATGTTCTGTATACTATATAACCTGCTAGGTGACAGGGATATGAGAGTACACAAGATAAAGTCCGTACCCTCACATGAGATTAATATCAGTGTGATAAGAGCAACATTAGGCAGGTGACATTAGAGAATTATAGAGAGTACACATGACAGGTATTTAACCCAGTGATAAGGGTCAGGAAAGGATTCCCTGACAGCAATCATAACAGTGCTGAATTTGCTGTGTCTTCTAACAAGCAGGCTCATTGAGTGTGGGTGTCTTACCTGTATAATGCAAGTTAGACCTTTAAAAGAGGGATATTTAAAATATTATTTCATTCAAGTCAAATTTAATTTAATTAATCATAACTAGAAATCCCTAATTTTACTTTCCTAGAATTTTGTTATAGTGGAAAGCAACCATGGCAGACTTTTAGAGAAGACTAAGTTTGCCTAAAATTGCCAGTCCAGCAAGAGTTTTTGGTCCGGCATATCTAATGGATTTTTTTCATTTGTATGAAAGTCAAAGGCATCACAAATTCAGTATGTATAAACCCCATTCAATCTCTTTCCTCCTAATTCTGTCCTTCCTCCATATTCGCTCTCTCTCAGTGACTGAGATGACCATCTATCCAATAATTCTAGACAGAAACCTAGGGATTTCTTAGACTTTCTGCTTCTTTTGTACTGCTCACATTCAAATGAATTCCTGTCCATCTCCTTAATTCTCTCTCAAATCTCCCTTTTTATATATCCTCATTACTGAATAATGTCTCATCAGGTCAACTTTAATGGTTGTCTAATCAGGCTCCTTGCCTCCAGTCTTAACTCTTCCAATCTATCCATCACATTGCATCTCAGATGATCTTGCTAAATAAAAGGTAAATATGATCACATCACTCATTTACTTACAATCTTTAACAGACTGATGAATATCACACAACATTCAGAACTGACAGAAACTTAAGGCTGAATTGTTCATGGGAATAAGTATAAAGTAAAAAGTAAGACTGTTATTATTTCCCATTTTGTATACAAAGCGATCCTTACTGTACTCCTTAATAGATAATCCAGGGCTTTTCATGACCTGGTTTCTGCTCCCTGCTGCAATTTCACTGCATCTTAAGCTCTAATTCTTTGACAAAAACACTGCATTTCCACGATTAACCCTTGCTTTTTTTTTTTTTTTGCCTTTGTCCCCTGTCTCATTGCATATTCTGTCTGAAAGGTCCCTCCTCACTCACCACATGGCAAGCATTTATTCATCTTTGAGGAGTCACTTCAAGCAAGACTTCCCTCATCTATGAAGTCTTTCCTGAATCCCTTCAACTACAATTGACCTGTACCTCCATCCTATACGGGCTTCTTCACAATAACTACAGTAATTTATTGCATGTTTTTGCTTTCTTATCTACTATGTCTACTAGAGAAAAAAAATCATTGTGAACAGGGCCTTACCAAGTTTCATATTCCTAGCACCTAGCACATGCTCAGCACATAGCAGGCACTCAAAAATATCTTCTGAATAAGTAAATGAACAAACTGGAATATTCTTATCATAATTTACCATCTGGCTAATTCCCTTAAGATTCAATTTCACATTGGATCTTGCAGAAAACCTTTTCTAAGCCCTCACAAATGAGTTAAGTTCCTCCTCTGCACTCCCACAGCCGTCTGTGTTGTACTAGTCACACAATATTATAATTGTTATTTATTTCTCCCACACTAGTTAGTAAATATCTTGAGAGCAGATATCTATCATCTTTGAATCTTGAGTGCTTAATGTAGTACTTACATAGTTCTAGGTATACAGTGGGTATTCAATACAGGTTTTTTGAGTAAATAAAAAGCTGTAGTTGGTAGTATATCCCAGGGTCCACAAATAATTCACTCAAATTACAGCTTACATTTTAGGTTTCCCAAGACAACTCCTCAAAGCCAATTTTGCAACTTTCAGTTACTCAACCCAACCTGAGAGCCTCAGGAATGGAGACAGTGATAGAGGACTACAGAAAATAGGACACTTCCTGAAAATTAGCAGGGGTGGGGAGGGGCAAAGTAAGAAGAGATGACCCTCTGTAAGCAAAGTTATTAAAAATCAAGACGAAAAGCAATACCAATCACTAGCATATATAGTTGATTCTCATCTATGGACCACAGTTATAGTCTGTGGTCACCAGGAGAAAATCTTGAAACAAGAGGAACAAATTAGTTTTCTATAGGCAAAGTCCTTTTAGTCAACTGTTGATAGTTTCTGATTCTATTAAGTACATATAAGATAGTACTTTTCATACTCCAAGCATTATTAAAGAGAACAACACCATGTGCCAAGCACTGAGCTTAGTACTTTACATGCATTGTCAAATACATGTACCTAATAACCATAATGAGATAGACACTATTACCTCCAAGATAGCCCCCAGTGATCCCTGCCCTCCTGGTATCTACACCTTTTAAAAGTCACCTCTTAAGTTGTTCCATGATTGGTCTGTGTTATCAATGGAATATGACAGAAGTGATGGCATGTCACTTTGGAGATTAGGTTATAAAAGACATTATCAGCTGGGCGCAGTGGCTCACACGTGTAATCCCAGCACTTTGGGAGGCTGTGGCGGGTGGATCACTTGAGGTCAGAAGTTTGAGACCTGCCTGGCCAACATGGCAAAACCCCGTCTCTACAAAAACATACAAAAATCAGCCAGGCGAGGTGGCGGCGTGCATCTGTAGTCCCAGCTACTCAGGAGGCTGAGGTAGGAGAATCACTTGAACCCAGGAGGCAGAGGTTGCAGTGAGCTGAGATCGCACCACTGCACTCCAGCCTGGGCAACAGAGCGAGACTCTGTCTCAAAAGAAAAGAAAAAAAAAAAGACATTATGGTTTCCATCTTGATTGCTTACTTTCTCTTGGGAGATGTCTGCTACCACATCATTCACGGCCCTATGGACTGGTTAACATGGTGAGGAAGTGAAGCCTCTTGCTAAATCCATGTGAGTGAACTTGGAAAGTGGATCCTTCAACCCTAGTCAAGCCTTCAGATGACCTCAGTCCAAGCCATCACCTTGACTGCCACATCAGGAGAGATCCTGAAAACCACCCAGGTAAGCCACTACCGGATTTGTGACTTTCAGAGTTCTGTGAAATAATAAATGTTTGCTGCCTTCAGCTGTTAAATGTGGGGTAATTTCGTACATAGCAATATTATCCCCACTTGACACATAAAGAAATTTGGGTTCAGGAACATTAAGTTATTTGACCAAAGATACATAGAGCTGGAATTCAAACCCATTTCTGAAACTCTCAAAGCCTAAACTCTTAGCTATTCTGCTATACTGCCTTACATATGTGTTCAATCTTATGTTATACCATATTACTTATTTTTTCCAATTAAATACCTACAATGTACCTAAGATTAAAAATGCACTGTACTATAGGTAATCTGCTAGGGTTACCAGATATTTAAAAAGGACTGAAGAGGCTATCTCCTCAGGGAGTTTATTCTGTAACATTTCAACTAAGTACCTAGTTGCTCTCAGATACCTAGTAGCTCTTAAGTACCTAGCAGTTCAAGTGATCTGCGAGAGCCACCTAGTGTTAACTCTGTTTAACTGCATTCTGCAAATTTAGCTGGACATAAATGTAAGTCACATTTCATGCCATTTGAATCCTACAAATTTTAAAGAATGTAAAACATTTAATACTCTCATTATGTGTACAAAATGAGAAATAAGGCCAATCTTTACATTTATTCACATGGGAAATTCAGTCTCGGAATTCTCCCAATTCTGAATGATACAAGGTGTTCACTCAATATGAAACTAAATACTTCAGGCTTTTCCTTTTCTGATTTCTGGCAAATCTGCATGCCTCCAGAAGTTTCTTTTCACTTAAGAGAAAGAAACAATGGGCATTTAAAAATCAATAATAAGAATATAGCAGATCCTCATTTATTTGTAAATTACATATTTGCAAATTTATCTACTCGCTAAAACGTATTTATAACCCCCCAAATCAATACTTGCAGCACCTTTGTGGTCATTTGTGGACATGTACAGAGTGGTGAAAAACTTAAATTACCTAACATGCATTTTTCCAGTTGATGCTGAACAACGATACATTCCACCTTATTCCAGCTCTCATACTGTAAACAAGTGACCTTTTCACAGTATACGTAAAGCTGTTTTTCAGATTTCATCCCCTTTTTTTTGGTGATTTCACTGTTTAAAATGGCCCCTTAGTGCTGAAGTACTGTCTAGTGTTTCTTTTCTTTTTTTTTTTTTTGAGGCAGAGACTCGCTCTTGCTGCCCAGGCTGGAGTGCAGTGGCGTGATTTCGGCTCACTGCAACCTCTGCCCTCTGCCCTCTGAGCCTCCCGGGTTCAAGCAATTCTTCTGCCTCAGCTTCCCAAGTAGCTGAGATTACAGGCATCTGCCACTATGCCCGGCTAATTTTTGCATTTTTAGTAGAGATGAGGTTTCACCATGTTGGCCAGGCTGGTCTTAAACTCCTGACCTCAGGTGATCTGCCACCTTGGCCTCCCAAAGTGCTGGATTACAGGCGTGAGCCACTGCATCTGGCCTGTCTAGTGTTTCTAAGCACAAAAAGGCTCCGCTGTGTCTTATGGAGAAAATATACATGTTAGATAGGCTTCCTTCAGGCACAAGTTATACTGCTGGATAGTTCAATGGCTGTGAGTTCAATATTAATGAATCCAAAATATATATTAAATAAGACTTCTTTAAACAGAAACATAAATAAAACCAGATTATGTATTGATCAGTTGATAAAAATGTTATGACCAGAGGCTCACAGAAACCTAATCCTGTATTTCCCCTAGGAGTAATGGTTCAATACTTGTTAATATGTTTGTGGTGACCACAGAATATAACAATGGTCCATAGATGAGAGTCAACTATATATGCTAGTGATTGGTATTCTCTATTCTATCCTTATTTCCAGTGTGTCACAACAGAAAGTTTATTTAAATTCTAAAATAGTCCTGAATGCAGAGTGCTACTGAAATTCATATAGCATAAAGAATAAATGTCTACAGTATTATCTAATTTAACCTTGTCCTAAAGATCTGTTATGTCAATTTTCATGGATTCGTTATATTTTTCTAGTACATATTACAATAAATGCATCGGCTGGGCATGGTGGCTCATGCCTGTAATCCCAGCACTTTGGGAGGCCAAGGTGGGCAGATCACCTGAGGTCAGGAGTTCGAGACCAGCCTGGCCAACATAGTGAAACCCTGTCTCTAATAAAAATACAAAAATTAGCTGGGCATGGTGGCAGGCGCCTGTAATCCCAGCTACTCGGGAGGCTGAGGCAGGAGAATAGCTTGAACCCAGGAGGCAGGGGTTGCAGTGAGCCGAGATTGTGCCATTGCATTCCACCCTGGGCGACAAAGCAAGACTCCGTCTCCAAAAAAATAAAATAAAATAAAATAGGCTAGGCGCGGTGGCTCACACCTGTAATTCCAGCACTTTGGGAGGCCATGGAGGGCGGATCACGAGGTCAGGAGATCGAGACCATCCTGACTAACATGGTGAAACCCCATCTCTACTAAAAATACAAAAAATTAGCCAGGCGTGGTGGTGGGCTCCTGTAGTCCCAGCTGCTCGGGAGGCTGAGGCAGGAGAATGGGGTGAACTCGGGAGGCAGAGCTTGCAGTGGGCCGAGATTGTGTCACTGCACTCCAGCCTGAGTGACAGAGCAAGACTCCGTCTCTAAATAAATAAATAGAATGAAATAAAATAAAAGTATCACAGTTAAAAAGTTTTAAGTGTATGTATGTGTATTACCAAAATTAATTCACATACCACCCAAAGGTTCATGTACCAACACTGATATATGAATCACATTTGGGGAAACACTGCTATATATACTATAAAAAAAGTTATCACCAAACTTTCCAATTATTAAAATCCCTTTTAATAAAGAAATTTTGCAAGCCCCTATCTGAAAATAGGTATACTTTCCTCAACTCAGATTAGGGATACTACTATGACACATCAAGAAAAAATATTTTGGTGTCTACCTGAAACTGTGTCAAATTGCCGAGATAATGGTTTAGGATCACATTGTTGATCCAAAGACTGTGTATTAGTGACAGGTGGCTGCATATAGAGAGAATGTCCCATTAAGATGTTCTCTGCTGCCGCTGTTAGCTGGGGTCTTTGTCCTTCACTAAGTTCACCCACACTGTTTTCCAAGTCCTTTAAAAAGCAGAAACAATTGTTAAAACCATTATATTAAAATCAAGTCAAAACAGGAAATCTTTGCCAAATATCATGAACAATACCCTTTGACTCCTTGGAAGGTATTTTACAAACTGCCTTCTATGCCACATATACATTACATGCAAGAAAAGTTCAAGAAGTTAGTCTAATAAGCCTCGTGATAGGCTTTGTTTTCAATATAATAATTTCATATATTTTATGAAATTAACCAGTTTTTCAAGCACCAATTAAATAGCAATAAAATACATAAGAAAAATTATATTACAATTTAAAACACTCAATGGGGCCAGCACGGTGGCTCATGCCTATAATCCTAGCACTTTAGGAGGCCGAGGCAGGTGGATCACTTGAACTCAGGAGTTCAAGACCAGCCTAGGCAACATGGCGAAACCCTGTCTCGACAAAAAATACAAAAATTAGCTGGGCATCACAGCACACACCTGTAGTCCCATTTACTTAAGGGGCTGAGGCAGGAGGCTAGCTTGAACCCAGGAGGCAGAGGCTGCAGTGAGCGAGACTGCACGACTGTACTCCAGCATGGGTGATACAGTGAGACCCTGTGTCAAAAAAAACACAAAAAATCAGCTGGGCACGGTGGCTCATGCCTGTAATACCAGCACTTTGGGAGGCCGAGGCGGCGGATCACAAGGTCAGGAGATCAAGACCATCCAGGCCAACATGGTGAAACCCCGTCTGTACTAAAAATACAAAAAATTAGCTGGGCATGGTGGCAGGCACCTGTAGTCCCAGCTACTCGGGAGGCTGAGGCAGGAGAATGGTGTGAACCCGGGAGGTGGAGCTTGCAGTGAGCTGAGATTGCACCACTGCACTCCAGCCTGGGTGACAGAGCGAGACTCTGTCTCAAAAAAAAAAAAAAAAAAAAAAAAATCAAAACCACTAAATGCTGGTATGCATTACACATTGTTCATACAGCTTAAAATGGGAATAACAGAAAATTTCTCTCATTCTTCATGAATAAAAATTGCCTAAAGTTTGTTAGTGTAAACTTTACAATAAACAATTGATGAGGAGAATAATATACTTTAAACAGCATAAAGGTTACCCCATATATCAATAATAAGATTTTTATAAAAGTATAGAGGCCTGGCGTGGTGGCTCACACCACCCAGCACTTTGGGAGGTCAAGGCGGGCAGATCGCAAGGTCAGGAGTTTGAGACCAGCCTGGCCAATATGGTGAAACCCCGTCTCTACTAAAAAAAAAGTACAAAAATTAGCCAGGCGTGGTGGCGGGTGCCTGTAGTCCCAGCTACCTGGGAGGCTGAGGCAGGAAAATCACTTGAAACCAGGAGGCAGAGGCTGCAGTGAGCCGAGACTGAGCCACTGAACTCCAGCCTGGGCGACAGAGTGATACTCTGTCTCAAAAAAAAAAAAAAGTATACAGATTATAGAAGAATACTTTAGTCATATTTAATAATGTTATTTTCCTTGGGAAAAATAAAAAATACAAAAAGCACAAAAATCGTTGGCTGGGCATGGTGGGTCACGCCTGTAATCTCAGCACTTTGGGAGGCCGAGGTGGGTGGATCACCTGAAGTCAGGAGTTCCAGACAATCCTGATCAACATGGCAAAAACCCATCTCTACTAAAAATACAAAATTAGCGGGCATGGTAGTGCATGCCTGTAACCCCAGCTACTCGAGAGGCTGAAGCAGAAGAATCACTTGAACCCAGGAGGTGGAGGTTGTGGTGAGCCGAGATCCCGCCACTGCATTCCTGCCTGGGCAACAAAAGCGAAACTCCGTCTCAAAAAAAAAAAAAAAATTGTTTTAAATGAAATCTATGAAATAAATGAACAAATGAAAAAATATAAGACTCCTATTTTCTTTCTGTATTAAAAAATTATATATCCTAATCACTAGTACATTTTATGACTTGAGATATTCTAATTAATGAATTTACTAATTAAGAACTGAAGCAAAATTCCAATTATCTGAAAGCTCCCATGTTTCTCATTTAAAAGGGGTTTAATTTCAACCAACAAGTGTTTTTTTTAACTAGACTATATGAAGAAATCACTGCTGAAACACCTTTGATGATTCCATTGACTATAAAATAAAATCTAAACTTCTTAGCTCAACATTCAAGATTCTCTTCAATTTGCCTTCATTCTCCTATGTACATCTCTATCTCTCCTTATTCCCTTAGCCTGACTCTTCTTTAGGAATACTGATTGCCTCAACATCCTTTAAATTAAAAAATACTGTTCATAATTAATATGAAATCCCTTGGAGACTCTTGGGCAGTGTTTAGAATGATGGCAATTATGTTTTCCCCAGAAATTAATGAGAAATATTTCACAATGCCTATATTACTCTGACAGTCTACAGTAACTTCTCTGTTGTGAATCTGTTTTCTAGGATATTTGCAACTGCTGAACTATTTAACACCTTAAGAATACTCTATGACCCTACTGAAGACTTATCTTGCCTATTTACAAAATGGTCTCATACTCATAAGTATCTCTGAGTTTTGGATTATACTCAATGCTTAAGTTCATGCCAATTTAAGTCAGGTTGCCTATAATGCAGAGTAATATACCTAGCCCATCTACATATATGTACAAATTACAGTTTTGCCATCAGTGAGCTTTCACTGACCAAATGCCCCTCTAAGCAAGAAGTTTCAAGCACAAAGAAAAGCCACAACTTAGCAAAGCAATATTTTAACTTATAATGTATCAATATTACTAGTTCTTATTACATAGCCCTTTAGACAAGAAAATATGCAAAATGTCACTGTTAATCAGACTGGCAAAAATTTAAGATTAAAAGCATTATGTGTGACATGGGAAAGGGATCTCATACAGCTAGGGGCAATTTTTCAGTGCCTATTTAAATTATGAATGCTTATATCTTTGAGCCAGCAATTCCATGCCTTAGTATCTAAATCTAGAAAAATAATTTCTCATGAGTACAAAAAAAGGATTTTATACCTAGTATAGTTTGATTAGAGAATACTTGGAACCAATCTAAAAATCCTTCAATAGGAGAATAATTAAACTATGGTATACTACATAGTAGGTAAAAAGAATATAGTAGATCTTCAGGATTTATGTTAAATTTTAAAAAGCCTTGCAACCTGCTTTTTAAAATTTAAAATTGCACAACAATATATACACACACCTCAAAATTATATACTAAGCCAGAAATGGTGGCTCATGCCTATAATCCCAGGACTTTGGAAGGCTGAGGCAGGAGGATCACTTGCGGTCAGAAGTTGGAGATCAGCCTAGCCAACATAGTGAGACCCCGTCTCTGCAAAAAATAAAAAATTAGCTAGGTATGGTACACGCCTATAGTCCCAGCTACTCTGGGGGCTGAGATGGGAGGATTGCTTGAGTCCAAGAGTTCGAGGCTGCAGTGAGCTGACTGAGCCACTGCACTCCAGCCTGAACAACAGACTGAAACTCTGTCTCAAAAAGATTCACACACATATATATATATACACACACACACACACATACACACATATACATATACACAAATATATTTTTATACATATATAAATGCTTAATGCTTAGAAAAAGATCTGGAGAAGATAGAATTCTAACTTCTGCATTGCTGGTCTAGCCAGGACAGCACAGTAACAAAGGCTGCCAGCTCTCAAAATCAACACTGGAGTAACTACAGAGGTGAAAAAGAACCCATAGATTCTGAGAACTAAAGTAAAAGTTGTGAAAAGCCCCTGGAAAGACAGACAGTTAACTCAAACTGGAACGCGTGGAAAGAAAGGGGCTGCATCCTAGCGAGGAGGCTGTGTGGAGGGGCTTTGTGAGAGGAATGAATGGAGAAAAGTCATTGTTTCTTCCTCCATTAATTTGAGATTACTGCTTGCCCCTCAACCATAAAAGTCTTCTTATTAACAACCCCAGCTGCAAATGCTGGCGCCCCAGAGTAATATCAGGGAACATGAAGGCCTAGCTATGGTGACAACTATAGATGAAATCTGTCCAGAAGCCCATCCGTGGGCATCATTCCTTCACCTTCTTCCCCTCCAAGCCCCAGGACTAGTGGATTACAAACCCTCCCAAAGCAACGTCTTCCTAAGGGCTTAAAGACACAATAATCACCAGGAGAGCCATATAGTGGAGTAACAGCAAACAGCAGGGACAGTGACCAAGGGTGGTTCTGTGCTGCCTAAGGCTCTCCTCCCTAGGGCTCTCTCCTCCCCTCTTCTTTAACTCTCTGAAACAGACCATGGTTTTATCCTTACCCAAATTCTCAGACAGAATAGTTGATCCCATCAGTGAAATAAGAACTCACAGGTCAAAAGAACCAGATACCTGAGGAGTCAATAAGTTTAAAAAAGAAAAAAAAAACAGACAACAAAGTGAATGATATTAATCAGACAGACAGACACAGAGTAGGCGATAAGAAAAGATATTAAAATGCAAAGCAAAAAAAAAAACAACAAAAAACAAGAATGTCAAGTATGAAAAACACAATAAACGGGATAAACAGTATAGCAGAGAACAAATTAATAGTTAGCAGATCAGATTGGGGAGTTCTCCCAGAATGGAGAAGAAAAGAAAGACAGAAAATTTAAGGGATAAGAAAAACAGAAGTAGAAGTGTCAATATCTGGAAATAAGAGTTCTAGAGAGAGGGGGGAAAAATGAAAGGAAGAAAAAAAAAAGAGAAAGAAAGAATGAAGATAAATTTCCCAGCATCTAAAAGATAAAAACGTCTGATACAATTGCACGAATAAATACACTGATATTAGTGATTTCCAAAAAGAAAGAAAACTAGGATTAGTCAGTGGAATTTATAAATTTATGCAGACACTTCTGCTATTTGCCACCTCTTTTTGTACCATTTGCTTGTCTCATTCTCTCTCCCTTCTTCCCTCTCCCTCTTTCTCTCTCCTTTCCACCCGCACATGCGCTTTCTCTCTCTCCTCTCCCTCCTTTCTCTCTCTCAGCTTAATGGTTTCGATACTAATCATCTTAATTTCTGCAGCTATGAGAGTATGTTTTTGAATTTAGCAACACAGATATCACAACTAAGATTTTTCCAGTGAAATGATCTATTGCTAACTAAAGTTGCAGAAAATTTAATTATTTTAAATTCAGAAGGAATATGTTAAGCCTTCATTTTTTCCCATTACTAAATTTTATATCTTCTCCTACCTTTCCTAATCATTTAAAGTTTTAAAAATAAAAACAGAAAATAAAACCAACCATCTCCTTGGGCCCTATATAGTCTTCAGATCTCCAGCTCATCTAAAGCCAGTTGACATTTGTTCATGCGAAGACAACCAGATATGATAGAAACAGCACTATAGATCAAGAATCCTAGTCCCAGCTCCATCATTAACCAGTCTGAATGACAATGTTGTATATTTCTACCTGGAATTTCCTTAAGCACCTTAAATATAATGTGTATATCAAACTCATTAGTTTCCCCACAAAATCTGGCACTCTTCTGTCTGCACTTCTAAGCCAACAACTCTATAATCACCCATCCAAGCTCCTAAGGTAGGAACCTCAAGATTATCCTTAAAAAAAAGCTTCTTTACCTCTCTCAACCAATGACCAATTACTGTCAATCCTATGCCCTTAAATTTAAATCTCTCTCCTCTCTATTTCTGCTGTAACTGTCTTTGTTCTCATTCTCTCTTGCTGGGACTACTCCAGTGGTGTTCTGACAGATCCCCCATGTCTCCCTCATTTGTTTATGGCTTCATACTCCTTCCTAAGGCAACTCCCTTGTCCAAAAACCTTCATGGGCTCCACAGTGCCCAAGCCTTACCATGGCCTAAATAAAATGTTCTTTATGATCATCTGGTTCAATCTCCTTCTCCAGATGTATCTGATTCTTCATCTAAAGTTCTAGCCACACAGAGATTTTCAATACTTTCCAAATATGCTTTAATATTTCTTGGCTGTCATCCCTTAACAAATGGTATTTCTGCTTCTGAAATGTCCTTCCCTTTCGTTGCTGCCTGCAAAGTCCTACTCCATCTTTAAAGACTGACATCAATGTAATATTGTGTATGAAGTGTCATCTAACTTCAGGCAGAGTCTTTTCTCCTGTGTGTTCATATAGTACTTGTAAATACAGCTATTTGATTAGTTATTGCACTGTTGAATAATTACTTGTGTAAGCCCTTATCTTCCTACATGACTGTAAGCTGCTTAAAGGTAGGGGTCATGTCTTACTTATCTTTGTATCTTTTCCAAGGTTGTGTCTGGCATATAATGGATACTTAATAAATAATTGCATAATGAATCCTCACAAAGCTTCAGCTTTTTTAGCAGTAGAACAAGGTGGTTGGAACAGATGGTCTAAATTCCTTTCTGTTATAAAACTCTACAGTTCCATGATTCCAAGTTAAAGTTGCTGTAACACTGACCCTTGAAAAAACCAAAATACTAGCATGCTTTAACTAGTAGTAAGAATATTTTAATTTTTTCCTGTATTTAGATCTAACCAAAAAAAAGTCATTAAAGTTAAAAAGTACCTCTGAATGATAGACTGCTTGCTGGGAAACTGCTGACTCCTGGTTTTGTTTAGCAAAAGAAAGAATTGCATCTGCATGAAATTTTTTATGGGACATCCTAATCACTTGCCCTTCACTAGGAGGATCATCCTCCTAAAAGAAACATAAAGACAATTAATAAAAATAAATTATTTCGAACAATTGCATTTTTCTCAATTTAAGATTAATAAAAACTTATCAGTCATGAGATGATGATATTAGCATTTTTGGAAAGGAGATGAACTCTTTATTTTCATCTAGTTCTCATTTCCATTTGTCTATAATAAAAGCCCTCTATCTTTGCCTCAAATATAAACCACAGTATAATTTGGTACAACATAAACTGGAGATTATAAAAACATAAAAATCAAACAGTCTGTCCCACACAGTTGAGCTACTATGAATCATAAATGTTTTATATGATATCATTGTTTTTGGGTCACAGCCTCCTCCTCATATTTCTGCAGTAAAGTAATGCCACAGTGTGGCAATGGGGGCAAAGCACTGTAATGCTGCAACTTGGACCACAAGCAAAAATGAAAAACTGCAGAAGTATGGTATGGCAGCTATAGACCTCAATGTCCCTTTGCCTTTGGGCTGACATCTGGCTTACTTGGCGAGGGCATTGGTATTGAAGACCCTCACTGGAGCACCCTGTATAGGCTTCCTCATGCCTCAAAATAGGCCCATCCCAACAATGAGGAACAGTGTGGGCCTCAGAGTCCAACAAAGTAGATTATCTTGTAAATACAGATATTAACATGACTTTAAATTCATTGAAAGTATTTGTATTTATTTTTCATGAAATAAAGTTTATTAACTCCAGATTATAAGTCCCTATCCCCTAGCTATGTATAGATAAAATGCCCACTGGTACATGATTTCAAGTTATTTGGGGTTTTTCCAGATTGTACTATTGTATTTGACTTTATTATGAATTTGTAGCATATGTGATTTAGGCATAGTAAAAATATCAACATTAGAATTTAGTTTCAAATGTAGAAAAAGAGAAACAAGTTATAATTTAGTCTTGGTTTGGTTTAGCTATTTACTTTAAATAAATTTAAACATGCTTTGCCACTTGAAAAAGTTCAAAGAGAGGAGAAAAATGCTATAATTGTACACTAATAGGCCGAATGTTAGTAATGCTTCTCTGAAAATAAAGATATCTCATTTATGCCTTCTTCCCATATTATTTCATAAAAGTGATTGCTATGCTCTCTTCACAATTAGCTCAACCAATTACTTGCAATAAATAATTACTGTTTAAAAATTGTTTCATTAAAATCTTATCAAAAAACTTCTTAATGAAGTATTTTCATAGGCCTATGTGAAATAACTTAAAAAAACAGCAACAATGCTTTAAAAAGATGTGAATAAACATAGATGATAGTTGAGTACAATTACCTTTCCTTGCTTAGGTTGTTTAAAAATATATAAAAAGTAAAGATTTCTATTCCTTAACGGTTTTTTCAAAAGAAAATTCTTACTATCACTTCTATATATTTATATATAATGTGATATTTTTAAATACCAACTTTTGCTTCTACAGAGCTAGATAAAAACTAGAAAGGGTTAACATCCCTGGACCTCATTTTTCTTTTTAAGCCATTAAGTTTAAATATTTATTAGCACAAAGAATTATAATCATGGTTAGGGAAAAATAACAAATGTATTACAAGAGAGTTGGTTTAAACAGGTAAGATCCTGCTTAAATATTGTAAAGACAACATACAGAGGTAACAATTTGCAATCAGCTAGATTTCATTACCTAATTACATTAAATGTATATTTTTTTACTACTAGAGCCACGAGGGTTAATAATAACTTTTTTTCATTCTCATAATTATAAGATTACATAATGAAATGTGCAAGAAACTCTAAATTATTTCATGGTTATTTTACTAAATTTTGTGTCTATAACTCAAAAAATTGAGAAAAAACCTGATCAGTGGCAACCAATTCATACAGATATTCTTCCTGTCAGAATTCAGTGTTGGAGTCAATCGTTACTTACCATTTCAACGGCATCATGCAGAGTGCTGGATAAGCTATCATTAAGGTTTGTCAGGTACAGTCCTATATCTTCTAAAACTAGAAATTAAAATATAAAAGTTTAGAAAAAAAAAAGAAACACAAACTTAGTAAATAATCTGACCATAAAGCCATAGCATATTAGATTCAAAATTATACTGCAATGGAAATACTGGCAAAGTTTATAAACAAGTAATTCACAAACTACTCAATCTTACCAGTTTTTTTGAAGTACAATTTATAACAAAGATGAGAATTTTGTTTAACCTACCAGTTTGTTAGAAATTAAAAACTATAAATATCAATTGTAGTTATGAAATTGAGAAACGGGTATTCTCATATACTGTTGATATAATTAAAACTGATTAAGAGCTAAAAATCCTTTCTAGAACTTAGAGCAAAGAAAAAAAAAATCCTTTCTAGAAAGCATGTTGGTGATGCATCTTTAAAGTAGACTCAGCAATTTCGCTTTTAGGCATGTATTCTAAGGAAGAGACCAGATAAGTGCACAAAGACATATATACATGAAAGGATGGTAATTAGAGAGTTGTGTATAGACTGAAAGCATTGAAAACAATCTAAATGCCCTCTATTAAGGGATTAAACAGACTACACAGCCAGAAAAGAAAAATAAGAAAAATATGGAGTTATATTAAAAGATATCCACAATATATTATTTGGTAAAAAAAAAAATTCAGGTTTCAGGCTGGGTGAGGTGGTTCAGGCCTATAATCCCAGCCCTTTGGGAGGCCAAGACGGGTGGATCACTTGAGCTCAGAAGTCTGAGACCAACCTGGGCAAAATGGTGAAACTTCATCTCTACAAAAAATATAAAAGTTAGCCGGGCGTGGTGGCACATGCCTGTAGTCCCAGTTACTCAGAAGGCTGAGGTGGGAGTATCACTTGAGCCCAGGAAGTTGAGGCTGCAGTGAACCATGATCATGCCACCTCACTCTAGCTTGCATGACAGTGAGAACCTGTCTCAAAAAAAAAAAAAAAATTCAGGTTTCAAAACAATATGCATAGTAAGATCCTATTTTTAAAGGTAAACATACATCCACATACGTATGTATTTATGTGTCTATATATGCATAGACAAAAAAGACTGGAAAGGCCTACCCCAAACCATTAATAGTGATATTATTTCTGGAGGGTGGGATTATGAGGAAGATTTTACTTTCTGAAGTTAAGACCCAGAAAAGTTAACTAAATTGCATTGAGTCCCCTATTCTTTCTACTATACCATGTTAAATCTTGAAAGTTAAGTAAAAACACTTTAAATAGAAAAGTATTACTTAGGGAATTAGCATAATCTAACAAGTAAAATCAACTAATACAAATTAACTTACTCTTGGGGGCCAATTTTTGACCACAGCTAAATAAAATCTCTCCTTCAGAGATGGGTTTATCTAAAGTTTCAGTTTCAGTGACAGTAACACTCAATGTGCTCTCCAGTGTTGATGAATCAGAACCTGGCATCTGTGAGGGGGAAGGGGCCTTGGTGCCGGCAGGAAATGGCATAAAGGGAACTGGCTCTGGAGGTGGAGGCTGAGCAGGGAAATCCATACTCTCTGGTTCTTCATCCTTAGCCACAGACATTACACTAAGAAAATAAAGACATATTTGGAGCTTGTTAGGTCACTGAAGGCCTGTATTCATTTTGATATAAAAAACAGACTCGAAGACTATGTCTCCTTTAGCAAAATATTTTTTTAAATCTGCACTACTATAATTAACAAGATTTTTAAAAGTTGTTTTCATGCTTTAATCATAGGCCATCTTGAAAGCTCTTCCATACAGAGAGATATAAAATAATATAAAAGTTAACTGATCATAGTAAATAATGATCCACAATAGGGAGAAATTGTTTTCTATTTTATTAACAATATAATAGATACCTTTATTTCTAGCTATTTCAAACCTTTTAAGAAAAAAGGTGAAGGTATAATTTGATAATTTTTCAAAACTCAACACTTATGAAAGTTCTTTCTTTCAAAGTATAAGGTAGTCTGTGGTTTATAAAGCTTTGTATAATATTTCTATGTTTTCAATGGATCACATAAGTCAAACATAAGTTGAAATGTACAGTTACTAGTGAGTATGTTCTCATTTACATAGCTCTTGGATGAAGTTCTTCTTGAGGTGAGTTAGGGTTCTCTTCTTCCAGTGGCAGGTCTCCATCACCCCATGGCTTGGGAAGCTCTGGGCTTGATACCTTCAATTTATCAATGGAAATATCTGACAAAGTTGGGGTAAAAACTGCCGCCGCTGGAGGAGGTGTAGTAGTAGGGGTAACTGTTGGAGTATTAACAAGCATGATGGCAGGCATATCATCTCCTAAAGGTTTTTTTTTAAAAGGACAGAAAAAGATAGTAGTCAGTAAAGAACTCCATAGGATGGCATGATACATTGCTTCAGATATCCCTTACCATTTTAGCACACAAATAATGGCAATTATAATTAATAATAATAATGACAATGGTGGTAGCCATTAATGTGATAATTCCTAAATTTAGTGAAGCGTTAAAAAATACCTTGAGAAGACATCATTGTTAATACCACCATATACTTAAAGTAGTCTAAGCATCTATTCAATTGTATACTTTTTTTTTTTTTGTGAGACGGAGTCTCACTCCCTTGCCCAGGGTGGAGTGCAATGGTGCGATCTCGGCTCACTGCAACCTCTGCCTCCCGGGTTCAAGCAATTCTTCTACCTCAGCCTCCTGAGTAGCTGGGATTACAGGCACGTGCCAACACACCTGGCTAATTTTTGTACTTTTAGTAGAGAGGGGTTTCACCATGTTGGTCAGGCTGGTCTCAAACTCCTGACCTCGTGATTCACCCGCCTCAGCCTCCCAAAGTGCTGGGATTACAGGCGTGAGCCACCATGCCTGCCTGGCCTCAATTATAGACTTTTAAGAAGTCGCAATCAATTCCTAAATTTCCTTGTGAGAAAAAATGATTTACTAAAACCTAGTAAGCAACAAGTACATATACAAATCATGAAATTTAATAGTTGCTAAAATTAAAACCGAGTTATAGAAATAAAGTTTCTACCTTTTTCAGCACATATTTCTTTCACAGGAAAAGCCATATCATGATCCGAATCACAGGGAGAAGAATCTGGAGTCTTTACCAAAACACACTCCTTAGCAGGTGATGAAGGTGAGCAAGGAGGCGTAGGCTGTGGGGTAGGCAGTGGGGTGCACACTCTTGCCTAAAATAAATAAAACAAGATAAACTGTGTTTATAATCACCCAAATAAAAGTAATTTGAAAATAATATGAACTCATTCATAGACTATATATAATTTAAATTGATGGCAGGGTTAAGTACCCTACCTCTTGAACCTCTACCTGTTAGTCTACGATTGGCCTGCAGCAAGTCTCAGGCAATTGAAATAACTCTGCCTCTGAAGTGGTCCCCACAGAATTCTAAGGCACCCTCTTTTAAAATAGAGAAGAAGTAATTTACGTTCCTACCAACAGTGTATAAGTGTTCTGTTTACTCTGCAGCCTCACTAGCATCTGTGGGTTTGTATTTTGTAGTTGTTTGTTTTTAAAATTTTTATTTTTAATTTTTGTGGGTACATAGCAAGTGTATATATTTATGGCAATCTTTTTTTTACTTTTTAATAATAGCCATTCTGACTGAAATGGTATCTCACTGTGGTTTTAATTTGCATTTTTCTGATGATTAGTGATGATGAGCATTTTTTCATGTTTGTTGACTGCTTGTATGTCTTCTTTTGAGACCATTACTGGGTATATACCCTAAGGATCATTATACCAAAAAGACACATGCACTCATATGTTCATTGCCACACTATTCACAACAGCAAAGACATGGAGTCAACCTAGGTGCCCATCAATGGTGGACTGAATAAAGAAAATGTGGTACACATAAACCATGGAATACTACACAGCCATAAAAAAGAACAAAAATCATGTCGTTTGCAGCAACATGGATGGAGCTGGAGGCCATAATTCTGAACAAACAAACAGAGGAAGAAAAAAACAAATACCACATGTTCTCATTTATAAGTGAGAGCTAAACATTGAGCACACATAGACATAAACATGAGAAAAACAGACACTGTGGACTATGATGGCAGGGGGCAGGAGGGAAGAAAGGGGAATGAGTTGAAAAACTACTTTTGGGTACTACACTTACTACCTGGGTCCAGTATATCCATATAACAATCCCACACATGTACCCCCTATACCTAAATAAAAGCTGAAATTTTAAAAATAAAGAAGACTGAAAGATTAAATAGATAAAGCTGATGATCAAACCCAGTTACAGACATGAAGGAAAGGCATAGAACAGAAAGGAAGCATTTTAAGTGATTGACAACATACCAAAAAATCAGCCTTTTTGCACACACACACAAACTGAGTATATAAAAAGTAATGGAAGGATAAGAAGAATTGGGAGTTAGGGAAAGATGAAGACAGCAGGGAGATGGAAAGTACTGGAGAAGGAAAAATGTAACAATTTAATATTAATTTGTTGAATAGGTAATCATTCAAATGGTTCAAAATTCAAAAGGTACAAAAGGATAGTGAAAATTAAGTCTCTCTCCTACTCTTGTCCTTTCTACCTAGAGCCCTTCCTCAGAGTTATCAAATAATCTTGACTTCAGTCATTTCATATGTATGATATATGGATATATCTATGGAATAAGTTCCCAGAAGTGGGACTGCTCTATTAAAGGACTAATTATGTTTTTAATTTGAATAGATATTGCCAGATTTCCTACTACAAGATTTTACTATATTATACTACCACCAGAAGGTAGGAAAATGACAATTTCCCCCAGATTTATCAAACTTTTAGAGTTTTGCCGATCTGATCAGTAAAAATGCAATTTCAATAACTTTTTTTCTTATTATCTATGAGGTTGATCATCTTCATCTTTTTATATGTACATGGGTGATCTGTATTTCTTCTATGTATATGAACTGTCTGTCCTCTGACCATTTTAAAAATATATTATTTGGGCCAGGTGCGGTGGCTCATGCCTGTAATTCCAGCACTTTGGGAGGCTGAGATGGGCAGATCACGAGGTCAGGAGTTCGAGACCAGCCTGGCCAACATGGTGAAACCCCGTTTCTACTAAAAATGCAAAAATTAGCTGGGTGTGGTGGCGGGCGCCTGTAATCCCAGCTACTTAGGAGGCTGAGGCAGGAGAATCATTTGAACCTGTTGCAGTGAGCCAAGATCACGCCACTGCACTCCAGCCTGGGCGACATGAGCAAAACTCCATCTCAAAAAAAAAAAAAAAAAAAAAAAAAAATATATATATATATATATATATATATATATATATAAATATATATATAATATATATAAAATTTGACTTTTTCTTCATTCTAAAGTCTTTATATAAGGTGATTACCCTTTATTCTGTATTATGGGTTGCAAATTAAGATGCAATTTAAAACCATGAAGCATATTAGAATTTCTATAGCATTGCTTAATAATTAATGTACTCTTAGTCTTCATTTTAAAATGAAAGAAGTACACTATGTCTTTTTTTCTTCTTGACTGCATAAACATATAGCATATAAGTGTTATTTTCAAATATAACACTATATTTTATATATATAACTCATCATGATGAAAGGATCTGAAGGTATTCTTCTAGTATTGGTAATGGATAATAAAAATGATAAACTATTAGTAACTGAGTGTTTATTTACCAAGTTCTAGGCACTAGATTAAGCTCTGTCCATATATCATCTCACTTAATCTTCCACAAAACTTTGGCAAAGAGAACACAGTACCATAAAGATGTCAATCCTTCTTAAATGAAACCAGTCAAAATTGGTTTAATTCCCACTGAAATCTCAACAATATTTTTTATGGAACTTAAGAACTAACTTTAAAATATATGTGAGAGATTAAAAGGCCAAGAAAAGCCATGACACTTCTGAAGATAAAGAATGATAAGTTGCAGGCTGCGAGTAGTGCTTGCCCTACTACATATTTAGGAAGCAGATTTCAGCAAAGCCATGGTCATTTAAACTAAGTATTCTATCTTTATTATAGACATAAAACTAAAGTAGTGGAGCTTGGAATTCAAATTCAACTTTTACCAACCCCAAAATCCAAGCTCTTTACACTGGTTTTCCCACATTTTCTCATCCAATCACCCTCATGAAAATATATACAATATATATAGGCAGAAAGCAAACCAAAGTAATTGGCATAGAAAAAACCATAACCCTGACCACATCTGTACTGCATATATTCCCAATGAGCTAATAAAGCACAGATCAAAACTACAGATCAAATCTTTGGCACACTAATCACATTATACCACAACAATCTCTACAAAAATAAAATACAGTATATAACTTTATACATCAAATGATGTTTAAATGTTTCATGTATATAAAATGATGTCCTTGTGATCTATAGGATCAGAAGTAACTATAGTTTTAAACAGCTGGTAATACAGAGTAAATTTTGGCTTTGTATAATTTCATATTGCTATAATAGATTATAAATTCTTTTTAACACAAGTAAGGTTGATTAAACAAGCAATAAAAGTTCCTGAAATGTATTTTCTTTTAAAGATTAAAAATATCAGTTCATATAATAACGCAAAGCAATGTATGATCCTTGGCTATATCTTGATTTAAAAAAAAACTGTAAAGGATGCTTTTGAAACAATTAAGGAAATCTAAATATGGTCTCTATATTCTATATTATTAACACGCCAATGTTAAATCTGGGGGGGTGTGATAATGGTATTCTGGTTATGTAAGAAAGCAACTTGTTCTGTGGAGATACTGCTGATGCTTCTGAGGTAAAGATGTCTGTAACTTTCAAATGGTTTTTAAAGGATATATAATATATAGCAGATATAAAGACAGATTTTTATAAATGTGCCAAAATATTATCAATCAATAAATATGAATGACCCTTGAATAAATAACTAAATAAAAACATAGGTTTGAACTGCAAGAGGCCAATCATACAAATTTGGTTTTTTCAACCAAATGTGGATCAAGAACAGTATTCATGAGATAAGAAATCCATATATATATAGAGGGCTGACTTTTCATATTCTTTGGTTTTACAGGGCCAACTGTGAGAGTCGAGTATGCAAGGATTGGCCAATTCTCCACGTACACCAATGGACAACTGTATAGGTAAAGGGTGTACAGATGTTCATTTTATCACACTTTCAACTATTCTATAGATTTAAGTTTTTAAAATAAAATGCTGGGGGAAACGTTACTTTAATCATAGCAACAAGGAATAAAATTCTACCACAAGCTGGGCATGGTGGCTGGTGCCTGTAATCCCAGCTACTCAGGAGGCTGAGGCAGGAGGATCACTTAAGCCCAGAACTTCAAGACCAGCCAGGGCAATAAATAAAGACCATGTCTCTAAAAATGATAATAATACTTCTACCACAAACAATGATCTTATGGTATGCAGCTTAAAATTCATCTATTTTACTATTCTTCAATAAATGTCTCAAAAATTCCCCATACCGGCAAATATGTTTCATTTGTTGAAGCATCCCCAGAAACACCTGTAGCAACAGGACCTTGCTTCTTTGCTTCTCTGTCACCCAGCATGACAGCAATGGTCTCAGCAAGAGCTTCGTTAACAAAATGTTTAATCACATTTGAGTTCACAGGAACACCAGCATCAACAAAAAGCTGGAGGGCGCCACTGCTTGTTCCTTCCACTAAAAGTAAAAAAAAAAAATCAGAATAAGTGGGCAAGAAACATGCTTGCAATTCAAACTTTCATTATTATTATTATTATTTTTCTCGAGACGTAGTGTCACTCTGTCACCCAGGCTGGAGTGCAATGATGTGATCTTGGCTCACTGCAACTGCCACCTCCCAGATTCAAGCGATTCTCCTGCCTTAGCCTCCTGAATAGCTGGGACTACAGGCACGCGTCACCATGCCTGGCTAATTTTTGTATTTTTAGTAGAGATGGGGTTTCACCATGTTGGCCAGGCTGGTCTTGAACTCCTGACATCAGGTGATACACCTGCCTCAGCCTCCCAAAGTGCTGGTATTACGGGCGACAGCCACTGCGCCTGGGCCGAACTTTCATTCTTAAAAGTTCAGAGATGCCGGCCGGGCACGGTGGCTCACGCCTGTAATCCCAGCACTTTGGGAGGCCAAGGCTGGTGGATCATGAGGTCAGGAGATTGAGACCATCCTGGCTAACATGGTGAAACCCCGTCTCTACTAAAAATATAAAAATTAGCCAGGTGTGGTGGCAGGCGCCTGTAGTCCCAGCTACTCGGGAGGCTGAGGCAGGAGGATGGCGTGAACCCAGGAGGTGGAGCTTGCAGTGAGCTGAGATCGCACCACTGCACTCCAGCCTGGGCAACAGAGTGAGACTCTGTCAAAAACAAAACAAAACAAAACAAAGTTTAGAGATGCCAATATACGTGTATGGGGGTGGGTGGGGGAGGGTGGAAAGAGGAATAAAAATGAAAATACAAATGTATCTACTTATTATGAAAAAGACTAAGAGGACAACTTACATAACAAATATTCTCTGTAAATAAAAAAAAGGGAGATGAAAATTTACTCAGATGGCCTCTTCTCTACTACTACAGAATTTAGTGATAAAAATGGGCACATTAAATGCCCTCATCTGAATACAACTCACATTTCCAAGAGTATAACAACAGGAAACTCTGTGATAGATCTTGACTACAACAAAAGAATGCACTAAATATAAAGGCAAACCTCCCTTCCTTCTAGTTTCAGATACATCAGTTATTAACATCTACTGCAGTTGAGGTGCTTGTTATCAGATGTCCTATAGGTATATTAATATCTGAATGGGTTGTACTTCTCACTTACATGAATGTACATCAAATTAAGTAAAATCTCCTGGAGAGACTTTACTTGACTTAAAGTAGTGATATTTATAAAGCTCCATGCGGAAAATAAGTGGATACTCATTTGTACAACCTGATGGAGATGTGACCTCACCAAAGAGTACTGCTTAAGTAACACAACTATAGTAACAATATCCAGAATTCCCTAAAAAGTGGGTAGACGTCTAGTGGGATCACTTGTTGACGGGGTAAGTAACAGCAATTTGCTCTTGAGTTACCATAGCAGAGACTATCCCAATCCCAAATTCATATTCAACAATATATGTTGATACATCTCCTTTTTAGTTTCCATAATTCATTCTTTGAGCATGGCCCAAAATCAGAACATCGTTTTTATAAGGTCCCAAATCCCTACCCAGACACTGGCAAAACAAAAGCAAACACAAATCTTTGACAGGGAAGAAAACAGGATCTAAATACCCAATTTGTAAAATGTCAGATTTTCACCAGGAAAAAAATTTTCTCATAAATTTGTTGTTTATTTTTGTCCTCCCTTCAAAGATGAGATGACGAGAGAAAACTGGGATAGTAACAACAGAAGGAGGCATGTGAGCTATGCTAAATAGGACAAATTAGCCAAATGCAACAATAAACTCTATGAAGCTGGGATATAGGGTATGGCTGAGTGGGGAATGAAGAAGAGCAAAGCAAAGAAAATAGAACAAATAATAACTCCAAGGCTTTAGAGATTGGGTGCTGGGAGAACTGTGATCTCAAAAATGAGAAGAATTTTAGACATACTAAAGATGAGATGCCAGGGGAGCATCAAGCACAATATTCATCAACCAGCAGAACTGCAAGTTGTCGGCCCAAATACATGGCTTAGGGTTCATCAACTGACACAGGATAACTAATGTCAGGAGGAAACTGGAAGAAAACAGAAAAGAGGGCAAAGCATGGGAACTAGGGAAATAATTTTATTCAAGTAGCAGAAAATAAAATGAGAAAATGAAGGTCTTAAAGAAGTTTTTTTTTTTTTTTTTTAAAAGAGGAAGAATTAACAGAATGAAGTCTAAGCAGCCAACACCAGGAGAAGAGTTTAAGCATCAGAGATGGTCAATAGTGCCTATGCTTGAGCCATACAGTAAAACAAGGATTTGAAAAAGGGAAACATTTTTGACAAGCAAATGCTGTGAGAAAGGAGTTTCTTGAGGGGGAGGGCAAAAGAAGGCCAACCTATAAGGACCAAAGAGGAAGTAGGTAATGAGAAATTAAAGTGGTGAATATAGACTCTGAAGTCTAGGATTCGGGCTGTTAAAGGATAGTCTATGAGGGAGAAAGAATAGCTTATCCTGAGGCTGGAAAGAAGAAAAAAAGTAGAGATAATGATAAACAGGAATAAAAAAGAAAAAAAGAACAAAGTTAGAAAAACTTTCACTATCCAATTTCAAGTGTTACTATTAAATTACAGTAATCAAGAAGTATGGTATTAGTATAACTTACAGGTGAATGAGACAGGATACAAAGTCCAAAAACAAGATGCACACATATATAACCAATTGATTTTCAACCAAGGTGTTAAGGTAGTTCAATGGAATAATGATAATCTTTTCAACAAATGGTATTAGAACAGCTGGATATCCATATGCCAAAAAACCCCAAACAAAAAAGAACTTGATCCTTACTTCACACCATAAAACTTAACTCAAAATATACTATAGGCCTAAATGTGTAATCTAAAACCATACATCTTCTAGAAGAAAACATAGGAAACTATCTTAATGATCTTGGGTTAGCAAAGATTTTTTTAAAAGCAGCATGCAAAAATCCCTACAAACTACTAGAAAAAACCTGATAAATTAGACTTCTTCAAAATCAATCTTTTTGTCTTCAAAAAATAATGCTGAGAAAACAAAAAGGCAAAACACAAAGTAGAAGAAAATATTTACAAAACATATATCCAATAAAGGACTTGTATCCAGAATAGATAAAAAACTTCATACTCAGTAATATGAAGACACGACTCGAACTTAAAAATGGTCAAATGATTTAAAGAGATTTCACCAAAGTAAATATACAGATGGCAAATAAACACATTAAAAAGTTGTACATCATTAATAATTATACTACTCAGGTATTAGTATAGTTAGGGAAATACCTCCACATATGTTCAGAAATGGCTAGAATTATAAACACTGACAACACCAAGTGTTGGGGAGGATGTGGAGCAACTAAAGTCACATACACTGCTGGGTGGAATGCAAAATAGTACACCCACTTTTGGAAATGTTTAGCAGTTTCTTATAAAGTTAAACATTTACTTATCATATGACCAACCAAAATTAAAAGGTTTCTACACAAAGATTTGCTTACAAATGTTCATAGCAGCTTTATTCATAATAGCCAAAAACTGAAAGACTATGAATGTCCATCAACTGGTAAATGGATTGACAAATTATGGTATATCTATACATTATACTATTACTACATGCAATAGCATGATTGTCAAAATATTATGCTAATAAAAGAAGCCAGCTAACAACGGGCTACATATTGCATGATTACATATGTATGAAATTCTAGAAAAGGTAAAAATACAGTAATAGAAAGCAGATCAGTGTTGTTAGGGGCCAGTGGGCACGAGTGAGGTTTAGGAATTGACTGCAAAATGGCATAAGGAAGCTTTTGGAGAAGACAGAAATGTTTTTCTATCTCATGATTATGTGGCTAATATATAGCTGTGTGAACTTGTGAAACTGGGCCAGGTGCGGTGACTCACTCCTGTAATCCCAGTGCTTTGGGAGGCTGAGGGAGGAGGATCACTTGAGGCCAGGAGTTTGAGATTAGCCTGGGCAATATAGCAAGACCCCATCTCTACCAAATTGATTGACTGATTGATTGACTGATTGAAACAGAGTCTCGCTCTATTGCCCAGGCTGGAGTGCAGTGACGTGACCTTGGCTCACTGCAACCTCCGCCTCCTGGGTTCAAGCAATTCTCCTGTCTCAGCCTCCGGAGTAGCTGCAATTACAAGTGTGTGTCACCATACCCAGCTAATTTTTATATTTTTCATAGAGACGGGGTTTCACTATGTTGGCCAGGACGATCTCAAACTCCTCACCTCAGGTGATCTGCCCTCCTTGGCCTCCCAAAGTGCTGCGATTACAGGCGTGAGCCACTGTGTGCCTGGACCCAAAATGATTTTTAGCTGGGCATGGTGGTGCACACCTATGGTCCTAACTACTTGGGAGGCTAAGGCAGGAGAGTTGCTTGAGCCCGGGAGTTAGAGGTTACAGTGAGTTATGATCATGTCGCTGCAGTCCAGCCTCTAGCCTAGATGACAGAGGGAGACCCTGGCTCTAATTAAAACAAACAAACAAAAAACTTGTCAAACTGTACACTTAGAAGTGGTGACTTTTATGGCAAGTAAACTTACCTCAAAAAAACAAGGAGGAGGTGGAAAGGAAGAAAAACAGGAGGAAGAGGAAGAGAAGGAAAAAATGGGGAAGAGAATGGGGAGAAGAGCGAAAGGGGAAAAGAGAAAAAGAAGAGGAAGAAAAGAAAAAATCGGGAAGAGAAGCAGGAGAAGAAAAGGAAAAGGGGGAAGGAGAAAAAGAAGAGGAAGAAAAGAAAAAAATGGAGAAGAGAAGGGCATAGGCACCATAAAGAAAGGAAGAAAAGAAAAAAATGGAGAAAAGAATGGCATAGGCTCCATAAAGAAAGAGGCTCATTTTAACCATTCAATGAATACTTAAACTCTTGTTGGGTATCAGGCAAGGACTAGGCACAAAAGGAGAAACATCCTTAAATCCTGAGTAATTTATAGTATAAAGAGTGAGGTACATATGGAAACCAACCTTAATATAATCTGATAATTACTATAACAAAAATATGTACAAAGTACTATGGGGATAACAAAGAGATTTGGGGTGGGAGGTATGAAGAGTGGTTTAATAATCTGAAAGCTGCAATATGAAATAAGAGGGTGAGAGAGAACTAACCATCACCAAAGAAGTACTAAGAAGTAAGGTTAGAAGAGCTTACCTTTTGTTACTGGAGAATTTACTTGACCTCTGGAATATATAAATCCACGATGAACTAAAGCTTTTGTCTTTTAATAAAAACAAAAAAAAATTCTATTTCACTTACCAATGTCAGAAGTCAGTGGTTCACTTGTCTCACTGACTGAAACACTGATACTAGGTGCAATCTGTTGCTGGACTGGAAAGAGCCCAGAGATAATTCTTGACATTATTTCTTGCTCTACCCTGAGAGGATGGTGGGGCAGATAAAAGTTAAGATTCCTCAATTTGATTGAAATGTAAAAAATGTTAGACATACCACCCCTAAAAATAACCTTTACCAATGCCACAAACATGTTGGTGTGAAAGCAGTCATTCTGAAAGTTAAATCTAGAAGAAAAAAAATAAAATGGGCTGGGCATCATGGTGCATCTGTAATCTCAACACTTTGGGAGGCCACGTTGGGCAGATTGCTTGAGCTCAGGAGTTCAAGACCATTCTGGCAAACAGGGCAAAACACTGTCTCTACAAAAAATACAAAAATTAGGTGGTACGTGCCTGTAGTCCCAGCTACTCAAGAGGCTGAGGTGGGAGGATGGCTTGAGCCCACGAGGTTGAGGCTGCAGTGAGCTGTGATCACACCACTGCACTACAGCCTAGGCAATAGAGTGAGACCCTGTCTCAAAAAAAAAAAAAAAAAGTACCTCTGAAGAAGATAAAACACACTAAACAGAATCTCCTTGTGGGAGATAGTTTATGAAATCAAATTAAAATCTTTCAGATTAGTCTAATGAAAAGCTTAAAAGAACTCCTAAACTCAAAATAAGACTTGGGCCAATGACTATCTGGCATATCATGTACCTAAACTGTTTGATTTCCACTCTGAGTGCACACATAAAAACCATATCAGATCAGAGCTAGAAAAGATGTCCAGCTGCCCTTTCTTCACGGTAATACACATATAGGCTGTATTATAGGTAGTTTTCCTCTTAAAATGTAAAGAAAAAATTTATTTCCAAAGTCATCTTCAGGAAGGGAAAGGGGAACAGGAGACTTCTAGAACATTTCTTTAGTGCAGTTAATAGACTTCTTAAAAATTATTATATAAATAATAGGTGTTCATTGTAGAAAATTTAGAAAAAAATGTAAGAGTTTAAAAAATTGATAAAGCTCACCTATAATCCTAGGTTCAGCAATAAACACAGTTAATTTGGTATGTATGCTTTTTCAAACTTTTGTTTTATGCACAGTTTTTTGTTTTGTTTTGTTTTGAGACAGAATCTCACTCTTTCGCCCAGTCTGGAGTGCAGTGGCACAGTCTCAGCTCACTGCAACATCCACCTCCCAGGTTCAAGCGATTCTCCTGTCTCAGTCTCCCGAGTGGCAGGGACCACAGGTGTGCACCATCGCACCTAATTTTTGTATTTTTTCAGTAGTGACGGGGTTTCATCATGTTGGTCAGGCTGGTCTCGAACTCCTGACCTCAGGTGATCCACTCACCTTGGCCTCTCAAAGTGCTGGGATTACAGGCATGAGCCACTGTGCTAGCTGCCTACTTACTTTTGAGTAAGATCTTGTAAACTGGGGTTACATTGTTAGTATCCTGCTTTGTTTATATGCCAGTACATTATTAATATCTTTTTATATCATTAAATTTCTTCTAAACCTAATTTTCATGACTATATTAATATTCAGCCATTTCACTTATTCCATAACTTCCTTAAGGTTTCTTACAAGTAAAAATACAAATAATAGCGTTCATTTCATATTCATATGTAACAAGTTACAATTGTTATTGTAATATGTAACAATAATAACATATTACAGCTTGTTGTTATCAGTATGTAACAAACCTAGAACAGTGCCCTCTTTGTAGTGCTAGGTATTATATGGCCTAGTATAGCAGTCCCAACCTTTTTGGCATCAGGGATTGGTTTTGTGGTAGACAATTTTTCCACAGACCAGGGCAGGGGTGGTGGGGTAGGGGGTGGGGGGATAGATTCGGGAGGAAACTGTTTCACCTCAGATCATCAAGCATTAGATTCTCATAGGGAGCGTGCAACCTAGATCCCTCACATGCACAGTTTACAATAGGGTTTGTGCTTCTATGAAATCTAATGCCACAGCTGATCTGACAGGAGGTGGAGCTCAGGCAGTAATGCTCACTCACCCGCTGCTCACCTCCTGCTGTGCAGCTTAGTTCCCTGGTTCCTAACAGGCCACAGACTGGTACTGGTTCGTGGCCCTGGCCTAGCAGCAAACCATAATTACTTCTTTAGGATAAGTTTCTGGAAATGAATCACTGGATTAAAGAACATGTACATTTTTAAGGCTTCCTAATAGTCTACTTGTGCCAGAGTAGACAGATTGAGTACAAATATTCAAGGACAAAAACAATAACCTCCAACAATAGTTAAGCCCTCAGCATTATATCAAACACTTTCCAGTGACTAAAGCAAAGAAAGTTTAATAAACAAAAGAAGACAAGGAATATTTTCAGCCACATTTTAATACTTTCCATTTATATTTTCTACTATGGTTCTATTCATACCAAAAACATTATAAACTTACCATTGAATTAAGCTATTTTCCAGTGTTTCTTTTCTCTCAATTACTTTATCCAGAATATCAGCAGTGGGCTGAAAAGTAGAAGCAACTGGCGGAAATGGAGGACCATTATATTTTGTAGAATCAGCTTTAACACTTCTGTTAAACTCCAGAATTGGTTCAGAGTCTGGAATTTCATCACATTTTTCTTCTTCCTGGTAGTAACAAAAACAAAACTATTATATTCATGTATTTGTTCAACATTTACTGAGTACCAACTATAGGCAAGGAACTAGGTGAATTAAGAAACCCTTCTAAATTAACCAACAGCATTTCTAATTAGGTGGTATCACATTAATTATAATATACACATTAGTCAGACATATCATATTGAGGAACCCTTAATTACACAATCAGTTTGTCTTTTTAGAACCCAATATTCATTTTATGCAATCACAAAATAAACTAGAAAACATAATTATTCCTACATAAAACACTATTATTTCTCTCTAGAAATGTATGCTTAATAATTATCGTTAAAAAATTGATGCTTCCTGATATGGTTTGGATATTTGTCCCCTCCAAATCTCATGTTGAAGTGTGATCCCCAGTGTTGGAGATGGGGCCTGGTGGGCGGTGCTTGGGTCTTGGGGGCAGATCCCTCATGAATGGCTTGGTGCCCTCCCCATGGTAATAAGTTAGTTCATATGAGAGCTGATTGTTTAAAGGAGACTGGCACATCCTCCTCTCTCTCTTGCTCCCTCCCTTGCTTTGTGACACATCTGGACCCTCACAGCCTTCTATCTGAGTAAAACTTCCTGAGGTCCTGACCAGAAGTAGTTGCTGGCACCATGCTTCTTGTACAGCCTGCAGAGCCACGAGCCAATTAAATCTCTTTACTTTTTTTTTTTCTTTAAGACAGAGTTTCACTCTTGTCACCCAGGCTGGAGTCCAATGGTGCGATCTCAGCTCACTGCAACCTCCACCTCCTGGGTTCAAGCAATTCTCCTGTCTCAGCCTCCCGAGATGCTGGCATTACAGGCGCCCACCACTATGCCTAGCTAATTTTTGTATTTTTGGTAGAGATGGGGTTTCACCATCTTGGCCAGGCTGGTCCTGAACTCCTGACCTCAGGTAATCCACCTGCCTCAGCCTCCCAAAGTGCTGGGATTACAGGCATGAGCCACTGTACCTGGCCTTAAGTCTCTTTTCTTTATAAATTACCCAGTAATTCCTTTATAACAATGCAAAATACACTAATACACTTCCAAAATCACTTTTTGCTCTTATACAACTTATAATTTACATTTAAATATGCAATAAGGTCAGTCATCTTACAAATTATTTGCATTACCACATCATAACCAATAGAGTTATTTCTGGAATTGTTAAAGTTTTTATTACAAAAAAATCATATGTGTTTAAAAGTAAACAAATAGTGTCCTTGTACTGTATCTGTTACATAAATAACATGAATTGCATTTATCCGCTCCCCAGCTTTAACAATTATCAACTTATGGTCAATCTTGTCTCATCTAGCCACTTTCCCCTTCACATATCATTTTGAAGCAAATCACAGATATCACATCATTTTATCTATAAATAATTCAATCAAAAACACTTTGGGTCTCTCTAAATAGTACAACTCAGTAATATTATTCCATTGAAAAATGAAGTCCACAGCTTATAAATGGCAGAGCTAATACAGGAACACTTGTCTTTGAATGCTAAATTCTCTGCTACTTCTATAACCATTTCTTTCGCTTGTATATTGCATAAACAATTACCAAGTACCTTTGCTAGGCATTAGGAATATAAAAATAAATAAGGTCCCTGTCTTCAAAATTCTCATGTGGCACTCACATGAGAAAAGACATATCTGTGAGCGAATAACATTAATATACTGCACACCTCTGTATATTCTAAAATTGGATTTCATTTTATGATTAACAAAACTGATCTTAGCTCTAAAAGTCAAAGAAACTTGATCAAATGTGTTCTTTAAAGTCTAATGACATAATGGTCAAGTAGTTTCAATGTTCTATGATCTTTTGTCCCATCCTTTATAATTTACTTCCACCTATTTTTCCCTCTATTTCATTATTTCTATCATTTCTATAACTCTTCCTTCCATATGGGATATTCCTTTGGATTATAGATTTCTCACAACTTTTTTCTCAATATCAATTAACTAGTCACCTCACCATGAATCCAAAAACCAAAATTAACAGAAAGAAAAAAAGACAAATTGGAGGAAAAGAAGCCAAAGGAAGTGGAAAGAAAGAAGAAAGCAGGAAACAGATAGACAAAATCTAGGTGGGGAACGGCAGATAATCATGAAGCTTCATGAAGGCAGATAGGTGATATAGATTAAAGACATTCTAGAATAACAACTTTATAATTTTTAAAAGTATATTTAACTCAAAAGTAAAAGAAAGTATCTCAAAGCACTGTAACATAATATTGATAGTCCAAAGATAGTCAACAACCTGGAAAAATACCGGTAGAAAAATAATTTCTCATGGTTTCTAAGCTTTGTTACCTGTATGACATCGATTATTTCATCAAAGTTAGTTCCTGGAAACTTCACCTCTTCTTCATCTACCTTCATAATTTCTGGAGTCTAAGAAAGCATTTTCAGAAAGTTTTTGTTGTGCTTAACACTTTTAAAATTTATAAGTAATTTATCATATTTCCACCTATAGTATAAGCTTATAATTACATGGTCCTTTTTAATCATTTTAATACCCTATTCAGAATTGATTTAATTAGTAAATGAAATCCAAGCTAGTCCCCAAGCCATTAGGTCAACATTTCAATAGCTTTAAAAAATTAATCAGCTGTTTTTCTGTAAAGGACTCCATCAGCAATATCACTTAATTGATCAACAGGTTGATATAATTGAGACTTCTCTTCCAGAATTAAGATAAAGGAAAGTGTTTACATGTGTAGATCTCTAAGTATAAACATATATGAACTCACATGAAGATGGATACAGAATCAAATAATTCAGGAAAAAAAACAAAATAGTCATTTTACAAATCTAATCATTAGGCCTCATTATATAAAATGTAGTCATGCAATAGCCTCTTACTGACAGCAGAATGATAAACAGTCCAAAAATTTATTGCTTGTTATCACAGAAGTTTCAATAAACAGAAGGTTAAAAAAAAATACTGATGAAAAAATTCAATTAAGCACAAATGTCACTTACGGACAGTTCTATTTCATTACTTATGATCATGAAAGATTGCTGGTATTCTCTCTCCTTTTAAAACTGTACCCTTGGCCAAGTTTGCTTACAATAAACAAAACCTGGGGTAAGTTACAGTGCTATTTTGCTGTGTAGTAAAGCCATAACTTCATTATTCAAAAGCAAATAAATGCCAGGAAGAAATGCATATTTTTGTATCATGTCAACAGTGGGATAACAAGGTAACATTCCAAAATATAAACTCCCAACTGTCACTATAAAATTCATTTAGGATATCTATAATTCCCATGTAAATCAAAGATTCATCACCAAAGTGACAGAAATTCTTTCTTCACATGAGAGTTTCACAACTTAAATTACCAAAAAGTTACACTAAAGATTATCACTTTCCAAATAGTTATAAATGTAAGGATCTGAAACAAACTTTCAAGTTCATAAACAATTCAAAATTTGTTTTGGGCTGGCGTGGTGGCTCACGCCTGTAATTCCCGAACTTGGGAGGCCGAGGTAGAGGGATCACTTGGAGTCAGGAGTTCAAGATCAGCCTGGCCAGCATGGTGAAACCCCATCTCTACTAAAAATACAAAAATTAGCCGGGCGTGGTGGCAGGCACCTGTAATCCCAGCTACTCAGGAGGCTGAGGCAGGAGAATTGGTTGAACCCGGGAGGCGGAGGTTGCAGTGAGCTGAGATCACACCACTGCACTCCAGCCTGGGCGACAGAGCAAGACTCTGACTGAAAAAAAAAAAATTGTTTTCAATCTTTTCTTCAAAATCTAAATTATTATAAGTTATCATTATGATAAAAGGCTTTAAATGGAGTAATTAGTTAAAATCTACAGTCAGACATTACTCAAAATAATATGATAAAATTCTGAAATATACCTTTATCCAAGTTTGCACAGGAGGAAGAGATGCTTCTTTGGGGCTAGACAGAGGTGAAAGGACATCAGCACTACTATTTGAAATGCTGTCAATATCTACACTGGGTAATACCTAAAACAGAATACAACATTCAGCTTTCTGTTTATCATTTTTACTCAAATATTTTTATGAGTATGTGTATATACATGTATATGTGTGTGTGTATACACATATACATAAAAACAAAGCATGCCCTTTAAGTTTTTATTGTGAACCCAATGGATAACAAAATTTTTTAATTATGAAAGCATATTTTATAAAATATGAAAAATAAAGAGGAAAACACACAAAATTCTATCTTAAGATGACTTCATTTTCACTATTCCCTTTGTCTTTTACTATCTACTTATACATAACTAAAATTTAAAATAGTTTTCATTCTTGATTTTTCATTTTGATTACAAGAACCATAAACACTTATCATGCTTTTGTATAGACTTCATAATTATATTTTTAAATGACTATATAACATTTCAACAAACATGTCTTAATTATTTAATTATGTTTCAATTGGAAAAATTTAGGAAATTTCCAATTTTTCCACTATTATATATATATCACTACAAAAAAAACTTACACACACATAAACACACACACACACACACACATTTTCTTCCTAAACCCTAAATTAATTCACTATACTAGATAGCCAGATATTGGATTAACTTTCTGGGCCACAGGACACGAATACTTAAGATTCTTGGAAGTACTGGTGAAATGTAATCCTAACAACCTCTATTTACATCATCAAAAACATAATTAAGTCTAAGTTTTACCCAACCCTCACCAAAATTAGATAATATGATTGTTTCAGCAATAATAGTTTTTAAATGGATGCATCTTATTGTTATTTCAATTTGCATTATCTTGGTTACTGGCAAAACTTATTTAGTTTGCTTGCTGATAAACTGTACTTCCTCTTTTGTAGAGTCTTATTCATGTCCTTTGAACATTTCTAGACTTGGATCTGTGTTTTCTTATTAATTTATAGAGATCTTTATATTTAAAAATTAATGCTTTACTAGCATCTTCGTTTCATATGTTCTTACTGTGTGTTGTTTGCCTTTTAATTCAGGATTCTTTGCCCCCTGATCTAGATCCTCTAATTTCCTCCATGGACTGACTGTGCTAGTGATGCTCATTCGTTCAATACACATTGACCGGGTTTGTACTTGGCTCAGGGAGCTGTCCAGGCTGAAGTGTCCCCAGGTCTCCCGAAGCCTCCATAGCTGCTGCACCACTGGGTTAGTGGGCCTACGCTGTCAGAAGGATGCCCAAAGACTGCTATAAGAGAGGAACACACTTGGGTTCATGTTGGGAGTTCCCTGCCCTGCAAGAATGACTGGAAGTTGAAAGATTCTGCAGCCAGGGCTTTATTGTGCATTTGCTCCTATCAAGCACAGGGCCGGGAATATTCCTGAGATCCATTGACTGCCTCAGCCCTAACAACTTGGCTGTGAAAACACACTATCAATTTTAGCTGCAGGGTGGAAGTCAATCTATGAGAACGAAGTGTTTGTGGAGCTACATGGGTGATTTCTAAGTCCCTGGGAATCTCTCAGGCTGGTGGGTTGAGGCTGTTCTGTATAAATTTGTGCAGAAGAAATGGATAGTTCGTTTGTTCAGGGAGGAGTGTCCAGTCAAAAATCAGTACTAAGAGCCTGTTGACTGTTCATGTGGTGGCATCCGACAGCTCCAGGATTATCTTCTCCTCAGTGATCAGGATCCAAGAATGAGGCAAGTCTTCTCTCTTCCCAGAGGGCATACTAAGTTGCCCAAGAAAACTCATTTGTCCTGGCTCAATCAAAAGAGGAACCTTGGAGCAGTCTAAGGACTGGAGTGTTCTAATTATTTGTAAGTAAGCAAGGATGGTAAGACGAATACAGGAGTTGGAGTAAATCAGCCAAAAAGTTTACCACAGTTCATGAATGCTTTCCTACAGTTGCCTCCTGACTGGTCAATAGAAAGTCGCATGTAAATACTCATGTTCACCTTTGTCCAGACCTAGTGAAGACCTCAGCTTCTACAGCTGGATCCCAGGCCGAAGGGTAGATGTTTGTGAAATGTCAAAGGGTTTCTTCCCACATGAGCCTGTTGAAGTCTTGTATTCATTCAAGTCTTCTAACATATGTTAGTGTAAAGTTTGAAGTATTAATTATATAAGTCACATATATTAACTTTTTAAAATTAATTATAATACACAGTTCAATTGTTCCCCTTGGAATATCACCAAGCCACTTGTATATAAGTCATTGGCCTAGAAGAGCAGCTTAAATCATGCAAAACAGGACAGAAACATCATATTAATATCACAGTTTTAAAAATAACAGAGCCAGCGGGGCATGGTGGCTCATGCCTGTAATCCCAGCACTTTGGGAGGCCAATGCAGGTGGATTCACCTGAGGTCAGGAGTTTGAGACAAGCCTGGCCAACATATGAAACCCCATCTCTACTAAAAAAAAATACAAAAAATTAGCTGGGCATGGTGGCGGGCGCCTGTAATCCCAGCTACTCAGGAGGCTGAGGCAGGAGAATCACTTGAACCCAAGAGGCAGAGGTTGCAGTGAGCCGAGATTGCGCCATTGCCCTCCAGACTGGGCGACAAGAGCAAAACTCTGTCTAAAAAATAAAAATAAATTTAAAAAAAAGAGTCATGATCAAAAGCAATATTTTTATGAAGCAATATAATGGATTTCCGTACTAACGTTAAGCAAAAAAATTTTTTCTTCCTTAAAATTTTCTACTCATGCACCCTGGCATACCTGCACAGTAAGCTGAGGAGGATCCTTTTTTTCTGACTTCATTTCTACAATGGCTATGTTAGGTTTCTTTACTCCAGTTTCTACTTTTCGAGATGATGGAGGAATAGAAGTAGTCACAGTTACAGGGTGTGGCTTGCTGACAATCACTCCAGCAGGTGGCATGGTATCACTATTACTTTGGGTTTGTCCTAAGAAGTTTAGGAGAAAAAATAAGTCAACTAGTTCAGAAAAAAAGGGAAAAGTCTAATATACCATCTGGATCTTAATGGCTATATTCTCATATTTAAAAAAGCCCTATCTGACAATCACCCCTCCCTCCATCATCAGCACTGTCGACATACTCACCATACCCAGTGACTTTTATTAAGCACTTATATGTACTCAACGCTTCACATCACTATCTAATTTAAACCTCAAAATAAAGGCTAATAGAAAGCTATTAATACTATCCACATTTTAAAATGTCAAAAACTTTCACTTCCAAAGTCCCACTTGACTTCTACATATCAAAGTAAAGAGGGGTAGTACAGTGTACTTGTTGAAAACACAGACTATAAAGCCAGACTGCCTCTGCCTGGGTTTGAATCCTGGCACCATTCTAGCTGTGTAGCCTTTGACAAATTATGTAACCCTTTTGTGCTTCAGTTTTCTTAGCTATACAATTTGTATATTACCATGTGCTTTATAGGGTGGATTAAATGAGAGAATATATGTAAAGTGCTCAGAACTGTACCGGGCACACAGTAAGAACTTTAAAAGTGTGAGCTATTTTATTACTAGGAGATATGTTTAAACAGAGAGCTATTATGTTGACATGAAATTAACCCATAATATCAAAAATAAAAAAGTCTCTTACATTAAAAAATATTCATACTTAAATTGTTAATCAAAACAAAAGAACAGCAATGACACTAAAGGGAAAAAAGAGCTAATTAGACTTGAACAGCTGGTGTGAGGACAAAAATGATCTGTTCAATTTTTAACATGAAGACTCAGAGAGAAGGCAAATAAGTAAATAAACAACTATTGGCTTAGATTACACACCCACACAGCTTTCACTTATGATAGCCTAGTTCAAAAGTACAAAAAAAAGTACCTTAATACTTCCCCAAAGACATAATGATATTAACAAGATAATCAAACTTATTGAATTATTATGAATGTCCATGACATATTTAAACTTTCTTTTTTAAGAGACAGGGTCTTGCTGTGTTGTCCAGGCTGGAGTACAGTGGCATAATCATTGCTCACTGCAGCCTCAAACTCCTGGACTGAAGGGATTCTCCTGCTTCAGCCTCCAGAGTAGCTAGGACTACAGGTGTTAGCCATCAAGCCCAGCTAATTTTTTTTTTTGAGACAAGGTCTTGCTATGTTGCCCAGGCTGGTCTCAAACTCTTGGTCTCAAGCAATCCTCCCATCTCGGCTTCCCAAAGTACTGTGATTAAAGGCATGAGCCACTGTGCCCAGCCAAAATATTGTTTAAAATTTCATTTCATCTACAATAATATAACATACCAAAAGAATTTTTCCTATTGGTGAAACTACAGCAGGAACCCATCATTTCAGAGATTGCTATTACACAGCATAAAATACATTGTGAGGCCTTCCCCACAAAAACAAATAACATTTACAAGAAAAGGTAGATGACTATCATGTTAGTACCATTTTGTAAGTTCTGCTACTGCTGATAAGAATTTAAAATTCAATGGCTGGGCACGGTGCCTCACGCCTGTAATCCCAGCACTTTGAGAGGTTGAGGTGGGTGGACTGCTTGAGTCCAGGAGTTCCAGACCACTCTGAGCCACACAGTGAAACCCCGTCTCTAATAAACACACAAACAAACAAATAAATAAATAAAATAAAATCCATCCCACATATTTTGTTGATTCTTACCTAAAAGAATTGCCATAGGAATCAGATGACCTTCCAATGTACCTGAAAAAGTAGGCATTTCTCTACTTGGGCTGAACAAATATTGCTGATCGCCATGAGGTAACACAGGAACAGAATGTTTCATTTTAGAATCCATCTTCTTAGGTTTTGTTGCATAGAAGTCAGTCTGTGTTCTTATTGACTTTACCTTAGTGCCTATAATAATCACCAATGGCAGATATTTTAAAATATTGTTAGAATATCTACTATCCAGACATCTAGAAATACAACAGCTCTTCACAGAAAAATCTTAATTCTATATAAGGTTACAAGGCCCCAAAACAGAAGTAATATATAGACCAGAGGTAGCAAACTTCTTAAATGGCCAGACAGTAAATATTTGTCTGGCAGGCCACGTGATCTCAGCTGTAATGACTCAGTTCTGCTGTTGTGTCATGAAAGAAGCCATGGACAATATATACATGAATGAACACAGTTAGAGGCAAATGAAACTTTATAAAAACAGGCAGCTCACGTGTAGGCCACAGTTGCCAGCCCCTGAATAGACATACAACTTGTACAGCTACTGTGACAAAATAGATATAATAACTAGAAAAAAATGTTAAATAAAGATTCTGAAGAATATTCCAACAATGTTTGAATTCTTTAAATTTTTTTCCATAGGTACGAAAAAGTTAATGATCATTTTTGGAATTGATGATTTTCATTTTCTCATTACACCTTTACACACAACATAATTCTGAATAACCAGCTTTATCTTTTTAAATTATGTACAGACAATCAAATTCTATACTTACTTAAACCTTACTAATTAATATCATTATACAGTAGTCTCTCCTTATCTGTGGTTTCTCTTTCCCTGTCTCAATTACCCAGGATCAACCTTGGCTGGAAAATATTAATGGAAAGTTTGAGAAATAAACAATTCATAAGTATTTAAAAATTATTCATTAATTTTTTTTAGATGGAGTCTCACTCTACCCAGGCTGGAGTGCAGTGGTGCGATCTTAGCTCAATGCAACCTCTGCCTCCCAGGCTCAAGTGATCCTCCCACCCTAGCCTCCCGAGTAGCCAAGACCACAGACGCATGCCACCATGCCCGGCTGTCATAAGTTTTACAATGTACGCTGTTCTGAGTAGCGCGATAAAATCTCATGCCGTCCTGCTCCATCCTGCCCAGGACATGAATCATCCCTTTGTCTGGGGTCTCTACACTGTAGACACTACCTGCCCATTAATAACTTAGTTACCATCTCAGTTATCAGATTAAAAGAACATAGTACATGTTAGGGCTTGGTACTATCCACAGTTTCAGGCATCCATTGAGGGTATTGGGACACATCCCCCATGAATAAGGGGGGACTGCTGTACATTTTTTTCTGTTCCTATGATGTATACATACACATATAGCCATTATATCCTAAATCTTAAAATATTAAAAATTTGACTTTATGTCTCTTTGGAGAAGTGAATAAATGTCTATGGAACACACACACAAAAAAGTAAAGAATAAAGTAAGCGGGCAAAGGAAGAGGCTAAAATATTTTCTTAATAATTTCCTGACATTACATTTTTACTTTTAACATGTGGGTGCTTTTTTTTTTTTAAATGCAGGAACTGCCAAAGTTTTAGTTTTTAATAATTAATAGTACAACTGACCAAGGTCCAAGATGTGAAGATACCACATTCAAGAAACTGGGGGATAAACCTTTATAAACTAACTATATAGTATGTGATAAGAATGCACACTTTATAATATAAAACCTGTCTACACACAGTAGTTAGCTGAAAAAAGCCATTCAGTCTTCTCTTGGCTCAGAAAAATGATGTTCCAGATTCCATTATATAAATTATTAGCAACCCTCAACTCTTTTGTGTGGCAGGTATCTTGTTTTCACCTTCCAGTTCTTCCAGCCCAGCCTGTGTCATGGGGTCTGTGATGTTCTTCTCCAGATCATCAATGTGACTACTCATATCATCAATTCTCCCAATTATCTGGTCATAGTCTGAAATTTATCTTGCATCTGCTGCAGGGGTGTCTACACCACCGAGGTGAGGTCCTGCAAGGTCTTGGGGTCAGTCTTGGCCATCTCCCCAGTGCCCAGGTTGGTGGTGATGTCTCAGACCGTCACCTACACTTCCACTTCACATGTGGGTGTTTCTATGTATCTAATTTTTTAATGTATCTAATTTTTTTTTTTTTAGAGACAGGGTCTTGCTCAGTTACCCAGGCTGGAGTGCAGTGGCACTATCATAGCTCACTGCAACCTTGAATTCCTAAGCTCAAGTGCTGAAGTGATCCTCCCACCTCAGCCTCCCAAGTAGCTGGGACTACAGGCATGCCCTGCTAATTTTTTTAATTTATTGTAGAGACAGGATCTAGCTATGTTGCTGAGGCTGGTCTCAAGCAATCCTCTTGCCTCAGCCTCCCAAAGTGCTGGGATTACAGGCATGAGCCACTGTGCCCAACCTACACATCCAGACTTTTAAATATAGTTTCTTTTTGTTTATGACCCCAGGAAGAAAAATTGTAATACCATGTCTATATTCTTTCATCTTGTTCTCTGATAGTCATTCTATTGAATGAATATTTTTCTTAAGTGTTTATTTAAAATGTTTGTTCAGCATTTAATATGTGTTAAACATTGTTTCTGGCACAAGGAATACAGAGGTGACTAAACCAACTGTACTCATGGAGCTTACAGTCCAGTAGTGACAAATAAATAATAAAACAAACAAATAAAAATATAACACAGGAAATGTGAAGTGCCATGAAGAACAATATGGCAGAGTGAGGAGATGGAGAGGAACAGGAGATAATTCTTTGAATAGAATGGTCAGGGTAGAGCACTCTAAGGAGCTATCATCTAAGAGCGGAGACGGAAGAATTGAGAGAGAGAACCATGCAAGTGTCTGAACGAAGAGCTCTCCAGACAGAGGAAGTGGCAGGTACTGAGGCCCTAGGATAAGCATAAGTCCTTAGGTTCTGATATGGCTTGGCTCTGTGTCCCTACCCAAATCTCATCTCAAATTGATCCCCATGCGTCACGGGAGAGACCTGGTGGGAGATGACTGGATCATGGGGGCAGTTTCCCCTAATTTGTTCTTGTGATAGTGAATGAGTTCTCATGAGATCTGATGCTTTAAAAGGGCATGGCTTTCTTTGCTCCCTCTCTCCTGCTGCCATATAAGACATGCCTTGCTTCCCTTCGCCATGACTCTAAGTTTTCTGAGGCCTCCCCAGAGATGTGGAGCTGTGAGTCAATTACACCTTCTTGTCTTTATAGATTACTCAGTCTCAGGTAGTTTTTTATAGCAGTGTGAAAATGAACTAATACAGGCTCTTAATCACTTCTGATCATTAAAAGCGTTATTGAATAAAGTTATTTTTGGATTTGAAAGCATTTTAAAGCCTCAAATTATTTTTTGCAAAGACTTTCAAAACCCCCCATATAAATTAATAGCAAAGCTACACTAGGCCGGGCACAGTGGCTCACGCCTGTAATCCCAGCTCTCTGGGAGGCTGAGGCGGGTGGATCACCTGAGGTCAGGAGTTCAAGACGAGCCTGGCCAATGTGGCAAAACCCTGTCTCTACTAAAAATACAAAAAAAAAATTAGCTGGGCATTGTGGCGCATGCCTGTAATCCCAGCTACTCGGGAGGCTGAGGCAGGAGAATCGTTTGAACCCGGGAGGTGGAGGTTGCAGTGAGCCAAGACTGTGCCACTGCACTCCAGCCTGGATGACAGAGCAAGACTCCGTCTCAAAAAAAAAAAAAAAAAAAGCAAAACTACACTAAATAAGAGAAAACTTCAGGGTAAATACCATCCATTAGGATAAATATCACCCATAAGCTATATGCTTTCTATTTTAAATTAGTAAAATTTCTATATAACCTGACACTGTATATGATTGCATAACCTTTAGAAAGCAAAGGGAACCAAAGTAACCACCATAGCTCCAACTTCTAGAAAGGATAAGAGAGGAAAATGGGTTTGTATCTACTAGTTATCACATATTGTCAGCTGTAGCTTACTGATTGCTAAGCAGAAGCTGAGAAACTATAATACATAACCAAAGTCAACAGACTCAGTATATAACCAAAAGTTGTATTTAAATACACAGTACCAGTGAAACAGTAGATGTGACTCAAAATACACAGTGATACATGAAGATGTTTTCAGTTGTGCACAAAAGCAACAAAAAAGTTTTCACCTTTCTACCTAAGTCTCTTTGAAAACCAAACTGCAAAAGTGCTCATCAACACTTTTATAATAAACAGCAAATGGCTGATCTTTCTGTTCATAATGCACCTAGGTCTTCAGGAAAATGTCTACTTTCCTAGATTATAATTTAGATGCTCAAGATTCATCATCACCCACTGTGGGCAATGTGGTGAAACCCTGTCTCTATAAAACATACAAAAAAATTAGCCAGGCGTGGTAGTGTGCACCTGTCATCCCAGCTACTTGGGAGGCTGAGAGGGGAGGATCACTTGAGCCCAGTAGGTCGAGGCTGCAGTGAACCATGATTGTGCCACTGCATTCCAGCCTGGGGGATAGGGTGAGACCTTGTCTAAAAAAAAAATTAAAAAAAAAATCATTTTCTCCTAAATAAAAATTTTATGATGCTTTATCTGAAGATGCCATTTAATCCTACATTTCTTCCCAATTATTCCTATCTTGTGTCTTTTTTAAAATGTTGGTCTATTTCTTCCTACCTCTCCTAAGAGGAATTATTTTTCCATCCCCAAGCATCATATAACTTGAATGGCACGTATAAGCAATAAATAAAAAGCAAAAAGAAACTTTACATATTAAACTGATACTATTAAGAAATGAGATTAAACATTAAAAATGAGATTCCTTACCTTTAACTCGTTCTATTACTTTTGGTCTCTGTGGTCTGGACTTAGGAGATGGAGAATTAAATCTGAGATATGGTCCTTTTTTAAGAGTGCTTCGATGGCCCTGATAAACTGGCTTTCCATAGACTTGTAACATATAATCTTCATCTTGTATTACTGTGGTTGCTTTCAAAAGCCCCTGTGTGTACAAAGTTATTCAACTCACCATGAAAACAGTCATCAAACACTTATCTCATTTTTCTAAAGCCTCCTTTTGCTAGCTTAAGTATTATAACAAGAATGATTAAGTAAAAAATAACCTCTGTTTTCAACAGCCCTTAAATTCTAGATAACAGGTTTCAAGCATTAGTTTGAAAAGCTTTAAATATAAAAATCATCCACCTAAGAAACATGAAAATTTTTACATTACTAAGTATATTTTCAGCACCAACAAGAAACATTTAAACACATTTTACATATTTATTATACTCCAGTACAATAAAAATACAACAACCTTAACCTTTAAATAATTTTATATATTTCTGAACCCACCTTCAACCATAATCTAAATGTCACAGAAAGGGAGCATTTACTGAGAATCTACTAAGTATAAGCATTGAATTAGATGCTTTACTGATCTGCTCAACAATCCATGTTTGGCACTTAGAAACTTATAGCCTAGTTACAGCAGTCAAAAAAATTTCCTCCATACCATCTAGTACCACGCCTTGCATATACTAGGCACTAAACATGCATTTGTTAAACTGAAAAATAAACTATATACACACACGCAAATGAAAATTTTGAGTACCATAAACTAGAGAATCTAGTTTTTGGACTAGATGATCTCTAGATATACCTTTATACCTGCTATAACTACAAAATCATGATGCCAGGGTGTGAGATCTCATAAGAAAGGAACTATCTATTTTGTTCAGTGCTTTTCACATTATAAATCCAAAACCCTAAGTATCAATAGTGTAAAGATAGCTTACATTTGTATAGTCCTTCATATTTTTAAAACACCTTCACATTCGCTTCATTATTTATCTCTTAAAGGAAATGATCAATTATAACACAACAATTATGTTAAAAGAACAGATTAGGATCTTACTTCCTTTCTCTCTTTCTGTAAACTTGAAGCAGGCATGCCCCTCATAGGTAGATTTCTAAAATGCTCTTCTATTTGCTTTTGAGAATGTTTTCTTGGAATTACAGATTTGTTGACAGTTTTATCTTGTGTGTTGGTTCTAATATCTTTAGTCATATTCTGACCTTTCTTGGTTCTCTGATTCTTCTGATCAAATCTTTTTTGTTCATAATCTGTTCTTGACAGTTCATCCTTAACATAACCAAAGTTAAAATTACTTAAAATGTCTACAAATAGTAATGCTTTCACATCAGAAAGTATTAGAATTTATTTTTTGCTGCTATATAAATACAGTTTAGCAGTTTTAAATGCATTAAAAATAAAGGATATTGGCTTTATTGGATATATAAAAATCAAAAATCTCTGGAAAAATAAACAAAACCCTAAAAAGACTAGTATCTTTTGGAGTGGGGAATGGGAAATAATAGAAGGGTTGCAGGGGTAGCAGGACAACTTTGCATGACAAACCTTCTTATACTTTTTGATGTTTGAACCATATGAATTTTGCTAACAGTTTAAAAAATTAAAAATACATTTCAAAAAAAGCAAACACTTTTGTAACAAAACTGAGATAAATATAAATTAAAATTATGTGAAAGTTTAAACAAATATACTTTACATGGGATTCATTGCAAAAGAGTAAGATACATTGCCAGTTAGCTGTAGAGCGAAAACTAGACTCCAAATCTTCTGACTCTTAGTTCAATTTTTTTTTGTGTGTGTACCATATAGTACCTAAAATAAATTTTTCATAACTTCATTAGAAATATATATTCTTCAACAACAAAGTTTTAAAATATATTTCTGTGTTTATTGCTATGGAAACAGTACTGATGCTTCACCTTGCTACCCTTGTAAGTAGCATATAAGCACATCTACAGTCAAAAAAACACACCTTGCACCCCAGGACAAAATAACACCTTAGCCTGCCTAGTTCCGCTCACTCAAATATATAAAATTTTTAAATTTCCTTTAAATTATGGACCCTCTAAGAAAGATAACTCCCAGACTTTTCCAATGCTGGATGTTTGAAGATGTACCATGCCCATTGTGGTTGTGAGAAAGAGGCTGTTTTTCCATCTGGAACTGACTTCCGTAAACTTAGTAAATCTCGTTGGTTTTTTTCTCTTTGCATTACTCTGGTATTTTTACTTTGGCGGGTCAATGCTCCTAAATCCACTGTCTTCAAATATCTTTGCAAGTATAATTCTTTTTCCAAACACTTTTGCTAAATTTTCTTTCAGATTATTCATGTTTTAGTTTTTGTCCAACAATTTGCCAAATAAGAGCCAGAATATAAGTGGAGATAATATACTTGTTAAACAAAGCTAAACTTATTACTAAGTAAATATAAAGAGTGACAATTAAATTAAAAATAAGTGGATTTTTATATAAGAAATATTTTGAAAACAAATGTAATGCCTGTAAATTGGAATCAATATTATCTTCTGAGAATTCACTTAATTTTCAGTTTTTTTCCAAGACATACCTGAATTTCTGCAGAAATAGTTTTAATCCATTCATCCACTGTCTTTCTGATCCTAATTTTCTCTGACATCTCTCTATAAAAGAGAAAAAGGAATTTTCTTAAATTAGCACTTACTGTCCTGAGCAGGACTTGGATCAGATCTAACTCTTATCTAGTTGTGAACCTGCTATCCTAATATCTTTCATCTGAAAAGGAAAGGATATTAGGATAGTAGAATGGGGGCCTAATATCCTTCATCTGAAAAGGAAAAACCTTTGCTATTTGTTTTCATGGTATTAGTTTTCATCAAATATTTGAAGGATAAATGTTTGAAAAGCACATGTGGATCCAAGAAGATATGTACCAAAGAAAGAAAAAATTAAAAGAAAAATTTCCACCAGAAAAAAGTAGTACCACCATATATATATATCCAAATTCCAACTTTATAAGTTCCACATCTTCAAAGTCAATAAAGAACCTTTTAAAAATATGAAAACTAATAGGAAAATACAGTGCTTAGAAAAAAATTATGAAGAAAGTGGAACTGACAGACTCATAAATAACCCTGGATGCCAACATCCTCTTACCTGTTGGTAGATAAAGCATTGATAAGCGAATACATGGCAGCTCCATCTTTTGCACGAATAATAGCTTCCAGGTTTTCTTCAAGTACTTTTTTATTGTTTTGTACTCCTCTCAAAATCTTCTCAGCATCTTTCAATACAGATCTTGTTGTATTGGTTGTTTGAAGCTTAACAGAATTCTGTGGAAGATCTGGAAGCTTCAACATACTCAGAGATTCTTTTGGCTTAAAAGAAAAAAAGACCAGAAAGTTACTAAACTCACAACGATTCCTTTAATCAAAATAACAGCTATCACTATTGTTGAGGCCATACATTATACCAATATATTCTAAGGACTCAATTTGTCAAACTGAAGACTTACAAAAGAATACTTGGCAATCAAAGTGTTTTTCCTCCATTTAGAAATACTAATGTGGGCCAGGCATGGTGGCTCACGCCTGTAATCCCAACACTTTGGGAGGCCGAGGCAGGTGGATCACCTGAGGTCAGGAGTTCAAGACCAGCCTGGCCAACATGGTGAAACCCTGTCTCTACTAAAAATACAAAAATTAGCCAGGTGTGGTGGCACACCCTTGTAATCCCAGCTGCTCAGGAGGCTGAGGTAGAAGAATTGCTTGAACCGGGAGGTGGAGGTTGCAGTAAGCCGAGATTGCACCCTTGCACTCCAGCCTGGGTGACAGAGCAAGACTCTGACTCAAAAAAAGAAAAGAAAAAAAACTAATGTGAGTGTTAAATAAAATAGAGGTGAGAAATCCATAGCAGTGCTAAGCAGTCCAGCGACCAATAATAGCTCTCTCTCTCTGCTGAAGAAAGCAAAATAAAGTAAAATATAAGCAAGTTGGCTCTTTATGTATGGAAGAAATGGCAGACATTGTGGATTGGATAAATGAAGTCCATTCACTCACAGGTCTCTTTTCCCCTTCCTCCCTTTCCAACAGAAGCTGGGAAGCCAGAGGTGGCTATATGGCTCAGTCCTGGTCAAGGAGCGATAAGTAGAAATCACTTGGTGAAGGCCTCTGGAAATACTTTATAAATGGAACAGATGTGGCTGACATATCTTTTTCAGTGCTTTTTCTTCATCCTTCCTCCTAATTTCTATCTTTATAACTCTTTTATTCCTTTTTAATTTTTATCTTAACTAATCATCAATTTTAAGACCATTCCCACTTTACCTGGACCATGCTATTTGTTTCTTTCTCTTTTTGGCCAAGGTCATGAAGAACATCATCAGACTTCTGCATAGTCACTTTAGTTGTTTCTAGCTCTTCACAGGAAGGAAATCTTTGAGAAGGTAGAGTTTCAACGCTACAGAAGATTTTTGAAAAAGTTTCCTAAATTGTTGTAAATTCAGTAAACATTTCATTACACAAATCTTTGATACAGTCTTAGCTATATTACTAAATGGTATCCTATTAAAATTGAACTATGGAATTAATCAGTTATGTGATTAAACAAATGAAACACAGAAAATCACAAGAGACAAAATTATCTAACCAGAAAAGTTTAGATGTAGCAGAAAAGGAGCAGGAAAAGGTTATGCTTTCAAGAAGCTAACATCCAGAAGCACTTCCAGATTGGTGGAGTAAGAAATTCTGAAAATCTGCTTCTCCATAAGCACAATGAGAACCCTAGCAAAAATCATCAAAATCAAGTTTTTCTAACCTCTGGAAATTAAAGACTTGCAAGAACCCCAGGAGCATTTATTCAAGAAAAATGGCTGACTCTAGGTAAGAAGAGCAAGCTTTATGGAATTTTTTTAACTTGCCTCATTCTCGGGACCCTATTCCCAACTCTGTGGCGGCCTCGAAAACCAACAGCCTCACAACCACTAAAGACAGTAGAATGGTTTCAAGCTCTCCTAAAAGTCTCATTCATAGTGTTTGTCTTTATTTGAACTGACTCACTGCTAGCTCAGCGAGAAAGTATCCCCAGGGCATTTTTCAAAAAACGGTGGCAATTGTTTAACATCTCAGCAGCGTGAGGTAGTGACACTAGTTGGGGCAAACAAGATTGTGGTCAACAAATGTTAAAAATCTAGGCAATGAAATGTCCAAAGTGGAGTTTTGAAAAGCTCCAACATATTCCTAGGAATCTAGAAGGTCATGCCTTCTAGTCCACATACAGGGCTATGTACATGCCCAAGAGAGACCTGGGAAGGTCCTAATCACTCACTTCCGACCTTGAGGCTCTGTGCAAGTAGGAAGTGAAAGGCTAAAACAGACTCATAATCTGCCAGGCACTGGAGGCATGCTCTAGCACATGCATGTGCATGCACTCGCACACACACATACACACACACACACACACACACGTAATCCATGGCAAAGAGAGGGAGACTTATCAGTTCAAGGCAGTTAAGGAAATCTCTTTCCAATCACTGGCAGACTAAGCTAACAAAACAGAGACTTCAGTGGGAGCACATGACAAAGAATACAGACTTCACAGAATTAGTCCAGGAAAGTCACTAAACAAACAGCAACAACAACAATAACTAGCAACAATAAACTCTGGGAGGTGAAAGAATCTAATTTCCAGAGTTGCCACACTGTATTATTTAAAATGCCCAGTTTTCAACAAAAATTTATGAGACATACAAAGAAACTGGAAAGTAGAGCCCAAACACAGAAAAAAGCACAGTCAAAAGAAACTGCTGTTGAGGAATCCCAGATATTAGACTTACTAGGCAAAGACTATAAATCAGCTATTACTAAAAGAAACCAGTTTTAAAATTAAAGGAAAGTATAAGAATGAAGTCTTGCCAAATATAGAATGATCAATAGAGATAGAAAACATTTTTTTAAAAGACAAACAGAAATTCTGCAGTTGAAAAATATAACAACTGAAATGTATAATTCACTAGAGGGGCTCAGCATCATATTTGAGTTGGCAGAAGAATCAACAAACTTTAAGACAGGCTAATTGAGATTATGAGGAAAGGAATATGAGGATAATTGGGGAAAGAAAAATGGATGAAGAAAAATTAAGTCTTAGAGACCTGTGGGACACCATCAAGCACACCAACATACAACTCCTCATCAGAAACCACAGAGTCCAAAAGGCAGTCAGGTGACATATTCAAAATGCTGAAAGAAAAAGAACATCTACCAAAAATTCTGTATGTAGCAAAATTATTGTTCAAAAGTGAAGGAGGGGACACCAGGGGTGTGTGTGCAGAGAGGGATGACCATGTGAAGAGACAGCAAGAGGGAGGCCACCTGCAAGTCAAGAAGAAAGGCCTCAAAAGAAACCAACCCGGCCAGCACCTTGATCTTGAACTTCCAGCTTCCACAACTATGAGAAACCAAATGTCTGTTTAAATGACAACGAAAAAGTGAGAAAGAAATTAAGACAGTACCAGATAAACAAAAACTGAGAAAATTCACTGCTAACAGACCTACCCTATAAGAAATACTATCAGGAGTCCTTCAGGGTGGAATAAAAGGACACTGGGCTAACTTGAATCCATATGAAGAAATAGAGTACTGTTAAAGATGAACTATATAGTTGAATATAAAAGCCAGTATATGTATTTTTGTTCATATCTCTTTTCTTTTCCTATCTGATTTAAAAGAGCTGCATCAAGTAATAATTATCAGACTACATAGATGAGCTTATAATGTATAAAGATGTAATTTGTATGATAATAATAGAAGAAAAGGGGAGGGAACAAGGCTTTACTGGAGCAAAGTTTCTGAATAATATTGAAATTAAATCACTATTAATCCAAATTAGATTGCTTTAAATTAATATGTTAATTGTAATTCCTGGAGTGACCACGAAGAAAATAACTCAAAAAATAATAGTAGAGAAAATGACAAAAGAATTAAAATGGTGCAACCAGAAAATGTCTAATACAAAAGAAGGCACTAAGGGAGGAACAGTGAACTAAGACCTAAGGCATATAGAAAGCAACATGGTAGACACAAATCCTACCTTATCAGTAATTACATTACATGTAAATAGACTATACAATATCTCCACATAAAATTACTCAACATATGGCTCCTCTAGTTCTTATTACTGTAGTTTTTAAGATGTTGAAGATAAATATAATTATCATGGCCCAGATTTGATTTTTTTAAAACTTTTTATTATGTAAAATTTCAAATATACACAAAAATAGAGAAAATACTAAAATGAACCCCATACACCCAATATTTAACTACAACAATCATTAACTTTTGGCTAGCCTCATTTTATCTATACTCCCAACTTACTTGCCCCTAACCTATCTTGGATTATTTTTGAAACAAATCCTAGATATCATTTAATCAGAAATGAATAATCCATACGTTAGAAATTAATAACCTGCATTTTGAAAAAATGAGATATTCATTTCATAGCTATATTATAGAAAGGGGGAAGATATATTAGCATCAAAAAATAGTAACTAAATCTAAGATAAATTTAAGAAGCAATGCTATAATTTATTAAAAGTCCCAAAGAAATTTGAAAAATCTTAACAAAACTCTTTTCAATCTAGTTTTCATTCCAATCTCTTGTTTTTACCTGTTTGTTTTCTCAGGAGTCCATCCTATTTTTGACCTAGTTAGTGAGGTGGTGTTTGATGATTCACTTTTTCTTGTCAAAGAATCATTATTATTCAAAATTTGTTCCAATAGTCTTACATTTCCTGAAATAGAAGAGATATAGTATCATTTTCCAAATACTAATTCATTTCTCTTGTATATAATATCTCACATATTTGTATTCTGGCCTAAGTTAGCTTCTTATGATGATTATCTACTCAATTTATAGCCTAAAAGCCAGGCGCAGTGGCTCATGCCTGTAATCCCAGCACATTGGGAGGCTGAGGTGGGTGGATCATCTGAGGTCGGAAGTTCGAGACCAGCCTGACCAACATGGAGAAACCCCGTCTCTACTAAAAATAGAAAAAATTAGCTGGGTATGGTGGTGCGTGCCTGTAATCTCAGCTGCTTGGGAGGCTGAGGCAGGAGAATTGCTTGAACCTGGGACACGGAGGTTGCAACAAGCCAAAATCACACCATCGCACTCCAGCCTGGGCGACAAGAGTGAAACTCCATCTCAAAAAAAAAAAAAATTTATAGCCTACAAAGTAGCCTACAATTTAGGCCATAAATACACTCATCAAATAAAACTAAATATTTACACCTCATAAAAACTATACCACAACCAGGCGCAATGGCTCATGCCTGCAATCCCAGCACTCTGGGAGGCCAAGGCAGCAGGACTGTTTGAGGCCAGGAGTTTGAGACCAGCCTGGGCAACAAAGCAAGACCCTGTCTCTACAAAAAAATACATAAACAAGTAAGTAAAAGGTTGAATTCATAGAAAAACCCCTACATTTATTTCCATCACAGAAAAAAGGAATTTGATAAGTGTCATCATCACGAAGTCCAGTAAAATAGACGACTTTTATAAATTAGTAAAGAAGAGATTTATCTATTTCTTCAAAGTACCAATAAGTGGATCTATCCTTTAGCCTTGTTTGTATGTAGTAAGACTACATAATAATTTTTGGTGTGAGGTTGCCTTCTTTATTAAAGATTTTATTATCTTGTGACTTTCTTAAAATTCTTTAAATGTGTCTAAGATAAGACCTGCATGCATTTAAATGATTCCAAGAATTAAAGTGTTTAGTTTAATATTTCACTTACTTTTGTTAGAAGGGGTACATTTTAAGACTCTGTAATATACTATTTTTCTTTTAATTTTTTTTATTTCCATAGATTTTTGGGGAACAGGTGGTATTTGGTTACATGAATAAGTTCTTTATTGGTGATTTGTGCGATTTTGGTGCACCCATCATCCAAGCAGTATACACTGAACCCAATTTGTAGTCTTTTATCCCTCACCCGCTTCCCACCCTTTCCCCACAAGTCCCCAAAGTCCATTGTGTCATTCTTATGGCTTTGCATTATCATAGCTTAGCTCCCATTTATGAGTGAGAACATATGATGTTTGGTTAATACATGTCCCTTATAAAAGTTCTTGCTCTGTGTTAAAAAGTTCATATATGGCCGGGCGCAGTAGCTCACGCCTGTAATCACAGCACTTTGAGAGCCCAAGGTGGGTGGATCACGAGGTCAGGAGATCGAGACCATCCTGGCTAACATGGTGAAACCCCGTCTCTACTAAAAATACAAAAAATTAGCCAGGCGTGGTGGCGGGCGCCTGTAGTCCCAGCTACTCGGGAGGCTGACGCAGGAGAATCGCTTGAACCTAGGAGGCGGAGGTTGCAGTGAGCTGAGATGGTGCCACTGCACTCCAGCCCGGGTGACAGAGCGAGACTTCATCTCAAAAAAAGTTCATATATTAGCACTTTTTCCAAGTGAACATGGTGATGAATGTTAAGTTTCTCTACGTTTTATTATTGAAATTCACACCTAAAAACAATATGAGGAAGCATGCTCTAAAAATGATCAGCCTTACCTTCAGCAAAGCATTGTTTTTTATTTATTAATAACAAAACTTGCCCAGGCACAGTGGCTCACATCTGTAATCCCAGCACTTTGGGAGGCTGAGGCGGGCAGATCGCTTGAGCCCAGGAGTTTGTGACCAGCCTGGGAAACATAGTGAAACCCCATCTCTATGAAAAATACAAAAATTAGCCTGGTGTGGTGGCGTGCACCTGTAGTCCCAGCTACTCAGGAGGCTGAAGTGGGAAGATCAACTGAGCCTGAGGAGGTAAAGGCTGCAGTGAGCCATGATCACGCCATTGTACTCCAGTCTGGGTGACAGAGTGAGACCTTGTCTCATAAAAAATAAATAAAAATTAACAAAACTTATCGAGACCATCCTGGCTAACACGGTGAAACCCCGCCTTTACTAAAAATACAAAAAATTTAACCAGGTATGGTGGTGGGCGCCCATAGTCCCAGCTAATCCGGAGGCTGAGGCAGGAGAATGGGGTGAACCCGGGAGGCGGAGCTTGCAGTGAGCCGAGATCGCACCACTGCACTCCAGCCTGGGCAACAGAGCGAGACTCCGTCTCAGAAAAAAAAAAAAAAAAAAAAAGTTAACAAAACTTGTTCATTAAAGGTTTAAGTAATAATAACCTGTAAAAGATAAAATAATTATAAATGTATACCTCCAAACCCTTTTACAAAGAATCTAAAGAAGCTTGATTTTCCCAGCAAGGGTCATTTAAAGTAAAATATTACAAATAGAGATCCCACTTCAGTTACTACTAGGCACAGAAAATCTCATGACAATTTCCTAATTTGGGATAGGTCTAGTAAAAGTCTCTATTACCTCTGTGACACGACACTTCCATATTTTCTTTTTCTTCCAAAAGATTTTCCCTCTTTGATAGTTCATCATCCCTTGAAACAGGTACAGGAGCAAATCTGCGAGGTGCTGGTGTCTCCAAAGGAGATTTCTGTTTATCAAAACTCGTATCTTCAACTTCTTTTAAAGGTGCTTTAACAGAAAATTTTTTAAAAACTTAACTTGCTTTTAAAAAGCTTTAAAAATTATAGCATATTACTCTTGCCTATACTTTAAAAATAAATTCAAAATTATAAATGATGAACAAATTATTAAGTGTAGAGAAATAACTTCACCCCATTAAAAATCAAAAGAAATGAAGACTACAAACATTGTACACTTACATCTAGTAAATACGAATCTATATGATAATATTCAGAACTACTGAAGCTGCGGTGAAACTGGCAGGCCCAGATACTTTTCATGGCAGTGAAAACTGATAAACCATCTGGCAATAAGTATAGGAAGAATTAAAGTTTTATATACTTTAACCTAGTAATCTTACTCTTATGAAATTATTCTAAGGAAATAACATAAAAGAAAGAAAATGTGCTTTAAATATGATGTTTATTACAGTATTATTTATGAAGATGAAAACCTAAAAACTGCCTGAGTATCCGAAACAGGATAATGGTCAAGTAGATTGTAAAATAGTTATTCAATAGGCCACCCTTTAGTCATTACAAGTTAAAATTATGAAGACAACTATATAAAATATGGCAAATCTTTTTATGTGCTAGTAAAAAAGTTGTATAAAATGCTACAATTACAAATATGTAAACATGATATTTGCCCAAGAAAAAGCATAGAAAAATTAAAAGTTTAATTTACTGAATTTTTACTCTTTATTTTCTTTTATTTGTTACTGTAATTTATATATACAAAGAAAAATTCAATTTACAATCAACAAAATAGACACCTTTTTCATGAAAACTCAAGTTTAAGAAAAACAAAATTATCAGCAAGAAATTCTCTGGAATTGAGTTATGAAAAAAGTGTCCACTGCTATAGAAGGCACTCAGCTGGGTCATACTGAAAGCTGAGTTCTGGCCCTAGCTCTGACATCCTCCCTCCCAAGTCAGGTAACCTTGAGCAGGCAAGTCACACCATTCTGTGCTTCACTGTCCTCTCTTCATAACTTAAAAATGGACTCATATTACTTCACAACAGTTCTTTGTTGTTGTTGTTTGTTTTTTTGTTTTTGAAACAGGGTCTTGCTCTGTCACCCAGGCTGGAGTACAGCTGCATGATCACAGCTCACTGAAGCTTCTACCTCCTGGGCTCAGGCAATCCTCCGACCTCAGCCTCCAAAGTAACTGGGACTATAGGCATGTGCCACCACACCTGGATAATTTTTTATTTTTATTTCTAGAGACAGGATCTCACTATATGTCCCAGGTTGGTCTCGAATTCCTGGACTCAAGTGATCCTCTCACCTTGGCCTCTCAAAGTGCTGGGCACAACAGTTTTGTAAGGACCACTCATTTGTTGCAAAATGTAAAGCACCTTAAAAGCATGAGCAATCTTTAATGACTGTAAAACAACACTGTTCTAACAAATCAAGTGCTGAAAATATTGTACTATATAGATCTGTATATCATTAAAGGGATAGTAGCTCGATTTTCTTTAGTTCATTATTCAAATATCAATAACTTAGAAAAACATTTATTCATTTATTTTAAATACTAAAGTTTTAACAAGTAAGCCATGTATTCCTTTGTTATTATAGAGTTTTAAAATTCAATCAAGATAAGCAGACTTGCATTACTAATTCTGAAAATATTTAGAAATGGTTTAAAAATGTACTCAGGTAGTTGCTCTGACAGAATCAAGAAAGAGCAAATATGCAGTTTGTCAGAGAACAGGAGAACTGATTTATTTACAAGCATTTTTGTAGTAAATAAGTAAATTTTTTCTAAATTTATAAGTGCTTCTGATAATTTATGAGATTAATTAAAATCAGTTAAGAACATAATCCATAATTTAAAAAATTTCAAAATAAACTAAAAATTACTTGACGCAAAAAAAGAACTCATTTTATCTAAGACAAGGTAGCCTGAGAAACACAATTTTAAAAAAAGAACATTTAAAAAAATTGTTTTATAAAACAAAAACTCCTATAAATAAATTTTATAAAACAAAAACTCCTACTGCTCAGGAAATATGTTTTCAGCTTATGTAGCACAAAGAAAATTCACAGCTGACATTTTTTATTCATAGAGAACTACATATTTTTACCTTGTTTGGAAGCAAATGTGTTATATAAAGATGGATTACAGCTACCAAGATTAGGGTGTTCTGGTTTTACGGAATACTTTTCCACTGCTCTGGAGGAGGGCATACTAACAGGCTGAAAACTACTAGTCTTGAGTGCAGCACTAATAAAATGAGTCTAGAAGAAATAAGATTATTTTATTATTTTCAAATATCATTTGAAAGAGTTAGATGATAAAATACATTGAAATATTAGAGGAGTTAAACATAATTTACTGCATTTAATAAACAATGAAAAATATGTATTACATTGCAAGTATCCACTGTAGTAGCAGCAGTGATGCCATTGGAAAGATGTAGAAGCACAAAGATCTGACTAAGCCTGACTCTGCTGTGTGACCTTAATCATTTTCCTTAACCATTCTAAACCTCAGTGCTGTCCTTTCTACCACAGACATGGCTCAGGGGCCATTGCAGCCGGCTAAGAGAAGACCAGGAAGGAGAGGCCCTCACCCTAAACCTCTACTTGAATCAGAGAATTTTAAACCAAAACATCCCATCTTTTATATCCTAAATGGTAGGATTTTGTTTGAGGTCAAGGTTTGAAAATCATTGATAGTGAGTACTCAAATAAACATCCATGCTTAGCAGCAGCAATAATATATGCATTTGTATATAAATGGAAACTAGAGTGACAACATAGTTTTCAGCACTATTTATTAAAATACCTGAAATGGGGCCCGGTGCAGTGGCTCAAGCCTGTAATCCCAGCACTTTGGGAGGCCAAGGCAAATGGATCACCTGAGGTCAGGAGTTCGAGGCCAGTCTGGCCAACATGGTGAAACCCCGTCTCTCCTAAAAATACAAAAATTAGCTGGGTGTGGTGGTGGGAGCCTGTAATCCCAGCTACTCAGGAGGCTGAGGCAGGAGAATCACTTGAACCCGGGACACGGAGGTGGCAGTGAGCCGAAATGGTGCCACTACACTCCAGCCTGGGTGACAGAGCAGGACTCTATCTCAAAAACAAAATAAAATAAAACAAAATAAAATAAAATAAAATAAAATAAAATAAAATATCTGAAATGAGCAAGTATCTTAACTAATAAAACTGGTTTCAAAAAAGAGGGTTTTATTGTTTTGTTTTAATTTTTGTGAGTACACAGTAGGTGTATATATTTATGGAGCACATGAAATACTTTGATACAGGCATGCAATGAGTAATAATCAAAATAGAGTTTTATGCCAGGCCAAGAAAAACCTAAAAAAATTTATAGTTTTACAGAATTTCTAAAAGTGTGTTGAGATCCCTCTACATAAAACAGATGAAACAGACTCAACTAATTTCATTTCATTAAGCATTTACTGAACAACTAATATATCCAGTATGTAAACAAAACTTCAACTCTCTCTGTAATTATAAGCTTTATAAGTAAGACATCTAAATTAGCAGATTTCATTCTTCCAAAATTAGAAAGTCATTAAGTTACAGATTTAGTTATGGAAGGATGGATGATGGCAGGTAAGTACTTAGGACTAAGTAGGAGCCACTCCTTAAGGAATCAATGTGCTTTTCAAATGTGTCATCTCATTTTATCCTGAACAACAGAAAATATTTTCTAGGTAAAGAAATTGAGGCTTAAAGAAGTAAAGTTATCTATAAACTAATAGTTTATAGACTCATTCCTGGTCTCTCACTAGATAATTTGCTGCGTGCTCAATTTTAGTCATGCAGGGAGTACTTACTAAACTTTACTTGGTATGCATATAATCATTCCAATAAAATATTATCTTCAACCACATGAAAAGCTCAAGATAAACCCTGTTAAGTCTTGAAAATTATAGCAAATTAATGTCTACTTTATGATGATATATTAAGTATAATAAACTTATTTTAGTACATTCTTCTGAATTTTTGTCTTAAAAAATATATAATTTAGAAAGTCATTAAGTTATAGATATATACATATATGTGTGTGTATATATATACACACACACATATATATACATTTGTTGTTGTTGTTAAGATAGAGTCTTGCTCTGTCACCCAGGCTGGAGTACAGTGGCCCAATCTCAACTCACTGCAACCTCTGCCTTCCGGATTCAAGTGATTCCCCTGCCTCAGCCTCCTGAGTAGCTGGGACTACAGGCATGTGCCACCATGCCCAGCTAATTTTTTGTATCTTTGGTAGAGATGAGGTTTCACCATGTTGGCCAGGCTGGTCTTGAACTCCTGACCTCAAGTGATCCACCCACCTCGGCCTCCCAAAGTGCTGGGATTATAGGGATGAGCCACTGTGCCCAGCCTGAATGTTATATTTTAATTTTTTTAAGTTTTTAAATGCACAGTAGGCCAGGCGCGGTTACTCACTTCTGTAATCCCAACACTTTGGGAGGCCAAGGCAGGCGGATCACCTGAGGTCAGGAGTTTGAGACCAACCTGGCCAACATGGTGAAACCCCATCTCTACTAAAAATATAAAAAGTTAGCTGGGCATGGTGGTGGGCGTCTGTAATCCCAGCTACTTGGGAGGCTGTGGCAGGAGAATCGCTTGAACATGGGAGGCGGAGGCTGCAGTGAACTGAGATTGCGCCACTGCACTCCAGTTTGGGCGATAAGAGCAAAACTCTGTCTCAAAAAAATAAATAAATTTCATATTAGAAAAAAAAGGAAATTAAAACCAACACATTTACAATGCTGATCATTCCCTCACTCACTCAAAAAAAAAAAAAAAAAAGAGTTTACTGAGTGCTAAGTCGTGTTCTAGGAGTTAGAAATTCCAAAATAGGCCGAGCACAGTGGCTCACGTCTGTAATTCCAGCACTTTGGGAGGCCATGATGGGTGGATCACTTGAGGCCAAGAGTTCGAGACTGGTCTGGCCAACATGGTAGAACCCTGTCTCTACTGAAAATACAAAAATTAGCTGGGCATGGTGGCGCAGGCTGGCAATCCCAGCTACTCGGGTAGCTGAAGCATGAAAATCACTTGAATCTGGGAGGTGGAGGTTGCAGTGAGCCGAAAACACACCACTGCACTCCAGCCTGGGCAACAGAGTTAGACTCCGTCTCAAAAAAAAAAAAAAGAAAAAGAAAGAAAAAGAAATTCCAAAATAAATAAGAAAGTATGCTACAGCTCCTTGTGAGGATAATGCTTTTTATAATAGCCCAGTGCCTTACTCTCAAAAGGCATTAAAAATGTTCATTATTTTAATTAATTAAATGCAAAAGCAAACATGTACACCAGGTAGTTCTTATCCAACGGTGTGCATCAGAATCATTATGAAGCTTTCAATGATTGCCAGGCACTACCTCAGAATCGCTGGCTCAAAATCACTGAAAGGCCTAAGCATGTGTGTTTGTGTATGTGTATATGTGTGTGTGTGTGTGTGTGTGTATGTATGTGTGTGTGTATATAGTTCTTTTTTTTTGAGATAGGGTCTCACTCTGTCATCTAGGATGAAGTGCAGTTGTATTATCATAGTTCACTGTAACTGCAAACTCCTGGACTCAAGGTCTCCGGCAGTCTCAGCCTCTCAAGTATCTGGGACTACAGGCACATGCCACCATGCCAGGCTAAATTTTTTTTTTTTTTTTTTTTTTTTTTTCCTAAGAGATGAGGTCTTGCTACATCAACCAGGCTTATCTTGAACTCTCGGCCTCAAGCAATCCTCTTAGCTTGGCCTGCCAAGCACAAATATTTTTATAAAGCTGTTCAAGTAATTCTAGTGCACATTCCCAGACTGAAAACTGCTGACGTAAACCAATAGTTGCAATATGATATAAGCACTTAAAAATATGGCTGGGCATGGCAGCTCACGCAGGTAACTCTAGCACTTTGGGAGGCCGAGGAAGGCAGATCACTTGAGGTCAGGAGTTAGAGACCAGCCTGACCAACATGGTGAAACCCCACCTCTACTAAAAATACAAAAATTAGCTGGGCGTGGTGGTGTGCGCCTGTAATCCCAACTATATGGGAGGCTGAGGCAGGAAAATCTCCTGAACCCAGGAGGTGGAGGTTGTAGTGACTGGAGATTCTACTACTGTACTTCAGCCTGGGCAACCATAGCAAACTCCATCTCAAAAAATAAATAATAAAAATGATATGAACAAAAATAGTGTAAAAGGAGGAAAAGCCAACTAGAGGGAGAGGTCTCACACAACTAGTGACATTTGAGATATAACATTCAGAGTTACCCGCATTACAGGAGAAGAAAGATAAGCAAATCATGATTTCAGAACTAAAACTGTTACAATCTAATGAGCTACTGTAATTATCAATGAATACTGGCTGAGAGATCCAAGTGATAAAAGATTATGGAATCTGTACTGGATTTATTACAGATACCTGAATATCTATTTGTTGTTGTTGTAACTTTTCAAGATGCCTTATGTGCTGCTCCATAAACACATTCATTTGCTTTTCGTGATCATGACAATGTAATTTCTCTTGTTTCCTCTGAATGCTTGTTTGCTGCTCTGTAACACGTTGCAGGTGTTTATCAGTCTCCTGTAATTTACTAAGTAATTCTGTAACAGAATTGACTTTTGCTTCCAAATCACTCTGCACCTAAAACAATAAAAACATTTTTAAAAATTCACATTATAGGATACCAAAAATATGTCTAATTACTAGAAATGTTATTTAAATCAATTGGCATTGATAAGTGATCTAATTTGAGCCTTTACCCACTAAATGTCTAATGATTTAATGCCTTTATTTTTAGAGTCACAGAAATGAAAGGCAGAAGATAGCTATCCTTAGGTAAATGTTTCCTCTCAAACAAAAGAAAAAAAAATTGGCCAGGCGCGGTGGCTCACACCTCTAATCCCAGCACTTTGGGAGGCCAAGGCAGGCAGATCACGAGGTCAGGAGATCGAGACCATCCTGACCAACACGGTGAAACCCCCATCTCTACTAAAATACAAAAAATTAGCCAGGCATGGTGGCGTGCGGCCTGTAGTCCCAGCTACTCGGGAGGCTGAGGCAGAGGAATCACGTGAACCCAGGAGGCGGAGGTTGCAGTGAGCTGAGATCGCACCACTGCACTTCAGCCTGGGCAACAGAGTGAGACTCCGTCTCAAACAAATCTGCCACAAATAATTTTATGATGCCTAAAACAAGACACTTAAATGGAAATTAAAAAGAAGAAAACAGCAAAGCAAAGTAGCTTTTGATATTTTACTAACATAAGGCTGAGTTAGGTCAGCAGCCTTGAGTTCTAGTTTTGGCTCTGTCACTTACTCGTTCTAGACTCATAGGCCTACTCTGACCTGTTTCTCTGCTTCCCTATTTACAAAGCGACAGCTAAGGCATAGATTATCTCTAAGGTTCCTCTAGCTCTCAAATAAGAATAACCGATTATCCAGGTTGCCAGGACCAAGGTGTTTCCCAGGATGTAGGACTCTCAGTGCTAAAACTGGGAAAGTTCTAAATTCACCAGTGCCATCACAGTATTAGAGGGTAATTTTCACATTTCCTGAGAAGTAACACACAACCACAAATGGGAAAATTCTTTCAAATTGAGAGCAACTACAATGTTCCTAGTCTATAACTGGACACAACCATTTATAGAATCAGTTCTTAGTAAGTACTTCTATATTTCACAAAGTAGTTATGATTATCTGGGAAGAAAAATATACCTTTATCAACGGAGCTGCGGTTGCAATGGCAGCAGCAGTTGCTGCAGCCACGGTTGTAGCTGAATCAATTCCACTGGGTGAAATTCTAGTCTCCTGAGTAACAGCATCCTTCTCTATGCCTGCATCTTCTAACAGATGTACCTTTACTTCCTTAAAAACAGGCATGCTTTGAGCTCTATAAATAAAAAAGCAATAAAAATGTATTCAGTAAACTACATTGAAACATTTCAAGAAATACTTAACAAATGGTAATCTGCCGAAGGTGGTTTTGATTTTTTTTAATTAAATCACCTATCAAACAAGGTCATTTGGTTAACAAAATTTATCAAGGTCCAGGTCACTAAGGGCTAAAGAAATAAGAAGATAATTCCTTGAAGGTAGCAATATTATTTTGGAAAATAAGAATTAAACATATGAAAAAGGCATAGCACAATTATAAAGACATTTTCAAGAAGTACAAATTTAAAACACTCACAAGGTGGCACGGTGGGATTATGCCTGTAATCCCAATTTGGGAGGCCAAGGCAGGTGGATCACCAGGTCAGGAGTTAGAGGCCAGCCTGGCTAACGTGGCGAAACCCCGTCTCTACTAAAAATACAAAAATTAGCCGGGCGTGGTGGCATGCGCCTGTAGTCCTAGCCACTCAGGAGGCTGAGGCAGGAGAATTACTAGAACCCAGGAGGCGAAGGTTGCAGTGAGCCAGGATTGCGCCACTGCACTCCAGCCTGGGTGACACAGTGAGACTCTGTCTCAAAACAAACAAACAAAACAAACAAACAAAAAAAACTACTCAGAAAAAGCTCCAAGAATTAAAGTACCAAGCTTTACTCCTAAAGGCAGACAACCCAAGAAACACTATTGTTTTCTTTTTTCTTTTATTATTTTTTTAAAGACTAGTCAAGTACAGTAGTGAGAAGGGGAGAAAAAGTGGAGTAAGTCTGGTCTGTGCCGGGTGTGGTGGCTCAGGCCTATAACGCTAGCACTTTGGGAGGCCAAGGCAGGTGGATCGCTGGAGCTCAGGAGTTTGAGACTAGCCTAGGCAACATGGTGAAACCCCATCTCTACTAAAATACAAAAAATTCGCTGGGCATGGTGGTGTATGCCTGTAATCCCAGCTACTCACGAGGCTGAGGCAGGAGAATCACTTGAATCTGGGCAGCGGAGGTTGCAGTGAGCCTAGATGGCACCACTGCACTCTAGCCTGGGTGACACAGCGAGACTCTGTCTCCAGAAAAATAAAATAAAACAAAAAGTTTGGTCTGTAACTGACTGTGAACAATCAATTGAGATAACTTATTACCTTCAGACAAGCTGCTGTGGTTTTTCCATTATTGATAATTTCATCCTCCAAATATTTATATAAGAATTATAACATTATCGGCCAGGTGCAGTGGCTAGCACATGTTATCCCAGCACTTTGGGAGGCCAAGGTGGGCAGACAGCTTAAGGCCAGGAGTTCGAGACCAGCCTGGGCAACATGGCAAAATCCTGACTCTACAAAAAATACAAAAATTAGCCAGGTGTGGTGGCACACACCTGTAGTCCCAGCTACTCGGGAGGCTGAGGTGGGAGGATCTCATGAGCCTGAGGAGGTAGAGACTGCAGTGAGTTGTGATCACCCCACTGTGATCACTCCAGCCTGTGAGACAAAGTGAGACACTGTCCCAGAAAAAAAAAAAAAAAAAAAAAGAATTGTAAGAATTACAGCACTATTGATGTACACTTTGTGACTATTTTTTATCCCACTTTACTGAGGTATAATTGAAAAAAAATTGTATATATTTACAGTGTGATATTTTGATATATGTATACATTGTAAAACGATTATAGTCAAGCTATTAGCATACCCATCACTTCACATAATTATCTTTTTATGTGATGAGAACATTTAAGATCTACTGTCTTAGCAATTTTCAAGTATACAATTCATTATTATTAACCATAGTTACATGCTGTACAATAGATCTCTAGAATGTATTAACCCTGTCTAAGAGAAATTATACCTTTTGACCTCTATCCCCCACTTTCTCCCCACCCCCAGCCCCTGGCAACCACCATTCTACTTTCTGCTTCTATAAGTCTGACTTTTTCAGATTCCACATGTAAATGAGAATACATGATATTCATCTTTCTGTGCCTGGCTTATTTCACTTAGCATAATGTCCCCAAGAGGGATTGATAACACCACTGAAAAGAATTTTCTGAATTCTAGGTCATTTAGATTTACTTAACAAATATCACTCAGGTAGGCCAGGCACAGTGGCTCACGCCTGTAATCCCAGCTCTTTGGGAGGCTAAGGCGGGTGGATCACCTGAGGTCAGGAGTTTGAGACCAGCCTGACCAACATGGTGAACCCTGTCTCTACTAAAAATACAAAAAATTAGCCAGGCGTGATGGCGGGAGCCTGTAATACCAGCTACTCAGGAGGCTGAGGCAGGAGAATCGCTTGAACCCAGGAGACGGAGGTTGCAGTGAGCAGAGATCACACCATTGCATTCCAGCCTGGGCGACAAGAGCGAAACTCAGTCTAAAGAAAGGACAGGACAGGACAGGAAAGAGGGAGGGAGGGAGGAAGAGAGAGAGAGAGAGAAAGAAGAAAAGAGAAAAGCAGAGCAGAGCAAAGCAAGACAGAAAGAAAGGAAGGTCACTCAGTTTATTAAAATGTTCACAAAATACATTATTAAGAAGCCTGAATTAGGTGGGTGTAGTGCTACATGCCTGTAATCCTAGCACTGTGGGAGGCTGAGGCAGGAAGACTGCTTGAGCCCAGGAGTTCAAGACCAGCTGGGCAACATGGCAAACCCTGTCTCTAGAAAAAAAAAAAAAAAATTAAAAATTAAAAAAAGACCCTGAAATGAAAACAAGTCCAGCAAATAGATACATACTTGCAATAAGGCATTTAATTAAATACTGAAAGAAAAAAGAAGGCTAGCCAATTTGCTCGGTATTTGGCCTCAAAGAAAACAATGAAAGGAACCACTGACAAAACTGAAGAGTCCCTAAGAGAGTCTAAGTAAAATTGGCAGGAATACATTCCATCTCCAGCTGCTGGACTTCCCCGTCGACTTTTAAGGGCATCACAGAACTCTTAAACTTACTCCTCTTTGATATTTCCCCATTTCTACTAAGAATAACATTTTTCTCTCAGTCTCAAAATGTTGAAGTCATCTTGACTTCTCTACTTGCTTACCGTCTCATACCCAATTGAATCATAAAGAGTTGTCAATTATTTCATCACAATTGCATGAAGAGTGTCATAGAATTATAGAGCTGAGAGAAACTTATAGGACATCCATCCTAATTTCCTAATTTTATAGATGAAGAAATTGCAGTCCACAGAGGTCACAGGATATCCTAATTTCCTAATTTTACAGATGAAGAAATGGCAGTCTGGCCAGGCGCGGTGGCTCACGCCTGTAATCCCAGCACTTTGGGAGGCTGAGGCGGGCGGATCACGAGGTCAGGAGATCGAGACCATCCTGGCTAACACGGTGAAACCCCATCTCTACTAAAAAATACAAAAAAGTAGCCGGGCGTGGTGGCAGGCGCCTGTAGTCACAGCTACTACGGAGGCTGAGGAAGGAGAATGGCGTGAACCCAGGAGTTGGAGCTTGCAGTGAACCGAGATCACGCCACTGCACTCCAGCGTGGGCAATAGAGCGAGACTCCGTCTCAAAAAAAAAGAAAGAAAAAAAGCAATGGCAGTCCACAGAGGTAACAGGATTTACTTGATCACTGTCATAGAACTATTTATTAAGTGGTAGAGTTAGGGCCCAATTCCCAGAGGTCTTACCATGACACCAGGGCTTTTTCTCTCAGTTTGGCACATTTCCCTTCTCACTTCTCTCTCTCAACCGTAAGGTTTCATCACCTATTACTAACTATTCCATTCTTCCAGTTTCTACTTGCTTAGAAACTTCCTACACGTCACCATTCAAAAATCTAAAATTATTCCTTATAAACAACTGAATTGGCTAATTTCCTCTGTTTGGCTTTCCATACACGAGGCACTCCTCACTAACTACATATACCATGCCATGCCCACAAGTGACTCCACACTTTGCCTCACTCTGCTCTCTCACCCTTCTTCCACCCAACTTATTACATCCTTCTCCTCCTTTAAGGTGCAATGCAAGTACTACCTTCTTCAAGAAGCCTGTTCTTCTAGCACTTCCTCTTGATCTCTCCCTTCATTAACTCCTTTTGCATTTACTACCTATCAACGGAGGCTTGCTACTTAGCCATCCCAGGGTTTAAATATCTGTATGGGACAATTTAATAATATATTGAATGTAATTAATCACTAATTCTTCCATATATATACATATTATCTCCCCAATTAAGCTGTAAGCAACCTGGGGTTGGGAATGGTAGCAGGACTTCTTTCATACCAAACAGCAAGTAACAAAGGGTTAGGTATGTAGTAAGTGCTCAATATATATATTTAACCAATTGAGGGGTAGAGTATGAAAATATAATTCAGGAATTCCTTATTTTTAAGGTTTCTGCCTGAAGTCTGAAAGTGACTTACCTTTGCCCAATAAGAGAAACATTATAAGGCTAGACATAAATTTCTTTATAGGCTTTTAAATTTTATTTTTTCCAATTATTACATTAATAAATGCTCAATGTGGCAAATGTAAAGAGCTACGACATATAAATGTCAAAAAAATGCACATAACCCTCCCATTAAGAAGCAATTATTTCATTCTAGTCTTCTTTTTTAGCCAGTTTTTCTTTATTCTTAAACCCACTGAACATCCCAATGCTATGCTGCAACTATTCTCACCAAAGCCACTAAGAATCCTGCTTGCTCAATTCAGTGTATTTTTCAGTACTTAGCTTCCATTACCTCGGAGCAGCATATCACACTTGGAACCTAATTCCCCTTGGCTTTGTTAACACCATACCCCCTACATCTCTGGCCAAACTTTCTGAGCAGCATTTAGAAGCTAGCTTGCTTTCTCCACATACTCCTTAAATGTTTGGTTTTCTCAGAATGCATCCAGCCCTAGCCATCTCTCTTTCACTATCATAACCTCATTGAATCACTTCAACTATTCCCAGAGCTTAGACTTAGACTACCACTTACATAATGATGACTTCTGCATCTTAATTTCCAGCTTGGATCCCTTTTGTGAACTTGGCCTTTTTTTTTTTTTTTTTTTTTTTTTGAGACAGGATCTCACTGTCACCCAGGCTGGAGTGTATTAGCATAACCATGGCTCACTGCAGCCTCAACCTCTTGGGCTCAAGTGATCCTCCTGCCTCAGCCTCTCAAGTAATGAGGAGTACAAGCACATGCCACCCCACCTGGCTAATTTATTGTTTTTAGAGATGGGGTCTTGCTATGTTGCCCAGGCTGATCTCAAACTCCTAGGTTCAAGCCATCCTCCCAGCTTGACCTCCCAAAGTGCTGAGATTATAGGCATGAGCCACTGTCTGGCAACTTGACCTTTATATTCCATTTTCTCCTGAACACTTCTTACCCACATTTCTCACAGGAACCTCAAACCCTTGCCCATGCCCAGAATAAGTTATCCCCCACAAGGATTTCCTTTCTCAATGAGTAATACTACTCACCATGTATTTGTGAAAGCCAAAAATCTGGGATTCAACCTTAGTGCCTTCCTTACCCTCATATCTAATTAATGATTCCTGTCAATTCAATCTCCTAATCATCTTCCAAATTTGTCTCTTCCTCTCCAACTGAGCATGATTCCCATTACCATACCACCACTGCCCAGTGTATTCAGGACCAATCTAACTCACTCCTCCCTGAAAACTCCAGAGCCAATTCATTTGCTGGACTATAGTCTAGCCCTCTTCCAATCCATTTCTTCATATGGCTACCAGAGTGAGTATTTTAAGAAATATATCTAATTCTTTAAAACTTTTCAATGATTTGCCATTTATCTTATATTAAAGACCAAATTCCTTTAGGGGAGTTCATAACCTAGTCCCTTGCTTATCTCTCCAGTCACACACAAGGGAGTTCTCCCGTTGTTCTAGACACTCTAGCCAGATTCTTCATTCCTCTAAGGCTTTAGAGTACATTATAATATCAATTAAGGCAAGTTCTCCATCATCCCATTTTTGTTTTTGCTTTTCCAAATTTATCTTAGCTATTCCAAACTGAATGTATTCTATATGGATGTATCCTTAATTCTGTGTGTATGTATATACACACATATACAGTATAAATATATACATACAGTATACACACAGGCACATACTTTTTTTTTCTCAACAGTATGTTCTTCTAGGTAAGTGTTAGAATTACATTTCCAATTTACATCTACCACTTATTCTCAAAATAACAAAAAATTTTAAGACTGACCACAGCCAAACATATGCTAATTTTGTAATAACTTGTATTTTTACAGCGCTTAGTCTTCCCATCCAAGAACATGTTGAGTCTCTTAATTTATCTTAGCCTTTGGTTATTTCCCTTGACAAAATTTCATACTTCTTCAGACAGATTCTATAGACTTCTGGTTATGAGTATTCCCAACTTTTTTTTTTTCGGTGGGGACATTGCTATGGTAATTGTTATTTCATTTTATTATTGAATAATATGCTGAGTATCTGGTCACCTTCCTGAACTTCCATTAGTGTAAAAATTTCTGAGTTAGTGGTCTCTTGGATATTCTGAATACACAATATTTTCTACAAATTATAACTTTGCCTCCTCTTTTTCAATATCCATAACTGATTTCATTTTCTTATCTAACTGCTACAACTAAGGCTTCCAAATTAAGTTTAAAAAATAATGGACATCTTGTCTTGTTCCCAATTTTACTGTTAAACAGGGTATTGACTGCAGGTTTCCAATAAACATTGTCCTTCATGTTAAGAATGTATCATTCTGGCTGGGCACGATGGGTCAAGCCTGTAATCCCAGCACTTTAGAAGGCCAAGGTGGGCAGATCGCCTAAGGTCAGGAGTTTGAGACCAGCCTGGCTAACATGGCAAAACCCCGTCTCTACTAAAAATACAAAAAATCAGCCGGGCATGGTGGCACATGCCTGTAATCCCAGTTACTCAGGAGGCTGAGGGAGGAGAATCACTTGAACTGGGGAGGCGGAGGTTGCAGTGAGCCAAGATCACACCGTTGCATTCCAGCCTGGGTGACAAGAGTGAAACTCCATCTTAAAAAAACAAAAAAGGAATGTATCATTCTATTCTTAAAGAAGTTTGTGGGTATTATGTGTGTATGTGGTGACTGAGTATAAAATGGGTATGGAAGGGGGGCATAGGGAGAGATTTGTTAAAGGATACAAAATTACAGCTACATAGGAGGAATAAGTCAGGAATACGTTACAGCTAGATAGGAGGAATGACTATAGTAGGATGAGTATAGTTAACAATAATGTGTTACACGGTTAAAAGGAGGATATTGAAGGTTCCTAACACAAAGAAATGATAAATGTTTCAGATGATGGATATGCTAATTACCATGATCTGATCACTACACATTATAAGTACAACACTACGTACCCTACAAATAGGTACAATTATTTGTCAATTTAAAAAATAAAAAAATTAAGAAGATATGGGCATAAAATGTCATTAAATGTGACTGTAGTGCTTGCCACATATATTTTCTTATTTGATCAAATGATATAAATGTATTAATAGATCATGAATTATTGTAGTGGCGCAATGGTTAAGAGCACTGTCTCTGGAGAGAGACTGCCTGGGTGACTTAAACCCTTCTATTCCTTAAGCTTGAAACATTATTAGACGTGCTAGGCTTTTGTAAAGATCAAGTAGTATGTAAGAAGTGCAGCCAGGTATGTTGGCTCATGCCTGTAATTCAAGCACTTTCAAAGGCTGAGACGGGAGGACTTCTTGTGCCCAGGAGTTTGAGACCAGCCTGGGCAATATAGTGAGACCCTATATCTACAAAAAGTAAAAAAGTTAGCTGGATGTGGTGGCACATGCCTGTAGTCCCAGCTACTCTGGCGGGGGGGCGGTTAGGGGGACCTCAGGTTGTAGGATTACTTGAGCCTGGGAGGTCAAGGCTGCAGTGAGCCGTGAACCTACCCATGAACTCCAGCCTGGGTGACAGAGCGAGATCCTGTCTCAACAAAATAAAAAACAGAAAGTAAAACAAAAATAAAGAAGTGCAGAGGACAGTGGCTGGTGCATAAGTGTTACATCAGAATTTGCTATTACCATTTTTAAAACATTGCTGCATTCCAATCACTGTGTATTAATCTTTTAACATATGATAAAATATAATTTACTCATAACTTATTTAAAGAACTAGGTTTGTTTAAATTACAATAGCATGATGAAAATATCTCTGATGAAACTAATTGTTAGGTGTTGATACTTGGGCTAGGTTAGCATCATAAAATGACATGAGGGGCATTCTTTGCTTTTCATTGCTCTGGAGCAGAATATATAGCATGATCATAATCTGTTTCTTAAAATTTTTCAAGAACTCAAACAAAATCATGACTGCTTTTGGAGATTGCTCTTTGAAGGTTTTTTTTAAATTTATTTCCCAGTAACTGGCCTATTAAAATCTTCTTAGTTATATGGTTATTTTTGGTGAGTTATTTCTTTCATCTAGATTTCTTAATTTGTAGCATTCATGTACACAGTATTCTTAATACACTGTATTCTTAATACCTTCTAAGTCTATCATTATGTCCTCTTTTTACTTCTAACATGCATTCTCTCACCAGTTTTCTGACTTAGACTTGTCCAAGATTTGCTTATTACACTGACGTACTTCTAGAACTAGTTGAAAACATTCTACTGTGTTTATGTTTTCTTTTATCTGGTATACTTGATTTCTTCTGCTTTCCCTGCTTTTTTCCTATCATTCAGCATCTGTCTGTCTGTCTGTCTCCCTATTTTTCTGATGAGACGGGGTCTCATTCTGTCACCCAGGCTGGAGTGCAGTGGCATGAACATGGCTCATGGCATCCTCAAACTCCTAGGCCCAAGTGATCCTTCCACCTCAGCCTCCCAAGTACCTGGGACTACAGGCACACACCACCATATCTGGCTAATTTAAAAAAATTAGCTATATTGCCCAGACTGGTCTCAAACTCTTGGGCTCAAGTGATCCTCCTGTCTTGGACTCCCAAAGTGCTAGGACTACAGGCATGAGCCACCATGCCCAGCTTCCTTCAGCTTTTATAAGAAATTATTTTCCTGCTAAATTTCTAAAATTGACTGTTTAGACTCTTTGTCCTCAAATTTCCATATGCTGTAATTTGATACAAAAAGGTGGTGTATTAACAGATCAATCCTAATTTCACAATAAGAGATAAAATCAGATATCTATGTATCCCGATGTATTACACAGGAAGTATATAATATCACCTATCAAGCATTCTTGCCACTTGACAGAAATTCAAGGTTGAAAGAAACATGTTAAAGACAACAAAAGGATACATTCAGCAAAATCCAGAAGGTAGAAAATTTCTTAAGACAAACAAATTATAAGAAAAACGAAATAAGGGTAAATCTGTAGATTAAAACAAACTGAAGGCTGATCATGGTGGCTCACACCTGTAATCCCAGCACTGTGGGAGACCAAGGTGGGCGGATCACCTGAGGTCAGGAGTTTGAGACCAGCCTAACCAACATGGTGAAACCTCATCTCTACTAAAAATACAAATAATAGCCAGGCGTGGTAGTGTGTGCCTGTAATCCCAGCTACTCAGGAGGCTGAGGCAGGAGAATTGTTTGAACCCAGGAGGTGGAGGTTGCAGTCCAGCCTAGGCAACAGAGCGAGACCCTGTCTTAAAAAAAACAAAAACAAAAACAAACTTAAGAGACATATCATTCAAATGTAAAGTGTGGCTCTTCCTTAGATTCTAACGCAAAATTAAATTAACCACAGGGCGCACTGGCTCACGCCTGTAACCCCAGCACTTTGCAGGGCCGAAGCAGGTAGATCACCTGAGGCCAGGAGTTCAAGACCAGCCTGGCCAACATAGTGAAACCCCATCTCTACAAATATACAAAAATTAGCTGGGCATGATGGCAGGTGCCTGTAATCCCAGCTACTTGGGAGACTGAGGCAGGAGATTGCTTGAACCTGGGAGGCAGAGGTTGCAGTGAGCCGAGATTGTGCCACTGCACTCCAGCCTGGGCGACGCGAGACTCCATCTCTAAATAAATAAATAAATAAAAGAAAATGGGGATTCTATAAAATTGGGATAGTAAATCTATTTTATAAGTGTGTTAAATGAGTTAATACTATAGCACTTCCATAATAATAACTGCTAACTGCTACTGAGTATTTTATACGTGTCTAGCACCATGAGAAATGCTTTATACATATCACACAATATATATTTCACATAGTGAAAAGGTTTTTCATATGTCCAAAGTACAAATGAAGCTGATTTACATAAGAAATGGTCCAATTATTTTCTGTAAATGAAACTTACTTTTGCTTTAAAACTGTTCTTAGAGCATCTTTCTGTCCCATTGTATACTGAGAAATGAAGATGTCATTTGCTGCAAAATCAAGACACAAAAATATATATTAAATTCCTGAATATTTATTAAACTTTAATAAGCTACTAAAAAAATCTTTTTTAACTAAAAGAATGTTTAGGAACTCAGCCATAGCATTCCACGATCGAAAAGGACAAGGAACAAATTAAGTGATTAAGTAATAATATAATCCTCATAATCCCAAACCCACAGCCAACATCATACTGAACGGGCAAAAGTTGAACACATTCCCCCTAAGAACTAGAACAAGACAAGGATGCCCACTCTTACCACTCTTTTCAATACAGTAGTGGAAGTCCCAGCCAGAGCAATCAGACAGAGAAAGAAAGAAAAGGCATCCAAAAAGTAAAAGGAAGTCCAATTACCTCTGTTCACTGATGACATGGTCCTATACCTAGAAAACCCTAAAGATTCCTACAAAATGCCCCTAGATCTGATAAATGACTTAAGTAAAGTTTCAGGATACAAAATCAACGTACAAAAATCAGTAGCGTTTCTATACACTAATAACATTCAAGCTGAGAATGAAATCAAGAACTCAATGCCATTTACAACAGCGGCACACAAAAAATAAAATTCCTAGGAATACATTTAATCAAGAAGGTGAAAGATCTCTACAAGGAGAACTATAAAACACTGATGAAAAAAATCACAGATGACACAAATAAGTGGAAAACATTCCATGCTCATGAATTAGAAAAATCAATATCGTTAAAATGACCATACTGCCCAAAGCCATCTACAGATTCAATGCAATTCCTATTCAATTACCAACATCATTTTTCACAGAATTAGAAAAAACTATTTTAAAATTCATATGGAGCCAGACACGGTGGCTCACGCCTGTAATCCCAACACTTTAGGAGGCTGAGGTAGGCAGATCACTTGAGGTCAGGAGTTTGAGACCAGTCTGGTCAAGATGGTGAAACCCTGTCTCTACAAAAAAAAAATAGAAAAATTAGCTGGGTGTGGTGGTGTGCACCTGTAATCCCAGCTACTCAGGAGGCTGAGGCAGGACAATTGCTTGAACCCGGGAGCTGGAGGTTGCAGTGAGCTGAGATTACGCCACTGCACCCCAGCCTGGACAACAGAGGGAGACTCCGTCTCAAAAAAAAAATTTATAAACATATCTAATACTAAACCTCTGCAATAGGTTGGTAATAACAAGATAACCTTCACCATTGCAAACCTTATTCTGGATTTTATAGCTTCTAGTGATAGCTTAATTTGGGAAGAAAAACTAATTTAAAATGAAAATAATAAAAACTATAAGACTACGTAATAAATGTTTAAAAATAAATTCTACCCTTAAGAAGAAAATTCTGACACATACTACAACATGGATGAACCTTTAAAACATTATGCTAAGTGAAATAAGCCAGTCACAAAAGGTCAAATACTATATGATTCTACTTATATAACGTACCTAGGGTAGTCAAATTCATAGAGACAAAAAGTAGGATGCCCAGGGCTGAGGGGATGAAAAATGAGCAGTTAGTGTTTAATGGGTAGAGTTGGGAGAGATGACAAAGCTCTGGATATGAAAGGTGATGATGATTGTACAACAATGTGAATGTACTTACTGTCACAGAACTGTACATTTTAAAGTAGTAAACTTTATGTTATGTATATGTTGTCACAATTTAAAAAAATCAATATTATTCTTTTACCTTTTTGCTTGTTGTTCTCTTCTATTTTATCCAAAGGCAACACTTGCACTGCAACGTCTTTAGAAAAATCCTTTGGGATATGAAAGGAAGAAATAGGCTAAATAAACTTCATGATTTATTATTTATCAAGAACCGTTTACTAGCTATGTGACTACTGTGTTCTGGGAGGGCAGGACTGTGTATTTCATATTCTTCATTTCCATCATCATGCAATTCTGATGTACCTTAAAGCTACTCAAAGATTTGTTGAATGGGTGAGTAATACACTATCAGACAAGTGAATGAATGAGTAAATGAACCAGCAAGCAAATGTAGCACTGAGATTCAGACTCAAACCAGTTTGCCACTTGTAGCAGAGCAAGTCATTTAACATCTCAGTTGCTTCAGTGAAATGTGAAAATCTGACTCACTGTGAGTCAAATGGAGTAGATAAGGATGGCACAACATCACGAAGATCACCCATTTATTCTCAATTATACAATAACAGTGTATCCATACATTTGAGAAGTTTAGATATCATTAAATAAGGCCTGCTTAAAAAAAAAAAAGACAAAACAACAAAAAAACACTCCAAAGTCTAGGCATTTACTTAGGGATCAAGTACAGCAAATAATTATACATTTTATTGTGAGCTTTTGACAAAATTGTCATATAGTCTCAATTGAATTATTAGTTTGCCAGCTTCAATTTTCAAAATAGCATATTGTGAAACTCTCATTATACAGACTTATTAAACTGACAATACATAGGTCAACACTATGATTAGCCGTCAAAGTCTGATTAGATCTCATAACCAAAACATTGTATTTATCAAATACTTTCGGCATTATAAAGTTAAGATGATAATTTCATGTTATTCTTAAAGAACCTCCCTTCTAAGAAAACCAAAACCATTCTCACAAGTGTTAGAATGACATGCAAGCACACCTCACATTAAAGAAAAATTGTACTGTTAGTTGTTCCTTTTCTTTTACCTAAGAACATGTTAAGTCTCTGGGCAAGAACACCTTTTCCCTGAATAGTAAGAGAGTTTCTTTTCAGTTATCCTATCTCTTTCAGCGGCCATTATCTTACTAATAGGTATTTTTGATTCTAGGGAAGGCCTTTTGTTTAATGTCTCAAACACCATTCAAAGTCACAATTGTAGTATATAAAACATTTGTTTTGGTAAGTGATATTTAAATAAAAACAAGGCATGCTGCTAATCAAACATAATTTAAGAATGCATTATTTGACAATACTGAAAATTTTAACGTGAGCATAATTAAGAATCCTTTTGCTTACACTTTCTGACACCATGGGATTTTCTAATAGAGGCTGGTAACAATTTCTAGCAGAAGTTAAGTCTGATGAACCTAACAAAACAAAGGAATAGATTTTAGTGATTTTAAAATCAGATCCTTAGCTTTAGAAACTGTATATGCATGATTCAAGATCTATAAACTCCATATAACGCAGAAGTTGGAAAGACAATTTGCATGCAAAAAAAGTTAAGAAAATGTATTTAAACATATCTGAATGAAAGTTTTTACAGTTGATATTTGGGAAAATAAGGTTCGGTACTGACAATAAAGTGAGATTAAGCACGAAACATTTTAAAATATAACCATACACTATTGGATGTGGACAAACTATGGGTAGAAATATGTATACGATGTAAAGGTCTAATTTAACAGCAGTACTATTTGAGTGTCACCGCTGTATCCCCCAAAGAACAGCATTACAAAAGCGTTTTGCTGTTTTTGCTCACATATTCATTAATTTAATCCTCACAATTAGCAGCGAAGTGGGTAAAGCATATGTTATCCTTATTTTCACTGAGCTCTAGACAGATTAAGTGAATTGGAATATAGAAGCCATCAATTGGCAGAAGTCCTGCTTTTCCCACTATGAAAAGAAAGTAGTGAATTAGGTAAAAAGCACTACTTTGGGGGAAAACTATAAAAAACACTACGTGGGGGAAAATAAAGCACATTATACAAGTTAAGTGTATCCACCATAAATATAAAAAAAAAAATATGCAAAAGTCAATGCAAAAAAAAAAAAAAAAAGCACAACAGGGGACGTTAAAGTTTCATTCATTCCATCTATTCAAACATTTTATAGGCTTCCTGGCCATTTTCCCGGGAAACAGGGTCAGTTTTCAAACATCTGTACAAACTAGACTTATATCTTACGTTTGGGAATTTAAACAAATAAGGACTAAAGATTTACTAAACTAAAACTGGTTGAAAAACTACATGGAATCACATACCACGTGATGTTCCATTCAAACTAGTCCCCGTTCCAACAGGAAGACGTTTATTTGCAGACAATGCCGGAGGAACACAGGGCAACTCATCTTTCAGCAAAACCAAATGATCTCCATGATTTTGAGAAACTACCTCACGAAGTCTCTTCACTGGCATCTTAATCTTTTTTTTCTTCTCCAAGCTGACCTCAGAGCCTTTCATATTGTTGGTCACAAAACAAGTCCCACACTTAAGGACGGAAAAACTTTCTCTGTTTCCTTAAGACTTCAGAACAAAATTTTCACCTCTTTGCAATAACTGTTTTTAAAATGTCGAACATCCACAAAGCTGAAAATCTAAATTCTGATATTGAATCCAGGATTAGAGCTGACTATAAAGTCATATTTACCCATTAATCCCACTCAGTCTATTAATACACCACGCCAAAATGTGAAAGTGGGGATGACAAGAGAATGGCCACAGGAGCAACAATAACCATAACAGTGCACTCCCCAACCCCAGAGCTGGTAGGGCAAAACCAAACACATGTAGTGGCGGGCTTAAAATTTGTTGAGAAGAGGCAGTCAAGCAAATAAAAGCGAAATGCTATTTTTAAAATAATGACCCACATAAGAAGCGTAATAGCTTTCTTCAGCCACAGAGTCTTACACACCCCTCCAGATGCAATCGTCGGAAACATAAATTCACCCCTACGTATCTCCAGAACGCCCGAGACCCGCACCGTCGTGGGTGTAATCTGACAACAGCGTCAGTTGCCCGCAGGTCAACACCCACTTCCCTTCAAACCCGCCCTTGAGACACAACACGCATGCGCGCCAAGAAACTCACCCAAAACATCCAACCAGAAAGCTAAGCGCTCTCTGGTGCTCTTCCATTCCTCTCCGGGTGGAAACAAACTCCGGACATAACAGGGGTTTATTTATTTATTTATTTTAAGGTAGCACATTGCCGCACAAGACCGCTCTACAGTCTCATCCAAGACTTGAAGAGCTCCCGACTTGTAATACTACTTGTGTTTACCAGGGACTGTTGACACTGCTTCGCTTCCGAAGACCGTTAGGGACGTGGGATTAGGTAAATTAGGCTTCCAAGAAGTTTCGACAGATTCGGGTCATTATTGGAGAGGAAGTCGGGAATAGAAAGCGTTGTCTAAGCAGAAAATAACCGAAGTTAATCCTTAGGAGATTTTAGAATTCGCTGATGGTACCTGCTTTTTCTTCTAGATTTCCTCGCGTTATAACGAATCGGCGTCTAAGGGTTTAAGTGTCACTTGACATTACTGCTCCCACGTGTTCTTTCCCATCTGGCGGCCGCGGCTCCTGTCCAGACCCTGACCCTCCCTCCCAAGGCTCAACCGTCCCCCAACAACCCCCAGCCTTGTACTGATGTCGGATGCGAGAGCCTGTGCTTAAGTATGGTGTCTGTTCTCTGCCGTGAGAATCCGGGGTTCCCGGACGGGGGGTGGCAGGCTACGCTCCAGGAAAGTGGCGGGGTCTCCCGAGGAGGCCGCCGCACGTACCTGGAGCAGTGGGGGGTGCGAAGCGGGACAGCGCTTCGCCGGGTCGGGTGCAGACCTTCCTGGAGATGGTGTCACCTGGGCGAGGGTAGGAACTTTAGGCCCTGAGCCACCCCCAACCCGGATCTGGGGAGTCGGGGTCCTGTTTTGGGACACTGAATTAGACTATAAGGTATTTACGATGTGACCTTGAGCTGCCCGGGGGAAGATCCTCCTTTAAATGAAAATCGTCTTTAGACATAATACCAGGTCTAACACCCCTTCCCTGATCTGCTCATTTCCCAGGATGCGCTACTTAGAGCTTTCCCTTTACGCCTTACTGGAGGCTTTAGAATAATCAAAGCAGAAAATGTAATCCGATCTAAAAGCTAAATAACTAATTTTATTTCTTTTACATCTCGGCAGTCTACCTTCATAGAAGTCTAGACTTAAAATGGACTTTAAAGTCTGAGCGCGGTGGCTCACGCCTGTAATCCCAGCACTTTGGGAGGCCAAGGCGGGCGGATCACGAGATCAGGAGTTCGAGACCAGCCTGGCCAGCAAGGTGAAACCCCGCCTCTACTGAAAATACAAAAAATTAACTGGGCATGGTGGCGCGCGCCTGTAGTCCCAGCTACTCAGGAGGCTGAGGCAAGAGAATTGCTTGAACCCGGCAGGTGGAGGTTGCAGTGAGCTGAGATCGCGCCATTGTGCTCCAGCCTGAGTGACAGATCAAGACTGTCTTAAAAAAAAAAGAAAAAAAAAGACTTTAAGGGCTCAGCGTTAAAGACCCTTTTAATTATTATTTTTTTGTAACTTGCTGAGTTTCTCTAATGAGTTTTGTGTTGTTTTTTGAGACAAAGTCTCACTCTGTGGCACAGGCTGGAGTGCAGTGGCGCGATCTTGGCTCACTGCAACCTCCGCCTCCCAGGTTCAAGCGATTCTTCTGCCTCAGGCCTCCTGAGTAGCTGGATTACAGGCGCCCGCCACCACGCCCAGCTAATTTTTTTTGTATTTTTATTAGAGACGGGGTTTCACCATGTTGGCCAGGTTGGTCTCGAACTCCTGACTTGATTCACCCGCCTCGGCCTACCAAAGTGCTAGTATTACAAGCGTGAGCCACCGCACGTGGCCATTATTTTTTATTTTAGTTACATTTTCTCTTCGTAATTGGGCTCATAGGTGGTACTTGTTTGTTCACAATTTATTGTATATTATGAGTGTACTGAAAGAACTACAATGTCAGAGTCGCCAGAGACCTTGGAGATAGTTTAACTCTTACCTTCTAGGTGAAACTTATGTGAAAGAAACAGTGACCTAAGATCTGAGTGTAGGCACTCTGAATTATTAAAATGACAACTTAATTTGGATCTTACAGCTCTTTGTCATTACTCTTTAGTTCCTTTCCCTCTTTTTTTTTTTTTTTCCAGAGACAGGGCCTTGCTCTGTCATGATCATAGCTCCCTGAAGCCTTCAACTCCTGAGCTCAGGCAATCCTCCTGTCTCAGCCTCCTGAGTAGCTAGGACTACAAGCACTTGCCACCACGCTGGCTAATTTTTTACTTTTTTGTAGAAACTAGGTCTCGCCTTATTGCCCAGGCTTATTTTCTCAGCTCACTGCAACCTCTGCCTCCTGGGTTCAAGTGATTCTTCTGCCTCAGCCTCCCAAATAGCTGGGATTATAGGCACCCGCCACTCTGCCCAGATAATTTTTGTGTTTTTAGTAAAGATGGGGTTTCACCATGTTGGCCAGGCTGGTCTGGAACTCCTGACCGCACGTGATCTGCCCACCTCAGCCTCCCAAAGTGCTGGGATTACAGGCGTGAACCATCATGCCTGGCCTTATTTTCTCACTCTAAATCAGCCCTCTCAACCCCTTTTCTTTATGACTGACACTTTTGAAAAGACCAGCCAGGTTGTCTTACAAATTGTTCCATGTTGTAGATTTTCCTAATTATTCCCTCATGATTAGAGCCATATCAAACTTTGGCCAGAATACCACATAGGTGATGCTGTCTTACTGCATCCCACCAAGAAATACCTAATGTTGGCACCCATGTTTGTGATGCTAGGTTTTATGACTTAGCTTATACGTTTTTTCTTTGAGACAGGGTCTCTTTCTGTCACCCAGGCAAGAGAGCAGTGGCGTGATCATGGCTCACTGCAGCCTCAAGCTCCTGGGCTCAAGTGATCCTCCTGCCTCAGCCTCCTGAGTAGCTGGGACTACAGGTGCACACCACCATGCCGGCTCATTTTTGTATTTTTTGTAGAGATGGGGTTTTGCCATGTTGCCCAGGCTGATGTAGAACTTTTGGGCTCAAGCTATCCACCCACCTCAGCCTCCCAAAATGCTGGGATTGAGCCACTGCACCTGGTCAGTCACTTAGCTTATAACATATATTTGGCTATTTGGAAAATATTTTTAGATAGATGATATGTGTCATAATAGCTTATAAGACATTTTATAGGTCTTAAATAGGTCATTTTATAGGTGCAATGGGGAAAATACTGGATTTTGAAGTCCAAAGACCTTAGTTAGGCTCCAGCTGTCCAGTTACTATCTGTATAAGTGACCTCATGTAAGTTTCTTAAGATTTCTGAACCATCCCTCCCAGAATTAGTAGGAAAATCATAAGGGAAGTGTAATGTATACTTATACCTGGATAAATAAGGATAGCATGACATTAAGTATTTTTTTTAATAGTAACACATATGCCAAAGAATTGTAACCTCAGAATAGAGGAAACTAATTTCACTTACTAAAAAGGAAGAAACTTTAAAAAAATAAATGATTAGCCAATAGAAGTTTACATTTCATTGAAAAGACTATTAGAACTTGAAGGGGACTTAGTAATCATATTACCTCATTTTTCAGGTAAGAATCAGGCCTTATTGGAGACATTCAAGCAAAGGTTGGACAACTACTTTTCCAGAACAGAAAGGAAACTCATGCATCAGAAAAGGTTAGAGCTTGATGACTGATAAGATCTCCCTTTATTCTTAAGTTCCCTGGTTCTAGGATATATTTTGTTTGCCACAAGAATAACAGCATCATTGTAATCATTCCCAAGATCTAAGCCAGTGATTCTTGAATTTGCTTATTTCTTCTCTCCCTCTCCAGGTTTCAGGGATATAATCAGAAGGTAACCCCTGATGGGTCTTTGCCACAGTAACATAAATTTGCTGTAATATATGGAAACTAGGATCAAATAAAAGAACAACCACATTACTGCTACCTGTTCTCACCATCAGGTGGTTTATGTGGCTGGTGGAATTTGTTAGTCTAAGCTTACTATTAAATAACTGCGAAGTGAATAGTGAAAAATTTAGAAGACCTCAAATTAGCAAGTAACTCTGAAAATCATTGATTTACTCAGTCATCTCCAGTATTTTCTCTGAACCAGTTGCCTACAATTATGTATACCATAATCTTTTTTTTTTTTTTTTTTTTTTTTTGAGACAAAGTCTCGCTCTGTCACCCAGGCTGGAATGCAGTGGCACAATCTCAGCTCACTGCAGCCTCTGCCTCCCAGGTTCAAGCAGTTCTGCCTCAGCCTCCCGAGTAGCTGCGATTATAGGCATGTGCCACCATGCCCGGCTAATTTTTGTATTTTTAGTAGAGACGGGGTTTCACCATGTTGGCCAGGCTGGTCTCAAACTCCTGACCTCAAATGATCCACCCGCCTTGGCCTCCCAATGTGCTGGGATTACAGGTGTGAGCCACTGTGCCTGGCCTATACCGTAATCTTGATAGATACTGGTGACTACCGAGGATAGCTTTAGAGATTTAAGCAGACTTAAGAAAACTTCTGATTGTTAGCTCTTGAGTTCAACTGTTAGGTCTGGAAAAAAAAAATACCAAATTGGTCTGGGTGCAGTGGCTCACGCCTGTAATCCCAGCACTTTGGGAGGCTGAGGTGGGTGGATTACCTGAGGTCGGGAGTTCAAGACCAACCTGGCCAACATGGTGAAACCCCATCTATACTAAACAAAAATTAGCCAGGTGTGGTAGTGCATGCCTGTAATCCCAGCTACTCAGGAGGCTGAGGCACAAAATCACTTGAACCCAGGAGGCGGAAGATGTAGTAAGCTGAAATTGCACCACTGTACTCCAGCCTGGGTCTCAGAGTGAGACTCTGTCTCAAAAATAAATAAATAAATAAATCTCAAAAATAAGTAAATAAATAAATAAAATACACAATTGAGTGATTCTAAAGAAAATAAATCATAGTGTTAACATAGTGGTCTGTGAATGGTAGAACTATCTTTTGTTTTTCAAATTCTCAATAAATATATTACTTTTATAGTATGACAGACTTTATTTCACTGAAAAGAGGAAACATACACTGTTTAAGTAATGTATATTAATACATTAATGAATAAAGAAGATTCATACCAACAGCACTTGGGGCATTCCTCATATATGTCTTTTCAGATTTTTTAGTAACAACCATCATTTATCACCATGAGATATATAATAAGGACAAGATGTGTGTAGAGGCAGCACAGGGTACCAGTATGAAACTTAGAGAACATTTAAAGATTTCATACTTTCGACTGGGCACAGTGGCTCATGCCTGTAATCCCAGCACTTTGGGAGGCCGAGGCAGGAGGATCACCTGAGGTCGGGAGTTTAAGACCAGCCTCACCAATGTGGAGAAACCCCCGTCTCTACTAAAAATAGAAAATTAGCTGGGCGTGGTGGTGCATGCCTGTAATCCCAACTGCTTGGGAGGCTTAGGCAGGAGAATCGCTTGAACCTGGGAGGCGGAGATTGCAGTAAGCTGAGATTGTGCCATTGCACTCCAGCCTGGGCAACAAGAGCGAAAACTCCGTCTCAAAAAAAAAAAAAAAAGATTTCATACTTTCTGTCTCTCTGACCTCGGGTTGATAAGTCAATAAATAAGAATTTTAACCCAAAGAAATACAAGGATGGAATTAAAAAAAAAAAAAAAAAGAACAGATTTTGGCATTATAAGAAGGAAATCAGCTCTGTGTTATTTTTTGATGTGAACTGTAGAAAGTCCAGTTTGCTGGGTGTCCTCCTGAGGTGCAGTGAGTGTACTGTCCTTATTCGACAATTCAAAAGGCTCAGGTCTAGTAGATGACCTTTTGAACTTTCAGCTAGGAGCCTATTGGTAAACAAAGTTCCTTAATGCATATTTTATTACCCTTGTATTTTTTTTCAAGTTCTCACAAAACAGTGATTTCATTTAATACTTCTTTAGAAGTTGTTTTACCAGTTCTTAGATCTTTTCAGACTGTTTTCTGAGTGGGAATCCAGAAGAACTCTAGCTTGGAATGCTTGCTAACAGTATCTACCACGCTGCATGTTGTTCTTTGGCAGGTACCAGAAAGTTATACAATAACATTTTTTTTCTTTATTATTAAACTTTTTATTTTGAGGTTAGTGTGGATTGAAATACACTTCCAACAATTAACACAAAGGTCCCCTGTGTCCTTTACCCAGTTTTCCACAATGGTAACATCTTACAAAACTGGAGTACAATGTCACTCACATCCAGGATACTAATATTGATACAATCAAGATACAGAATATTTCTATTACAAAGGTCTTGTGTTGCCTTCTTATAGCAACACCTACTTTCTTCCTACTCCTTCCCTCATCCATTCCTTAACCCTTGGCAACCATATGTTCTTCATTTCTGCAATTCTGTTATTTCAAGAATGTTGTATAAGTGGAATTATACAGTATTTAACTTTTTAGGATTGGCTTTTTTCCTCAGCAGAATTTTCCAGGCTTTTGCAAGTATCAATACCTCATCCTTTTTATTGCTGAATAGTATTACAGGTATAGATGTACCAATTTGTTTAACCATTCACCCACTGAAGAACATTTGGGTTTTCAGTTTTTGATTATTAAGAATAGAGTTTCTACAAACATTCACATATAGGATTTCCTGTGAACACAAATTTTCATTTCTCTAGGACAGATGCCCAGGAATGCAATTGCAGGGTTATATGGGAGATGAATGTATAACTTCTTTAGAAACTGCCAAACTCTTTACATTCCCAACAGGAATATGTAAGTGATTCAGTTTTTCCATGTCCTCACTAGCATTTGGTATTGCCACTGTTTTTGTTTTTTTGTTTTGTTTTGTTTTTATGTTAGCCATTCTGATAGGTATATAGCTTGTTTTTTTTTTTTTTTTTTTTGAGATGGATTTTTGCTCTCGTCACCCAGGTTGGAGTGCAGTGGCGTGATCCCGGCTCACTGCAACCTCCACCTCCTGGGTTCAAGCAATTCTCTTGCCTCAGCCACCCGAGTAGCTGGGACCACAGGCATGCACCACCATGCCCGGCTAACTTTTGTATTTTTAGTAGAGATGGGGTTTCACCACGTTGGCCAGGCTAGTCTCAAACTCCTGACCTCAGGTGATCTGCCCGCCTCAGCCTCCGAAAGTGCTGGGATTACAGGCGTGAGCCACCGCACCCAGCAGCTTGTTTTGGTTTTAATTTGCATTTCCCTAATGGCTAATGATGTTGAACATCTTTTCAGGTACTTATTAGCCATATGTATTTCCTTTTTGCTGAAATACCTTTTTACGGCTCTTGCTTGTTTTCTAATTGGATTGTTTGTGTTTTTACTGCTGGGGTTTGAGAGTTCTTTATATCTTCTGCTTATTAGTTCTTTGTCAGTTATGTAGTTTGCAAATATTTCCTCCTGGTCTGTAGCTTTTCATCCTCTCAATGTTCTTTCATAAAGCAAAAGTTTTTAATTTTTTAATTTCATTTTTAATTTTCATGAAGTCTAATTTATTAATTTTTCCTCTTATAGTGTTTTTGATGTCAAATATAAGAACTCTTTGCCTAGCCCTAAAGCCAGATTTTCTAATATTTTTCTAAAAGTTTTAGTAGTTGGCCAATCATGGTGGCTTACGCCTGTAATCCCAGCCCTGTGGGAGGTGGAGATGGGAGGGCTGCTTAAGTCCAGGAGTTGAGACAGCCTGGGCAACATGGTGAGACCCTGTGTTTATTAAAAATAAATAAAAGTTTTAGTAGTTTTATATTTTACATTAAATTCCTGATCCTTTTTTTAGAGAGAGGGTCTGTCACCCAGGCTGGAGTGCAGTGGCACAATCTTGGCTCACTGCAGCCTCTGCCTCCTGGGCGCAATCCATCCTTCCTACCTCAGCCTCTTGAGTAGCTGGGACTACAGGTATGTGCCACCATGCCCAGCTAAAATTTTTTTTGTGTGTGTATTTTTGGTAAAGACGGGGTTTGTCATGTTACCCAGGCTGGTCTCAAATTCCTGGCCTCAAGCCATCTGCCAACCTTGGCCTCCCAAAGTGCTAGAATTCCAGGCATGAGCCACCATGCCTGGCCCCCCAATCCATTTTGAGTTAATTTTTGTATTAGGTGAGAAACTTAGTTCTCACATCTTTTTTTCCCAAAAATCAGTTGGGCAGGAGTGTATTTTTGTGTGTGTGTGTGTGTATGTGTTTGTGTGTGTGTGTGTGTGTGTGTGTGTGTGTGTGTGTGTGTGTGTGTGTGTGTGACGGGGTCTCACTCTATTTTCCAGACTGGAGCGTAGTGGCGCAACCATGGCTTACTGCAGCCTCTACCTCCCAGGCTCAAATGATTCTCCTGCCTCAGACTCCCAGGTAACTGGGACTACAGGCATGTGACACCATGCCCAGCTAATTTTCTTAATTATTTGTACAGACAAGGTCTCGCTGTGTTGCCCAGGTTGTTCTTGAACTCCTGGGCTCAAGCAATTCTCCCTTCTTGGCCTCCCAAAGTGCTGGGATTACAGGTGTGAGCCACCTCACCTGGCCAGTTGGGTTTTTTGGTGTTAATCTGTTATTAGATTCTTTGTTATGTTCCACTGACTATTTGTCTGTCCCTCCACCAGTGGCACACAGCATTGATTATTGTAGGCTCTTTATGTCTTGAAATCAGGTAGACCAATTCCTCTCACTTTATTCTTCATTTTTCAAATTTGTTTTAGCTATTCTGGTCCCTTTGCTTTTTATATAAATTTTATATAAATTTCCATATAAATTTGTGTATATTTATAAGAAATCTTGTTAGGACCTTGATAGAAATTGCAATAAGCCCGTATATCAGCCTTAAGAAAATTGGCATTCTTACTATATTGAGTCTTCTGATCTCTGAACACACAGTATGTCTCTCTGTGTGTTTAGGTCTTTGCCTTCTTTTGTCAGCATTTGGTAGTTTTCCACATACAAGTCCGTACATGTTTTGTTAGATTTGCCCCTAAATCTTTTTTTTTCTTTGAGTAATTGTAAATGATATTGTATTTTTACTTTCAGTATACATGTGTTCATTGATGGTATATAGAAATACAATTGATTTTTTAAATATACTTATTGTGTATACTGGACACTGCTGAACTTAATTAATTCTAGGAGTTTATTTGTAGATTCTTTCGATTTTGCATGTTCATAATTATATTACATGCAAACAGGAACAGTTTTGTTTTTTCTTTTACAATCTTTATGTCTGTTTCCTTTTCTTGCTTCACTGCACTGGGTAGAACTTTCAGCAGTATGTTAGATAAGAGTGGTGAGAGTGGACATCTGTCCTTGCTCACAATCTTATGGGAAAGTATTATCTTTTGCCATTAAGTATAGTGTAGGCTGTAGGTTTTTTTGTACATGCTGTTTATCAAATTGATCTTCCTTTTTTTCTGAGATATTTTGCTATGAATGGGTATTGCATTTTTTCAGATACTTTTTCTGCATCAATGTTTATGATCATTTGGTTTTTCTTCTTCAGTCTATTAATATGTGGACTTAAACGGATTAATTTTCAAATATTAAACCAGTCTTGCATCCCTGGAATAAACCCTTCTTGGTCAAGTTGTATAATTCTTTTTATATATTGCTGAATTATATTTGCTAATATTAATAGTAATAGACTTTTTTATATCTTTCATGAGGGATATTTTTATGGTTTTCTTTTTTGTACTGTCTTTGCCTGGTTTTAATATCAGGATAATACTAACTTCATAAAGAAGTTGTCAGGTTTATGTATGTAGAGTTGTTTGTAATATTCCTGTATCCTTTTGGTGTCTGCAAAACCTGTAGTAATGTACACCCTGTTTCATTCCTGATGTATAATTTGTGTCTTCTCTCTTGCTAGTAGGTTTGTCAGTTTTATTAATCTTTTCAAAGAACTAGCTCTTTCTTTTTTCTCTTTTCATTTAAATTGATCTCTGCTCTTTATTTCCTTCATTGGGTTCATTTTGCTCTTCTTTTTTAGGTGCTTGAGGTAGGAGGAGCTTGGATTACTGATTTAAGACCTTCCTTCCTTCCTACCTTCCTTCCTTCCTTTCTTCCTCCCTCCCTCCCTCCCTCCCTTCCCTCCTTCCCTAAGTCCCTCCCTCCCTCCCACGCTCCTTTCCCTCCCTCCCACGCTCCTTTCCCTCTCTCCCTCCCCTTTCTTCCTTCCTTACCTCCACTTCCTTTTTTTTTTTTTTTTTTTTAACAGGGTCTTGCTGTTTTATCTGAGCTGGAATGCAATGGCATGATCATAGCTCACTGCAGCCTTAAACTCCTTGGCTCAGGCAATCCTGCCTCAACCTCCAAGTAGCTGGGGGTATAGGACATGCCACCATGCCCAGCTACTTTTCTTTCTTTTCTCTTTTCTTTTCTTTTCTCTCTTTCTTTTCTTTTTTTGGAGAGAGAAGGTATCACTATGTTGCCCAGTGTATTAGTCCATTTTCACACTGCTGGTAAAGACATACCCTAGACTGGGCAATTTACAAAAGAAAGAGGTTTAATGGACTTACAGTTCCACATGGCTGGGGAGGCCTCACAATCATGGCTGAAGGCAAGGAGGAGCAAGTCACATCTTACATGGATGGCAGAAGGCAAAGAGAGAGAACTTGTGTAGGGGATCTCCTCTTGATAAAACCGTCAGATCTTGGGAGACTTATTCACTATCATGAGAACAGCATGGGAAAGACTTGCCCCCATGATTCAATTACCTCCCACCAGGTCCCTCCCACAACACTTGGGAATTCAAGATGAGATTTGGGTGGGGACATAGCCAAACCATATCACCCAGGCTGGTCTTGAACTCCAGAGCCCAAGGAATTCTCCCACCTCAGCCTCCCAAAGTGCTGAGATTACAGGCATGAGCCACGACACCTGGCCTTTTTCCTTTTCTAATGTATGCATTTAGTACTAAAACTTTTTCTCATGGCACTGATTTAGTTTATCACCATGTAATGATGTCAGCATATTACCAGTTCAAGTGAAGTATAGAAACCTTAATTGTCTACATACATTTAGAACCACAATAGATGGTTTTATAATTTTTGCTTCAACCGACAAACATAATTTAGGAAACTCAAGAGAAGTGTATTGTACCTATTACTGTGTTTTCCTCCTTGATGTTCCAGGACTACTACTTTTATCATTTTCTTCGTTTAGAAACTTGAGCGATTATTTTAGGTAGCTATGCTGGTAACACATTTTCTTAGTTTTCCTACATTTGAGAATGTCTTGATTTCTCCTTTATTTCTCAAGGTTGTTTTCACTAGATACAGGTTTCTGCATTGACAGTTGTTTTCCTTTAGCACTTGAAACATTTTGTGCCACTTCCTTGTGGCCTCCATAGTTTCTAAAGAAAAATCTGCTTTCATCCTAATGGTTTTACCCCTACAGGCAAGATATAGTTTTTCACTTGCTGCTTTCAATGGCTTTTTGTCTTTATTTTTTATTTTATTTATTGTTATTTATTTATTTATTTGCTACAGAGTCTCACTCTGTCACCCAGGCTGGAATGCACTGACATGATCTTGGCTCACTGCAACCTCTGCCTCCTGGGTTCAAGCAATTCTCGTGCCTCAGCCACCTGAGTAGCTGGGATTACAGGTGTGTGCCACCACGGCCAGCTGCTTTTTGTATTTTTTTTTTTTTTTTCAGTAGGGACGGGGTTTCACCATGTTGACCAGGCTGGTCATGAACTCCTGACCTCAATCGACCCACCCGCTTTGGCCTCCCAAAGTGCTAGGATTATAGACGTGAGGCACTGCGCTCAGCCTTGTCTTTAGTTTTCAGATGTTTGACTATTATGTGTCGATGTAGGTTTCATCGGGTTTATGCTGTTTGGGGTTTGTTCAGCTTTTTGAATCTGTAGGTTTATGTCTTTTGCCAAACTTGGGGAGTTTTCAGCCATTATTTCTTCCACTACTTTTACTACCCTACCCTTTTCTTCCTCTCCTTCTTGGACTCTAATGAGACAAAATATTCACTTTTTTATACTTCTACAAGTCCTTTGTACTCTGTTAATGTTTTTCATTCTGTTTTTCTCTGTAATTCAGGTTGAAGAATTCTATTTTCTGGCTTCCAATTCACTGATTCCTCTGTCCCCTCCATTCTCCTATTGATTTTATTCATTGAGTTTATTTTGGTTATTGTATTTTTCACTTCTTAAACTTTCCATTTGGGTCTTGATATCTTCTATTTCTTTGCTGAGACCTTCTGTTTTTTCATTTGTTTCAAGTGTGTTCATAATTGCTCACTGAAGTATTTACAAGGTGCTATTTAAAAATCTTTGTCAGATAATCCTAACACATATTAATCAATGTTGAGCATCTGTTGTCTTTTTTTAATTCAGTTTGAGATCTTCCTAGTTCTTGGTGTGATGAGTGATTTTTTAATATATTGTAGCCTGGACATCTTGCATATCATGTTATGAGGCTCTAGATGTTATTTAATCATTTTATCTGGCTCCTTTTGACAATGCTCCATGAGGGGAAGTGGTGGGAGGTACCACTTCATTACTGCCAGGTGGAAGTAGAAATTCATCTTCCTCACTCTGACACTTGAAGGGAGGGGCAGGGAGTTTCTTGTTACTGCTAGGTGGAGTAGGCATTCTGGCTCCTCACCAGGCTTCCACTGATAACTCCCTGGCTGGGAAGGACTACAGTGCTTTGTTACTCTCCCCATGTGGCCTCCACTGACATTACAGCAGGGTACATGGCCTAATTGTCATGAGGCAGTAATGCAAGTCCTGAATGTCAAGTAGGCCTCCTTAGATACCACCCCAGAGTAGATGGAGATGGGTACCTCATTACTGCCAATTGGGGTGGAAAGCCAGGCTCCCTGTGTGGTTTCCACTGACACTCGCTGGGGAGTGGGGAGGCTTTTCTGTGCATACGAAGGAAATGACATTTTTTTAAATGTCAGTAGTTATTGTGAATTTCTTTCTTTCTTTTTTTTCTTTTTTTTTTTTTTTGAGATGGCGTCTCACTATGCGGTGCAGGCTGGAGTACAGTGCTGCAATCTCGGCTCACTGCAACCTCCGCCCAAGGGGTCAAGCAGTTCTCCTGCCTCAGCCTCCTGAGTAGCTGGGATTACAGGCATAAGCCACCATGCCCGGCTAATTTTTGTATTTTCAGTAGAGATGCGGTTTCACTATGCTGTCCAGGCTTGTCTCCAACTCTTGACCTCAGGTGATCCACCTGCCTCAGCCTCCCAAAGTGCTGGGATTACAAGTGTGAGCCACCGTGCCCAGCCTAGTTATTGTGATTTTATAGGATAAGAAAAAAGGAGGAAAGTATAGGTATGGTTGAGACTGGTGGAATGGAATTACTGTTGATTGTATGTGTTAATCAAAAGCAGAATGTTAATTTTTTTTTGTGATGGTGGCATACACTTTGTCCTAAACTTGAATTTACTACTAGTTTCAACGAACTTCATAAAAATTAGTTTCAACAAAGCTTCATAAAGAATTTATGTTTTCCAGAGATACTTTAATAATTGATAAGCTAATAAAAATTTGCACATCCAGTTTATCATTTTTGTTTTGGTTATCAGAAAACTCTTAACTAAATAAAATGTATAGCATTTATGTTAGTCTACAGTGTACATGATTCATGTTTTCCTTTTACATGCTGTTTAATTTCTGTTTCAAACAGCTTTATTTTATACAAACCTTTTTTTTTTTTTTTTTTTTTTTTTTTTCTGAGACGGAATCTCACTCTGTCACCCAGGCCGGAGTGCAGTGGTGCAATCTCGGCTCACTGCAAGCTCCACCTCCCGGGTTCACGCCATTCTTCTGCCTCAGCCTCCCAAGTAGCTAGGACTCCAGGCGCCCACCACCACGCCCAGCTAATTTTTTGTATTTTTAGTAAAGACGGGGTTTCACTGTGTTAGCCAGGATGGTCTCGATCTCCTGACCTCGTAATCTGCCCGCCTCAGCCTCCCAAAGTGCTGGGATTACAGGCGTGAGCCACCACGCCCAGCCTATACAAATACAAATCTTTTATATGAAATGCTCAACCTTTTTAGAACTAGCCAGGATATAGTAAATAAATAATGTTATACACATTCTTATATCTAGATTAACTGAACCTAAGTCCTACATTTAGGATATGTGAAAATCTCAGGAATTCAGAAAGGCTTTTTTATTTACTTGTCTTCCCTTCCCTGTTGCCGCCACGTTAGATTATAATTAGAAGTCTCTGATTAGTCTCTGTGATTGCCCTTTTTGAACTAGAGAATGTGTAGTAGAATGTATAATTCCTGTAACTTTCTTTTAAAACTCTGAATATCCTTCATGAGGGTTGTCAATTTCTAAGCAAATGGTGTTTGTTAACTGGTGTTTGTTAACTATTAATAGAACCTTTGTATTTACATTGTAAAAGGATCATTAGTAGTAAGGGTCAGAGTTAAATTAGCAACTAATTTTAAGTGTATTTGGAGTGGCTCAGATATATGAATCTACTTTTTCAACAATAGATTTTATTAAATCTAAATATAGGCCAAGTATTTCTGATGAAAATTTAGCATTCAAATTGAGATGTGGTGTAAGTGTAAAATGCTCACCAAAATCAAAGACTTACTACCAGAAAAGGAACGTAAAATGTCTTATTAATACTTTTTATGTGATTGTATGTTGAAATGTTAAAATCTTTGATATTTTTGATGTATTCGACTGAGTATAATAGTAAAAAATTTAAAATAAGCAATTTGGTGACTAGTGGAATAGTTAAGTAATTTTAGGAAAACAGCAAAAATCTCTTGATTTCCTTTATTTTTCTTTTTATTATCATTATTATTATTATTATTTGAGATGGAGTCTCACTTTGTCACCCAGGCTGGAGTGCAGTGGTGTGATCTTGGCTCACTGTAACCTCAACGTCCTGAGTTCAAGCGATTCTCCTGCCTCAGCTTCCCAAGTAGCTGGGACCACAGGCACATGACACCACGTCTGGCCAATTTTTGTATTTTTTGTAGAGATAGGGTTTCACTATGTTGGCCAGGCTGGTTTTGAACTCCTGACCTCAAGTGATCCACATGTCTTGGCCTCCCAAAGTGCTGGGATTACAGGCATGAGCCACCACACCCAGCTTTTTTTAATTATTTTTTTAAGCCCAAACTTCACCATCTTGGTTTCCTTTATAACCCTCCTAGGAATGGGGCTTTAAACAAGCAGCTTAGCAAGGTAGCAGAGCAAACTATCTTAAAACTGGAGATTTTGATAGACAGGGCCTTTGAGTCCCAAACTAGCATTAGAAAATCTAATTCTCTGGCCGGGCACGGCGGCTAACGCCTGTAATCCCAGCACTTTGGGAAGCCGAGGCAGGCGGATCATGAGGTTAAGAGATCGAGACCATCCTTGCCAACATGGTGAAACCCCATCTCTACTAAAAATACAAAAATTAGCTGGGCATGGTGGTGTGTGCCTGTAGTCCTAGCTACTCAGGAGGCTGAGGCAGGAGAATTGCTTGAACCCGGAGGCAGAGGTTGCAGTGAGCCAAGATGGCGCCACTGCGCTCCAGCCTGGTGACAGAGTGAGACTCCGTCTCAAAAAAAAAAAGAAAATCTAATTCTCAACTGTAAGGTTCTATGGTCATTAATGATCTGAGAAATTGGGGGTGGTGGCATACAATTACATACACAGATTTATAAAATACGAGCAGTGATTCCCTAACTCTTCAGTTAGACTAAAAACATTTGTTTATAGATTGACAAACTTGTTTTGAATTTTTAAATTAGGTGACTAATAAAGGTACCAGAAGAATATGGCTGCACAAATACCAGAATCTGATCAGATAAAACAGGTAAGGTATTCTAATTAAGGGGAAAAGATTTTGCAAAAAAATGTAAGGTGCTACTAATGCCACCATGTCAGGCTGGGTGCAGTGGCTCACATCTGTAATCCCAGCACGTTGGGAGGCCCAGGTGGGTGGATCACATGAAGTCAGGAGTTCAAGACCAGCCTGGCCAACATGGTGAAACTCCGTCTCCTAAAAATACAAAAATTAGCTGGGCGTGCTGGCGCACACCTCTAGTCCCAGCTACGTGGGAGGCTGAGGCACAGGAATTGCTTGACCCAGGAAGCAGAGGCTGCAGTGAGCCGAGATCGTGGCATTGCACTCCAGCCTGGGTGACAGAGCAAGACTCCATCTCAAAAAAAAAAACCATGTCAGTGGTTTCACAAAACAATTGTTTCTATTTCATTTCCAAAATGGATATTAAATGTTATAAAGTGTACGTATTTTTCTTGTTCTTTTTTTTTTTGGACACAGTCTCTCTTTGTCGGCCAGGCTGGAGTGCAGTGGCACGATCTTGGTTCACTGCAACCTCCATCTCCCGGGCCCAAGCAATTCTCCTGCCTCAGCCTCCTGAGTAGCTGGGATTACAGGCATGCGCCACCACGCCTGGCTAATTTTTGTATTTTTATTAGAGACAGGGTTTCACCATGTTGGCCAGGCTGGTCTCGAACTCCTGACCTCAGGTAATCCGCCCACCTCGGCCTCCCAAAGTGCTGGGATTACAGGCATGAGCTACCGCACCCGGCCAAGCATATGTATTTTTAATCTGACTGATAATCAAGGAAAAATTAAATATTCAACTAGAAAATAAAACTATTCTGTAGATCATACTGTACCCATTTAAGTTAGCATAATAACTATGATTTCAAGTGTTATAGTATATTTTGTCTAAATATAAAATACCAGTAATTTAAGTTTCAAAGCATCTTTGTTTTAAAAACCAAATACTAAAGAACATTCTGGTTTGTTTGTAGTTTAAGGAATTTCTGGGGACCTACAATAAACTTACAGAGACCTGCTTTTTGGACTGTGTTAAAGACTTCACAACAAGAGAAGTAAAACCTGAAGAGGTATGAAAAGTGTTACTCACTAAAATTCTACAAGCCTTCATAAACACTCTAAGTAGGATCCCCTTAAGCATTTCACTTGTTCCTACTTATTACAGGAATTTAGACTACCTTTTATGTTCCATTGCTTGGAAGAACTGAAGCAGCCACTGAACCACGGCATTGAGTTTAACAGTGCCAAATTTAATGACAGTTACATTGTACCAAGTCAGACCATTTTAGAGAAGATGCCTGCAGCTGCTGAGTTACTGTTTCACAACAAAGATTCTTACTAATTAGCTTTCAGCCAAGATGGCCTACCTAGAGAAACTTGGCACAGCCTTTCTGTATGGCCCTGGGAATTCTGGTTGGCTTTGGAAAAAACAAAGCTTGACTTTGGTGGCTCATATTGAAAACCTCATCCTATTAGAAGTCTTAACTATTTTTTTAAGACAGGGTCTCGCTCTGTTACCCAGGCTGGAGTGCAATGGCATAATCATAGCTCACTGTAACTTTGAACTCCCAGCACATTGGGAGGTCAAGGCAGGTGGATCACTTGAGCCCAGGAGTTCGAAACCAGCCTCGGCAACATGGTGAAACCCTGTCTTTACAAAAAATACAAAAAAAAATTAGCTAGACATGTTGGTACATGCCTGTGGTCCCAGCTACTCGGGAGCTGAGGTGAGAGGGTCACCTGAGCCCGGGAGGCAGAGGTTGCAGTGAGCTGTGATTGCACCACTGCACTCTAGCCTGGGCGACAGAGCAAGACCCTGTCAACAACAACAACAACAAAAAGCACCAGCCCTCATCTCTACTAAAAAATAAAATGAAAAATTAGCCAGGCGTGGTGGTGTGTGCCTGTAGTCTCAGCTACTCCAGGGGCTGAGGTAGGAGGATCACTTAAGCCCAGGAGGTTGAGGCCACAGTGAGGCACTGCACTCCACCCTGGGCAACAGAGAGAGAACCTGTCTCAAAAAAATAAATAAATAGGCTGGGCGCGGTGGCTCACGCCTGGAACTTCAGCACATTGGGAGGCTGAGGCAGGCGGATCACGAGGTCAGGAGATCAAGACCATCCTGGCTAACACAGTGAAACCCCGTCTCTACTAAAAATACAAAAAATTAGCCAGGCATGGTGGCAGGCACCTGTAGTCCCAGCTACTCGGGATGCTGAGGCAGGAGAATGGCGTGAACTCAGGAGGCGGAGCTTGCAGTGAGCCGAGATCACGCCACTGCACTCAAGCCTGGGTGACACAGCGAGACTCCCTCTCAAAAATAAATAAATAAATAAATAAAATTAAAATAAGTAAAAGGTTGAGAATTAAGAATGTTGTTTTCTCATTAAAAAGGAACAAACTTACTACTGGGTCTACATTTTAATAATCGAAACAAGAAGACAGGAATGTGGGCTTTCACTTAATACACTTGCAGAAAATCTAGTCCAGAAGCTTTTTGAAAACAGAGACTTATCATTGCTCTTAGTGACTACAAACTGGCAGGCATTCAATATATATTAATGCTTGTCAGTGAATGAAAGTATCAATTAAAAGCTATGGTCAGTTGCTGCCAATTAGTACTATTTAATTCTCAGATATATTCAAAGAAAAGCAAACTACCCCACTGATTCTTTTAGAATACATGCATTTTAAAAAATTCATATTTTTGTGTTGCCTCTTGGATCTTCCCTTTTCATTCCTAGACCACCTGTTCAGAACATTGCTTACAGAAATATTTAAAAATGACACAAAGAATATCCATGAGATTTCAGGAATATCATATTCAGCAGAATGAAGCCCTGGCAGCCAAAGCAGGACTCCTTGGCCAACCACGATAGAGAAGTCCTGATGGATGAACTTTTGATGAAAGATTGCCAACAGCTGCTTTATTGGAAATGAGGACTCATCTGATAGAATCCCCTGAAAGCAGTAGCCACCATGTTCAACCATCTGTCATGACTGTTTGGCAAATGGAAACCGCTGGAGAAACAAAATTGCTATTTACCAGGAATAATCACAATAGAAGGTCTTATTGTTCAGTGAAATAATAAGATGCAACATTTGTTGAGGCCTTATGATTCAGCAGCTTGGTCACTTGATTAGAAAAATAAACCATTGTTTCTTCAATTGTGACTGTTAATTTTAAAGCAACTTATGTGTTCGATCATGTATGAGATAGAAAAATTTTTATTACTCAAAGTAAAATAAATGGAAATATCACTGAGCAGTTGTTTATACTGTATGGTACCATAGTATTCTCACTGGACTGTGGATACGTTGAAATGTTTTTCAATCAGGATCATCCTCCAAGCAGTCCTGTTCATTCATGTCTGCCTCAAATTGCTGGTGAATACATAAAATAGTTACTTGCTAATCATTTCAATGCATGATCCTTTTCTTGCCTCCCTTGTGTCAGGGTGGGCATTACATATACTTTTCTTTTTTTTTTTTTTTGAGACGGAGTTTTGCTTTCGTCACCCAGGATGGAGTGCAACGGCACAATCTCAGCTCACTGCAACCTCCACCTCCCCAGTTCAAGCAATTCTGCTGCTTCAGCCTCCCAAGTAGCTGGGATTACAGGTGTGTGCCACCATGCCCGGCTAACTTTTGTATTTTTAGTAGAAATGGGGTTTCACCACATTGGCCAGGCTGGTCTCGAACTTCTGACCTCAGGTGATCCGCCTGCCTCAGCCTCCCAAAGTGCTAGGATTACAGGCGTGAGCCACCGCGCCTGGCCACATATCTTACCTACATTTTCGTATATCTTCAGGAAACAATCCCATCTGCCCTAGTTTGGGAATGTTTAAGAGTTGACTGTTATACTGTAATGGAGTTCATGTTTGTGTTTTGTTCAAAAGCTGACAGTCAAATATGATAGATTCCAAGGCTTGCCAATGATAAAAAGGGAACCAAAGTTAATGTCTTATGCCTAATGAATCCTGAAATGAATCCAAGCATTTGCAGGAAATTCTAGTTGATGCATACATACACCAAGCAGTTTAGTAAAATGGAAGTGGACTAAAACTTACTAATCAACTGGCTTATGAATGGATTTCATTTGATACCATTTTAAACCTATATTTAAGAGAATGCTAATTAGCCTGTATGTTTAAATTTACCAAAGTGATTTCTATGTTTTGTATGTTAATGGAAGTAGAAGCAATGTTCTGCTTTAAAATTGAACTGTTGAAATACGGATAATACAAGAAAATATACAATTTATTATAGTCAAAGGAAAATGAAGAATAGGCTTGCTTCGTGTTAAAGCAGCCAAAAATTCAGAGATTTCACTTATTTAAGATTTTGGGCAATTCACACACATACTTTGATATTTCTGTGTAGTCAAGCATAACATAGCTATTTACTGTGTACATTTCACAAAGATAATTAAATATGTGCTCACCTGGCAAATAAGGGGAATTTTGTGCAACAGCATCTCAAATACCTTGGGAGGGAGAGTGTGTTTGAAAACTTTCAGAAGTTCCCGTGGTTGCTCGCACACTAAAAGGGCATTGCCGAGGTGTTGAATCCCCATTCTGTGCTCTCCTGAAACAGAATGACAAGTTTTGAGCAAAATTTTGAAGTTCTTTAAAACAGACATTCTACAAATCCAAGAAAGCAACAAGCATTAAAAATTAAAAGCATATCCAACTAAAGACTACTTAGACAAGTCTTGTGAAGAGTAGAGTACAAATATGAGGAAGATGTTGAGCTTCACAGTGGTGAAGCGGCAATATTAATTTTGAGCCAAATTACAGCAAGTATACTCTTACTGTTTAGAAGTATACTCTTGCATTGGAAATGCTCGTGTTCTATAATTTGGGTATGGAGGGAAGAGGATACTGAGGTTTTTTGTAAGCAGTTGTCTGCTTTTATTAATATCTGATAGGTTATCTTTACATGTGTGATTGAAAAAATATTATAGATGAAACATCTGATGTTCCAGCTAAATGGAACTTAAAAAAAATAGATTTCACTATCAAAGAGTTGAAACAAGATGTAGTGTAACATGAATTACATACCCCAGGGAAAAAAATAAGAGATTTATGAACTCTGATTTCTAAGCACAGTTTTAAAGTGAGTTTTAGGATGATTGGCTTTGAAGTAACAACAAATGAAAATATGTGAAGAGTGAAAATTAATCATAGGATTTCTGTTTAAGTTAGAACATGGAATGACTTTAATCCCACTCCCTTGTTTTACTTTAAGGAAACAGGCAAAGATCAGTGAAATGATGTATAGTTTCAATGCTGATTAATGCTAGCCTTAGGAATATAATCTAATTTTCTGACCCTTGAGACTAGAGTACTGCCTCTTTTCAGGTATTCGGTAATCACAGGAGTTGAAATATTGACATACTTCATATAACTAGGTAGAAAATAAAATATGGCCCTACAGGTAAGTATAATAATAGATTTTTATTAGCTGAAACTAGTTTTCCATTTATCAGTTGAAATACATGGTTATAGGAAGAGAATAGTGCGTGACAGAAAAAAATGCTTTCCAAAGATTTGTATTAAGCTTGAACAATAGGGATATGTCCTGATTTAAATACATTAATTTTACATTTTCAACATAAGATATAATGGTGCCTGTTCTGAAGATTGGTGGTGCTAACAATACAAAACAATCAATTTGGTCAAATAATTCAACCAACCAATAAATTCAATCATACCAGCTACTCAGAAATTTCAATCAAAATTATTGGCCCTATGGTCTCATATAGATATAGCCACCGTTGAGATGGCTACAGAACTGTATTTTACCTGACAGAAAATGACGAAAATTGTGGGTGATAGCAAAGGGGAGTGGAGAAAGTTAAGAAGACTGCAGAAAACTGGGTGAAAAATTGCCACATTGGATAGAATACTGTACTGGTTGGTTCTCAATGTTTTAGTAACCCAGGGAGATTTTTAAAAAAAATATTGACACCTGGGTTCCAGCCCCATAGATTCTGATTTAATTGGTTTGGGGTTTGATGAAGAATTAAAGAATAAGCAGCCAAGACCGAGAACTGCAATATAAGTAAAATATGGAAGTATAAAACTTCTGTAAAGAACTATTAGGGGGGTGGGTGTGGTGGCTCACGCCTGTAATCCCAACACTTTGGGAGGCTGAGGAGGGCGAATCACTTGAGGTCAGTTCGAGACCAGCCTGGCCAACATGGCAAAACCCAGTCTCTGCTAAAAATGGAAAAATTAGCCAGGCATGGTGGCACACACCTGTATAATCCCAGCTACTTGGGAGGCTGAGACACGAGAATTGCTTGAACCCGGAAGGCTAAGCCAAGATCATGCCACTGCACTCCAGCGTGGGTGACAGAGTGAGACACTGTCCCCAAAAAATAAAAAAGCTATTAAATAATTTCACAGTTTAAAATTTAAAAACCCAAGTTTGCAACTTATGTTCAGATCACCTCTAAATCTAATTAAACTATTACATCATAGCTCTTAAGCATACAGTGAATAGGAATAAAATGTGATGATAAAATACGTTATCATCTTTTTTCTTCTGACTTATAATTCAGAACTTTCTTTCCCACAATTTGAGGGCCCTTGTTTACAAAAAAGAATATAAAATTATGAGTACAAAATTACTAGGGGTGGCTGGGCGCGGTGGCTCATGCCTGTAATCCCAGCACTTTGGGAGGCCAAGGCGGGTGGATCACTTGAGGCCAGGAGTTTGAGACCAGCCTGACCAACATGGTGAAACCCTGTGTCTACTAAGAATACAAAATTAGCTGGGCGTGGTGGTGCACGCCTGTAATCCCAGCTACTTAGGAGGCTGAGGCCGGAGAATCGCTTGAACCTGGAAGGCAGAGGTTGCAATGGGCTGAGATGGCGCCATTGCACTCCAGCCTGGGCAACAAGAGTGAAACTCCATCTCAAAAAAAAAAAAAAAAATTGCTAGGGGGCCTTAGAGGCCTATGCAAATAAAAGTCTTTAGACATAAGCTTCACTGGTTTATGTAAAGTCACTTCTGTTTATAATCATTTAAGTCAGTTCTAACTGTACATTTTGTCATCAATATTTAGCAGGTATTTTTAGTCCATTTCAAAAATTACTCCATCTAAAAGCAAAAATCGTTAATATTTAGCAGGCATTTTTAGTCCATTCAAAAATTACTCCATCTGAAAGCAAAGATCAATACTAAATGAAAAATTAAAATACAAATTACAGTGATTAATGTGCAGTGATTTTGAATGCCTGCAACTTTTTCATTTCTCAAAACCTTTATAATGGTTTTAAGCCACTGAATAAAAATCTCCGTCATTGCTGTGAGTTGTCTAGGATTTTGACTTCCTCTTTGTTTTTATAAATCCTGGAGGATGCTCCTTACAGATTAAAAAAAAAAACCTTTTGAAAAAAAACAACAACAGAAAGGCAAAAACAGGTACAGGCACTGTGATATGCAAGGGAGTTTGTAACACTTAAAAAATATATGGCCGGGCGCGGTGGCTCACGCCTGTAATCCCAGCACTTTGGGAGGCCGAGGCGGGCGGATCACGAGGTCAGGAGATCGAGACCATCCCGGCTAAAACGGTGAAACCCCGTCTCTACTAAAAATACAAAAAATTAGCCGGGCGTAGTGGTGGGCGCCTGTAGTCCCAGCTACTTGGGAGGCTGAGGCAGGAGAATGGTGTGAACCCGGGAGGCGGAGCTTGCAGTGAGCCGAGATCCCGCCACTGCACTCCAGCCTGGGCGACAGAGCGAGACTCCGTCTCCAAAAAAAAAAAAAAAAAAAAAAAAAAATATATATATATATATATATACATATATATGTATATATACATTGTACTGATGGGTGTAATGCTGATTTATCCAGCAATATCAGTTACTTCTTAAATTAAGAAACCTCAAGACAAATTTTCCTTTCCAGGGTTTAACACCAGAATAAGGACATTATGATTATAATATTTATACAATAATAATATTATCTACCATCATTTTGCCTGACAATATTATGAAGTTTTCTCAAATCCATCTGGAATTAGGTAGGAATAAATTATTTATTTATTTATTTATTTAATTTTTGAGCCGGAGTCTCGCTCTGTCGCCCAGGCTGGAGTGCAGTCGTGCGATCTCGGCTCACTGCAAGCTCCGCCTCCCGGGTTCACACCATTCTCCTGCCTCAGCCTCCCAAGTAGCTGGGACTACAGGCGCCCACCACCATGCCCGGCTAAGTTTTTGTATTTTTAGTAGAGACAGGGTTTCACCGTGTTAGCCAGGATGGTCTCAATCTCCTGACCTCATGATCCGCCCACCTCGGCCTCCCAAAGTGCTGGGATTACAGGCGTTAGCCACCGTGCCCTGCCGGTAGGAATAAATTATAACTCAAAATATGACCATTAAGTGTAAGGTAGCCCCGACAGGCATCACTCCACTAAACACAGTAAAAGAATGGACATTCATAGGGAATTAATTTATCAACAAAGTAAATAAGTATTAAGAATATTCTAAGAAAGCAGGAACATTTTTATAAAGCAGTTAGAATTTTTTAAAGTTGTTTTGTTTTCTTGAGACAGAGTCTCTGTCTCCCAGGCTGGAGTATAGTGGCAAGATGATGGCTCACTGCAACCTCAAACCCCTGGGCTCAAGTGATCCTCTCACCTCAGCCTTCTGAGTAGCTGGGACTACAGGCACATGCCATGGTACCCAACTAATTTTTAAAGTTTTTTGTAGAGACAGGGTCTTGCTTTGTTGCCCAGGCTGTTCTCAAACTGTTGGCCTCAAGCAATCCTCTTGCCTTGGCCTCCCAAAGTGTTGGGATTACAGGTATGAGCCACCACACCTGGCAAAAAGTTTTTATTCTTAACATTTAGTCACTTGGAAAACTCACTGACTTAGAATTTTATATAACAATAAATGAGGTATTTTTGTATTTGGCTTTGCTACTCCGTTTGCCCACTTCCAAGTCTACGACTTGAGCACTAAATGCTAACATAATTCAAGAGTACAGTATGATGAAGTGAACATGCTGGGATAGTTTTTCTTTAATGAGGGGAGTTGGCTAACACATCCAGCTAGTTATTTGACATACAAATACTAATCAATAAATATTTCTCAAGTATAAGCTGTCATAACTCACAAAAGAACATTTACATTCTTACCTCTAGATAACCAAAGTTCTCCCATCCGTACCTCTTGCAAGAAAAGTTCTTGCAACTTTTTATTCTTCGTTGGATCCCACAACTAAAATATTCATAAAATATTCAACAATGAGTAATGAAGGTAAGGTATATGGCTACTGATCAAATTATTTTTTATTTAAAAAGGACATCTTGGGCCAGATGCGGTGGCTCACACCTGTAATCCCAACACTTTGGGAGGCCGAGGCAGGCAGATCACCTGAGGTCGGGAGTTCGAGACCAGCCTGACCAACATGGAGAAACCCCATCTCTACTAAAAATACAAAATTAGCCAGGTGTGGTGGTGCATGCCTGTAATCCCAGCTACTCAGGAGGCCGAGGCAGGAGAATTGCTTGAACCTGGGAGGCAGAGGTTGCAATGGGCCAAGATCACACCATTGCACTCTAGCCTGGACAACAAGAGTGAAACTCCATCACAAAAAAGAAAGAAAGGAAAAAAAAAAGGACATCTTGAACCTAGTCTCTAAATCCAAAGTATGACAAATGTAGTTGTTCTTTATAATATTTAAACCAATTTTCTAAAATGGGATTATTTTAAGTGTTTTAAAAAAACATGAAATATTTGTTAGGTTGAGATGCTTATAATAAATAACTCTCATACCAAATTTTACCCAGCCACATATAGCATAAATCCTACTGTAGTTAATATAACAAAGGTAGTTTTGTATGTTGCAAAATTATTTTCTTGCCCAGGATATTAACAGTGCCTGTTGATTTGGTTGCATGATTTCTCTGGCTTACAAGGTCATTTTGGTCTTTTAGTTGTGAGACCTGTTCATGTAGCAGTAACTCTCTAATCGGGGAAACAAAAAACTATGCTAAGCCTTCTGTACTCACACCCTCAAAAGGAAAGGGACAAAGGACCTGGTTGGGGGTTGGCAGGGGAGTGAGTGTTCAGAAGGATGCTTTGGTTTACTGCGGTTGGTTCATGAAGGCGACCATGGCCACAAGATGGCATCATCATTGGTACTACACCTAGGGTTGGTCTTTCAAGGTACACTGTGCAAAGCCTAGCCCAAAATATCAACTCCACTGCCAGTTACTTCAGCTCCAGTGTTTCAAATCTGTAAGGTTTTTGTTTTTGTTTTCCCCCACTAATTTTCTTTTTAAAATGCAATGAGCCTGGAAAGGGGTCACCTTTTTTTTTTTTTTTGAGACAGAGTCTTGCTCTGTCGCCCAGGCTGGAGTGCAGTGGTGCAATCTCAGCTCACTGCAAGCTCCGCCTCCCAGGTTCACGCCATTCTCCTGCTTCAGTCTCCCGAGTAGCTGGGGCTATAGGTGCCCATCACCACGCCCAGCTAATTCTTGTATTTTTAGTAGAGATGGGGTTTCACCTTGTTAGCTAGGATGGTCTCGATCTCCTGACTTTGTGATCCGCCCACCTCGGCCTCCCAAAGTGCTAGGATTACAGGCGTGAGCCACCATGCCCAGCCAGGGGTCACCTTTTAAGCTTGTATTATCAAATATACTAATAATCAGTAACATCAGAGGTTTTACTCAATAGATGTTTAGTGAGCACTGGCAAGGGCAGGACACTCAAGGAAAAGCTGGAAGGAATTGGAGACCAAGACCCCTGTGCCCATCCCCAAGGAGCCACAGTCTAATAAAGGGAAAGTGATCATGTAGGTACAAGACGAAGTCCAATGTCCTCTGGGGCTCAAAGTACAGAGACATTACATCTAGTTGGAGAATTGTCAAAGGCTTCTCAGAAAAGATAGTGTTTGAGATGTGGTTCAGTGAAAGTTTGATGAGGAAAGTATAAGCAACGCAAAATTGCAGGGAACATAGCAAGTGAACTTAATTAGCTAGATTATGATAGGGTAAATGTTTGTTTGTTTGTTTTTTGAGACAGAGTCTTGCTCTGTTGCCCAAGCTGGAGTGCAGTGGTGCAGTCTTGACTCACTGCAACCTCTGCCTCTCGGGTTCAAGTGATTCTCCTGCCTCAGCCTCCTGAGTAGCTGGGATTACAGGTGCACGCCACTATGCCCAGCCAATTTTTGTATTTTTAGTAGAGACGGGGTTTCACCATGTTGGTCAGGCTGCTCTCAAACTCCTGACCTCGTGATCCACCCACCTCGGCCTCCCAAAGTGCTGGGATTACAGGCCTGAGCCACCGCGCCGGCCATAATAGGGTAAATGTAGCAACAATATTACCATTATTGAAGGCCAGCTATAAACTAGGAACTTTACATATATTATTTCCAATCCCTAGGAAAATAAGGCAGTCAATCGGAATAGGCAGCCATCAAAGGCATAGCGCCAAGCTGAGACTGTTTTTTTTTTTTTCTTTTTTTTTTTTTGGAGACAGAGTCTCACTCTGTTGCCCAGGCTGGAGTGCAGTGGTGTGATCTTGGCTCACTGCAACTTTCAGCTCACTGCAACCTCTGTCTCCCAGGTTCAAGCGATTCTCTTGCCTCAGCCTCCCAGGGACCTGGGACTATAGGCGTGCGCCACCATGCCTGGCTAATTTTGCATTTTTAGTAGAGATGGGGTTTCACCATGTTGGCCAGACTGGTCTTGAACTCCTGACCTCAGGTGATCCAACCACCTCAGCCTCTCAAAGTGCTGGGATTACAAGTGTGAGCCACTGTACCCAGCAAAGCTGGTCTTTAATCTGCAGAGTAGGGAGCTACTGCAAGGAATTACATATTCAGAGCTGCCATTTAGAAGAAATTTACTCTAACAGCATAAGAATAGAGGCAGGGTGGCAAGTTAGGAAACTATTACAATAACCTGGGTAAAAGGTAATAAAAGCCTTTAGTTGCAGGGAAGTAATAGAAATAGACAAGTGGAATATATATATATATATATATATATATATATATATATATATATATGCAATAGAGCATTTGAAAATAAGAATTGGTCATTGTTTATGATGGATGAAGTTGATATTTAAACAAGATGAGTCAGGGTCACAGCAGGGAGGCTAGTGATACCAGGAGCATCATAAGGAAACAGGAGTAGGCACAGTGGCAAGGTGGGGGAGATGATGAATTTACTTCGGGACACACTAAGGTGAGGTGCCAACAGAATGTCCAGATGACAGAGTCTGGTAGGCAGATGAAACTTGGGACACCAGGTCTAGAGTAGTACATTTGAAATCACTTTTGGAGAAGGGAAAGATCTTC